>NC_000008.11:8580570-8885051 GCF_000001405.40 Homo sapiens
CGTATATGAATAATTCATAGCTGCCTACTTATTGGAAAAGAAATCTCTAACATATACTTAATTTCCATGTCTCTGTTTCTGTATTCTATTCAATCTGTATTCATGCTGGTATAAAAATATTTTAATATTGTAGTGTTAAAGTAAAAATTTTTTTAGAGATCGAGGTCTCACTATATTGCCCAAGCTGGTCTCAAACTCTTGGGCTCAAGGCATCCTCTGCTTCAGCTTCCCAAGTAGCTGGGACTACAGGGGTGCACCACCGTGCCTGACTGAAAGTAAATTTTGATATCTGGCAGCTCCTCAGTTCACTGAACACCTGGACTGCTCCAACCTGCCCCCAATCCAAACACCTTCACTTGATCTCCACATCTGCCCCTCTCGACATTCTGCTCAAGCAGGGGACACCTGTCTCAGCAGCAAGTTTAAGTGGAAAAGACTGAAGAGTTTTTTTTTTTTGGTTGATCATAGGTTTGCCACTTACAGTGTGGTAGCTAAAACCCAAGGCAACGTTAGGCTGTATGGATAGGAGAATCATGTTTAGAGAATGATAAATAATGGTTGTAGAATCATCTATCAGAATATATCTGGAGGTGGAGCGTGGTGGATCATGCCTGTAATCCCAGGACTTTGGGAGGCTGAGGCGAGTGGATCACCTGAGGTCAGGAGTTCGAGCCCAGCCTGGCCAACATGGTGAAACCCCATCTCTACTAAAGATACAAAAATTAGCTGGGCATGGTGGCACACGCCTGTAATCCCAGCTACTCAGGAGGCTGAGGCAGGAGAATCGCTTGAACCCAGGAGGCAAAGGTTGCAGTGAGCTGAGATCATGCCACTGCACTCCAGCCTGGGCGACAGAGTGAGACTCGATCTAAAAAAAAAGAAAAAAAAATCACATCTGGAGTCCTAGGCTCATGGCTGGGCACCCCCTGGGGACAGGAGAATTTCCATACTAGAATGAGGCCAGAGGACAGCTAGATTCCCAACCATATGAGGGAAACAGGGAGGGGTGCTTTGTCCTGAGAGGAGAGGACCCGGGAACTGCTGGAGATTGTCCTCAAGTTTAAAGAGGGGCTGTGCAAAACTATCTTGCCTAGAAGGAAAAAAGAAGGGAGTAGAAGAGTTAAAGAAAGCTAGTCCTCAGCTCTGTGTTGAGAATTTTCTAGAAAAAAAATAACATTCTCAAAACAAAAGGGCTGGACTTGAGGAGGTAATGGATGCCTGTAATCAAAAATACTTCAAAAGAAGCTGTGTGCTGCAGAAAGGATTCTGTTTGGATAGGAAAGTGAACTTGGTGCCTCTGTGGATCTTTTCCATTTCCTTATATTCACTTTCCCTTCCTTGAAACTTTTCAGCTCACAGTGCTTGCACCCTGTGCTAGATGATTATAGAACTTCTAGCCTGTACCTGACATTCATCTTGCAACGTTTCTTGAGCTGTTTTTTTTCTTACATTGTTATTTAAATTTCTACACTTTGTCTCTCTTGAGTTCAAGAACTATTCCTTGAAAGTCTTCCCCGCAAACCCCTTTCACAGCACCTAGTCCAGTTCCTTGCATTTAAAACTAGCTTGATACATATTATTTTTTTGTTCAGCAACATGCTGACTAATGTGCCACTCCTCCAAACTCCAGTCACCAAGAAATTCACAATGTGCTTTTTAAGGGTTCTCTTTCAGAAATGCCCACCTTCTTCTTTGATATCTCTAAAACTTTCATCCTCATTCATTTCCCCTTCTCCATTTCCTTTTCTGTTATTTTTTTCTATAATTTTTTTTTTCTCTTTAGAGACGGGGTCTCACTATGTTGCCCAAGCTGGAGTGCAGTGGCTATTCACAGGCGTGATCCCATTACTGATCAGCATGGGAGTTTGAACCTGCTCAATTCCCGGCCCGGGTGGTTTCACTCATCCTTAGGCAATGTGGTGGTCCCCCACTGCTGGGAGGTCACATGGATGCTGAACTTAGTGTGGACACTCTATTGGCATGGTGCACTACAGCCCAGAAGTCCTGGCCTCAAGCGATCCTCCCATCTCAGGCCTCCCACGCCCCTAGTAGCTGGGACTACAGGCACGTGCCACCGTGCCTGGCTCCTTTTCCATTATTTTTAAAGGAAAGAATAGTCTTTTCCTGAAATTAAGCCCCTTTTTTGCGGTCGGAATATAGACAGGAGGGGAACAGATGGCTGACTTTTGAGGAGACAATTCCAGGCTGCTGAGGCTTAACAAAGAGAATAAAGGGTAATTTACCAAAGACTTAGAAAGCCACAGGGCATTTGAGATTGTTTAAAGCCCCAGACCCACTGCCCTTGCCAACTCCTCCACACTGCCTCTCCCCCAGCCCCTCCAGCCTTCAGAAAAACGTGAGGTTGCCAGGCTGCCACCAACATAGCCACTCGGAGGCTGTGGCTCTCCCAAGCACATGCGCGAGGCTGCACTGGCTAAAGGCTGGGTGCCATTGTCTTTCAGCAAATAGCCTTGGTTTGTGCACCTGGCTGCAATCCCAGGACCCCTGCTGTGAGAGCTAAACAGACAGTGTAATGGAGCATTGGGGTCTTTATTTCACTGTAGGGGGAATGCCTTGTTCGGGTTCTCATTTCTTTTTTTTTCCTCCCGAAAAACTCAGCTTGATGCTTCCTGCATCTGCTCTGTTGCGTGAGCCTGTGCGTCCAAAACCCCTTTTTATTCTATTCCTGATTTTCTTTAAGTAGAAAGCTTGCAAAATGGCCCCATCTGCTTCTTTCAGACTTGGGCCACAAAGGGAACCTCCGTTCGCCACAAAGACATGTCCCTTGGTCACTCTGTTGGGCTATCTCCACTGCCATACTAACCCTACACAGAGAAGTCACCAGGACTGCCAGGAGAAAACGCTGTCTGTGCTTTTGTTTCCTTATATTCTGGAGAGAAATGTAAAATGTACAAGATTCACTGCAGAAATACCCAAGGGGCATGTGGGCCCCCTGGAACCCAGGGTGGCTGAAGCAATGCGGAGAGAACCTGAAGTGGGATGGAGGGAAAGTCATTAGCCACATGAGGCACTACACTGACTTCATCTGACCTCTGGGTTTTCGGGGATAAAAGGTAATGCTAGTCCGGGCGCAGTGGCTCAGGCCTGTAATCCCAGCAATTTGGGAGGCCAAGATGGGTGGGTCACCTGAGGTCAGGAGTTCGAGAACAGCCTGGCCAATATGATGAAACCCCGTATCTACCAAAAAATACAAAAATTAGCCAGGTGTGGTGCTGCACACCTGTAATCCCAGCTACTTCGGAGATTGAGGCAGGAGAATCGCTGGAACCTGGGAGGCGGAGGTTGCAGTGAGCAGAGATCATGCCACTGCACTCCAGCCTGGGTGACAGAGTGAGACTTCATCTAAAAAAAAAAAAAAAGGTAATGCTATATTCTGAGTTGCAACCAAAAGCCCTGTGGACTGGGGAGGGATTTGGCTTCATTTAGATTCATGAAGACCCAGACTCCGCACATACAAACCAGAGCAGCAGACATTCATGGAATTCTTTCCACAGTTGAACCTTGAACAGTGTGGGAGTTGAGGACATACCCTGGTGCAGTCGGAAATCCTCGTATAACTTTTGACTCCCGCAAAACTTAACTGTGAACAGCCCACTGTTGACTAGAAGCCTTACTGATAACATAAACAATCGATTAATACATATTTTTTGTGTGATATGTATCATGTACTGTTTCTTAGAATAAAGCAACCTAGAGAAAAGAATATGTTACTAAGTAAATCATAAAAAAGAGAAAATGTACTTTATTTATTTATTTATTGAGAAGGAATCTTCCTCTGTCGTTTAGGTTGGAGTACAGTGGTGTGATCTTGGCTCACTGCAGCCTCTGCCTCCTGGGTTCAAGCTATTCTCGTGCCTCAGCCTCCTGAGTAGCTGGGATTACAGGCACACACCACCACACCCAGCTAATTTTTGTATTTTTAGTAGAGACAGGGTATCGTCAGGTTGGCCAGGCTGGTCTCCAACTCCTGACCTCAGGATCTGCTTGCCTCGGCCTCCCAAAGTGCTCGGATTACAGGCGTGAGCCACTGCACCCAGCCAAGAAAATGTATTTAGTATTCATTCAGTGAACATCAATTATCATAAAGGTCTTCATCTTTGTCGTCTTCAGGTTGAGTAGACGAAGGAGGAGGAGGAAGAGAAGGGGTTGGTCTTGCTATCTCGGGGCGGCAGAGGTGGAAGAAAATTTGGATATAAGTGAATCTCTGAAGTTCCAATCTGTGTTGTCCAAGGGTCAGTTTTACTTTTTGTGCCCAGTAATGTGCCAAGTACTTGCAGGTGAGGGGAGTGAGGAACTTATATTCAGTCCCAAAAGAAACAGACACATTTTAATGTGATGCAATGATTGTTATGGCAGGTGTGCACCAGGAACAGTGGGTACCCACGGGTGGTGGCCAGTCCAGCTTCTAAAGAATGCTCAGAGTCTGGGTCTTTGTGAATCTAAATTAAGCCAAATCCCTCCCCAGTCCACAGGGCTCCAGGTTGCAACTCAGGATACAGCATTACTTTTTTTTTTTTTTTTTTTTTTTTTTTAAGATTGAGTCTGGCTCTGTTGCCCAGGCTGGAGTGCAGTGGTGTGATCTCGGCTCACTGCAACCTCCACTTCCCCGGTTAAATGTCTGATATTGTAGTACAAATAGAATTCCCAACAATTGGGCAAATCAGCAGAAAAGAGAGTTTCAGGAACAAGGTATCACACAAGCAAACTAGGAAAACATAAAACACCATTGTCTAAGAGGCAAAATCATAATCCCTCCTGGAAGTGCAGGCAGGCCCCTGCAGATGGTTTGGAGTACAAGGTACAGAAGCGGGAAACGAAGATGGTGAGGCAGGGCCACCTCAGAGATGGCATCTTGTAACAAATGAAGGGGCTCTAGGGAAAGAGATTCTGCTGAAGTTTTTAAGCAAGGAGAGACAGGTCCAGATTTGCCCCATAGAAGGATTGCCCTGGAAGTAGCAGGGGGCCAGGTGTGTTGGTTCATGTCTGTAATTCCAACATCTTGGGAGGCTGAGGCAGGTGGATCACCTGAGGTCACAGTTCAAGGCCAGCCTGGCCAACATGGTGAAACCCCTTCTCTACTAAAAATACAAAAAAAAAAGAAAATTAGCCCAGCATTGTGGCATGTGCCTGTAATCCCAGCTACTCAGGAGGCTGAGGCAGGAGAATCGCTTGAACTCAGGAAGTGGTTGCAGTGAGCCAGGATCGCACCACTGCACTCCAGCCTAAATGACAGAGTGAGACACCGTCAAAAAAAAAAAAAAAAAAAAAAGGAGGGAAGATGAATTTCGCAGAGGAAGTACTGCTGCACCGGGAGAAGCCATGGGCAGGTAAACCCTTTGGGTCACTAAACTCCCTATCCTTGGCTCCTGTACTTCTCTCACACTGCAACCCAGTATTTCCAGAAACTCTGTTGTCTTTACTTTCAAAATATTTCTACAACCTGCCTTTTCTCACCACCTCCACTGCTACCACCCTGTCTCAGCCACCAATATCTCTCACCTGGATTGTGGCTACAGCTGCCAGCCTTGTCTCCCGGTTTGTCTCTGGTTTCTTAAGTTTGTTCTCAAGGCAGCAGGCAGAGTGACCTTCTTAAAACAAACATCAGGTCCCATGATTCCTCTGCTCAAAACTCCACAATGCCTCTTCGTCCTGTTCAGCTGAAGTTCACATAGTGAACCCTCATCGCACTTCTAATCACTCTCTCCTGGCTCCTGCGCCTCCAGCTGTGTTGTTTCACTTGCACACTAGCAGCCACGTTCCCAATTGAAGGCCCCTTCCCTCTGTCTGCCATGTTTTCCCCCAGGGAACACGTGGCTTTTCTCCTTCAAGCCTTTCATAAAATGTTATCTTCTCAAAAAGGCTTACTCCAATTATCCTATTTAAAAAGGCAAACTACAGCTTCTCCACCCAAATTCCTCCTAGCACCTATGTCCTATGCATAGTAGTTATTATTATCATTTCTTTTTTGAGACGGAGTTTCACTCTTGTTGCCCAAGCTGGAGTGCAATGGCATGATCTTGGCTCACTGCAACCTCTGCCTCCCAGGTTCAAGCGATCCTCCTGCCTCAGCCTCCCGAGTAGCTGGGATTACAGGCATGTGTCACTACACCTGGCTAATTTTTGCATTTTTAGTAGAGATGGGGTTTCACCATGTTGGTCAGGCTGGTCTCGAACTCCTGACCTCAGGTGATCTGCCCACCCTGGCCTCCCAAAGAGCTGGGATTACAGGCGTGAGCCATCGCACCCAGCCAGCAGTTATTTTTTAAATTTACTACATAATTTCTTAAAATTCATTATATTTTTTAAATTTGCTGTACAATTTACCCATTCATTATGTTTTTATTTTCTGCCCTCTTTTTTCCCCTAAATATTCTAGGGCAGGGATCTTTGTACATTTGGTTTACTAATTGTATCCCACTTTCCTAGAATGGTGCCTGGCATGCAATATATCCCCAACAAATATTTTTTGAATAAGTAGCAGTAGTTCAGATAAGCTATAAGGGACTGAATTAGAACTATGATACTGCAAAGAAAAGGAGAAAGACTTCAGATATAGTCATAAGATTTCCCAATTACTCAAAAGTGCTGGGTGACAGAAGGGGAATGGTGTGGAATGAATGTCAGGCTTGGATGACTAACTGGGACAGAGGACAACTTGGTATGGAGGACAGGGAAGATAATGACGAGCTCTGTTCGGGACATTTTTGGTTGGACTTGGCTTTGGAATACTCAAGTGGAGACTCCGCAGGAAGTTAGAATTCAATTTTAAAGCTCACTAGAGAGATTAGAACAGATGCTGTACAATTAGAAGCCATCAGCAAACTGACTTGCAAATAAGCTATTGGCACCCTAACTCAAGGGACTAGATATCAGTAGCCAGCAAGAACTCTATATTATGTTATATTCATACAGAGAAAATATAATGCATATAATGCATACAGAGAAAAGAGAATTTCCAGGCACATTCTACAAGAGATGGCAATATTTGTCTATAATTTCAAATTTTATTCTCCAAGGCTGGTTTTTCCTATGAGATATGAGCTATAACATCCCAAGATGAAACAAAGATTTTCAAAAGTCAAGGTGAAACCATTCATGGGGTGATTACATTTTGTTCAACTGAAAAGTATTAAACACATACACACATACACACACACACAAACTTAATTACGTTGTTTATCTCAGATAATCATCTAAGTGTTGGTGAAAGGGCAAAATATGACTTTTCCCTCTAAACTAAAACACAACATTTCCCCCTCCCCCAGGAATCTCATAGATTTTTAAAAGGCATCGTATGAAGGCAGGTAATATTATCTTGCTTTACAAAGGGGTCAGTTCACAAAAAGGTTAAGGTAATTCCCAAGGACTGTATAAAGAGTCAGAGGGCGACTCCTGGAACAAATCTTCAAAATCTTGGATCTCAGGCCCAGGGTCCCCAAACTGAGGTCATCCTTCTGGTCACAAAGGCTTAGGCAGATTTATGAGATAAGCAGGAGTCACAGCAGTAACGTTAGATTTCGTGGTTTGAATGCTAATAGTTCACTCTTTCTCTGCTCTTTGAAAACTCGTCTCCTTTAATTTCTGCCTATTTTTTAAGCCTGGATGCTTTAGAGCCTAAAGCATCTGTATGTTTTTTGTACCTCTTCTGTCTGTATCTTCTGGTCCTGAATCCTGCTGACCCAGAGATGGGGCTAGGAGTTGCAGGGGCTTCCTTCTTTCTCTGTGGTGGGGAAAGGGCTCCTGATTTTGTCTCATGATGCAAAGAAGTGGTATCAAAATCCAGAAACTTGAAATTCTGAGTAAGGCTCTGTCCTAAAGATCCCAGTGAGGTTGGAAATATTGCCCCTGGTTTCTTGTTCTGCAAAATGAGGAGGTTGGACTTCATCCTTTGGGGTTGTTTTTTGCTCCATAGGTCCATAACTGTATGTTAAGTGAATAAGTCCATTTGAATGGTAGCATCAAAAGGTAGCCAATTCCATTCAAATAAACCAAAATGAATAAACAGTTATATGTCTGTGCTATTTTTGTTCACCAGAATTCTGGGGGCCCCACTGGACAGACTGTCCCACCACATGGAGTGGCTCCTCAATGGAGGAACAGTGTGATCTGGGGGTCAGGGCGTGGGGGTGATGGCAGAGCCAGCATGCAGTGGGGAAGGTGTTTATCTGGAAAATGAGAAAGGCCGTATAACACATGATGGGGTTTTTCCCTATGACACCTCAGATCTTCAATTAAGCACAAAACACAGTGAGATTGCATTGCCTGTGGGAAATAGAGAAAGGCAAGCTCTGCGTTTGGCTTTACATCCAAATCGGACTTAAGGTGACACAGTGAAGAATCTATGGGATCAGAAATAAAAACAGGGAAAAATGAAAGGAAAATGTAGAATTTGTGGGGGGAGGGTGGGACTCTGAACTCCTCCAACCTAGAATAACAGCTAGAGCCTAATGTTACCTAAACTCATGAGAGAAAGCATGGCCCCGAATGATACATCATAATATTTGGGTTACATAAAAAATATTTTAGGCCAAATGTCAGAATTATTTCCCCAAATATTAATATGAATATTACACCAAAAGAACCCTGAATCTTCATTGCAAAACAAAATTAAGCAAAATAATTAATATTAATGACTGTAACTTCATTCAAACCCAATGCTGAAACAACGATACGTACCACTTAACATAAAACATTCCTAAAATCATATTCATGAAGCCACTGCAAATGTTTATATATATCTACACTCATTGACAGGGAAGTACTACACAAGGTAATGTGTTTTTAAAAAAAGAAAAACAGGCCAGGCACGGTGGCCCATGCCGGTAATCCCAGCACTTTGGGAGGTCAAGGTGCACAGATGGCTTGAGCTCAGGAGTTCAAGATCAGCCTGGGAAACATGGTGAAACCCCACCCCTACAAAAAAAAAATACAAAAATTAGCTGGGCATGATAGCATGCACCTGCAGTCCCAACTACTGGAAAGGCTGAAGCAAGACAATCGCTTGAGCACAGGAGGTAGAGGTTGCAGTGATTTGGGATCGTGCCACTGCACTCCGGCCTGGATGACAAAGTGAGACTGTCTCAAACAAGTGAATAAATAATAAAAAAAGAAAAACAAAACCCAGATGGCTGAGCAATTAGTATGAATATATTTTTTAAATATATGTGTGTGTATATTTGCTTGGCAAAAATATCTAGAAGGATCTACCTGATATGTATATAATACTATTTTTGCATTATAATATTTAAATTTTTATTTTAAAATGTTTATCAATATATTCTAGCTTTTCTTTTTTTTTTTTTACTATGTTTATGTTTACTTTCAAAAAGTTAATCACAGCCTTAAATCAGAAAGGTAGAAACCCAGTTGACAGTAATTCCTCTGCATTGACTTCTTCCCGTGGAGGCAGGGAAAACCTTGTCTTAGAAAAGAATTGTTTCAGAACCACTGTCCTGATTAAAACCCGGACTTGGTTCCTGAAGCCCAAAGGCTACATCCTGAAGCATTGTCCAGAAACAGTGAGGAGAGGTGGCCTCTCTGGCTCAGATTCTTCTCTTCCTGCTCTGTTCCCTAGGACGGTCATTCCTTGCCAAGGACTAAAAGGAGTTCCGCATTCCTCACAGGCTCCAATGAACATATTGGCTTAAATGGTCTCCTACCTAAGAATCTGCTCTTCACAATGGAAGAAGAGGAAACCAACGGAGTGGAAAAACTGGATGAAGATTAGGAATAAAATAAGCATGTGACCTGCAAGGCCTGTGAAAACATGAAAAATAACCTGAAGAGCCTTTCTCATCAAATTTAGGATCCACTCATGTCCAAATGAAGTGTCTAATGTGCAGTCAAGGGGTCCAGGGCTGGGGTATCAAAGATATTGGAAGCCCACTGATACTGTTTGGCTGTGTCCCCCACTAAATCTATCTTGAATTGTAATTCCCATAATCCCCATGTGTCATGGTATGGACCTGGTGGGAAGTAATTGAGTCATGGAGGCAGTTTTCCCCATGCTATTCTCATGATTGTGGTAAGTTCTCATGAGATCTGACAGTTTTATAAGGCGCTTCCCCCTTCACTTGTTTCTCATTCTCCCTCCTGCCGCCTTGTGAAGAAGGACATATTTGCTTCCCCTTCTGCCATGATCATAAGTTTCCTGAGGCTCCCCAGCCATGCAAAACTGGGAGTCAATTAACCTCTTTTATTTATAAATTACCCAGTCTCAGGTATGTCTTTACTGGCAGCGTGAGAATGGACTCATACACTCACGGTTTATCAAACAAACAAACAAAAAACAAATGCAATTCCAGGTCATCTCTGAACTGCAGGAGGGCTAGAAGTCATCTTAGATGGAAGTTCCATATGGCTCTCACATCAAGCAGAGCTAATCCATTTGAAATAGTCAGGGGCATTTATTAGCAATTCATCAGTGAATATTTATTGAGCATATTGGACAGATACTGGCTCTCTTGCTTAAAACAGTAATGAAACACATCACAGTTTTATCCGAGAAGAGTTCCAGAAGGAAATCTCTAGGTAATGAGAGAGAAATGTAAAAGCAACCTCAACTCCCCCAAATTCCTCTGACCCATCGATATTTACTTTTCCCTTAAGAATTTCAATTTCTCCTACTATCATAAAACCCAACTCTTCTTCCTTTAAAACCCCATTCAACCTTAGAAAAAAATGTTCTTTCCTAGGTTCCTCCAGTGATGCCTAGAAAGCCCGACATTTGCAAGAACAACCTTATCAAATATTAAGACACAGCAAAAATAATATTTTGTAGACAGTTCCCCAAAGGAAAAATGGTCATGACTCCAAAGTTGTTGAGTTGTTGATAACTCTGCAGTAGTCACAGGCAACAGGGCAGGTCGTTAACCACCACTAAGCTTCCAGCTCATTCTGCTTCCCAGACAATTCCTAAGACCCACAGCTCTCTTACACCTCCCATATTTTATTTCCTAAGGTAGCACAGCACCTATTTAACTGAGGGCCATGACAAGTATATGATGCTTTAAAGTTGAAGAGTATTAAGGAACATCAGTGCTGCTCCTAGCACGATGGATCATACGTGTAATTCCAGGACTTTGGGAGACAGAGGTGTGAGGATTGGTTGAGGCCAGGAGTTAGAGACAAGAGTGAGCAACATTGCAAGACCCAATTTCTACAAAAAACTGAACAAACAAACAAACAAAAAAAACAAAAATTAGCCAGGTGTGGTGGCATGCACACGTAGTCCCAGCTACTCAGGACGCTAAGGCAGGAGGATCACGTGTTCCCAGGGGTTTGAGGCTGCAGTGAGCAATGATTTTGCCACTGCATTCCAGCCTAGGTGGCAGAGTGAGACCCTGTCTCAAATAAATAAATTAATTCATTAAATAGCAGTCCTATCTTCTGGCCTTTCCCTTTTTTTTTTTTTTTTTTTTTTTTTTTTAGATGGAGTTTTGCTCCTGTTGCCCAGGCTGGAGTGCAATGGCACAGTCTCGGCTCACTGCAGCCTCTGCCTCCCAGCTTGAAGCAATTCTCCTGCTTCAGCCTCCCAAGTAGCTGGGATTACAGGCGCACACCACCACACCCGGGTAATTTTTTTGTATTTTTAGTAGAGTCGGGGTTTCACCATGTTGGGCAGGCTGGTCTCAAACTCCTGGTTTCAGGTGATCTGCCTGCCTCGGCCTCCCAAAGTGCAGGGATTACAAGCATGAGCCACAGCACCCAGCCCTTTCCCTTCATTTTTAATGTGTCATACCAACTGAAGACCACAATAGATTATTTGGAAAGTGAGAGCTAACACTAATCCTAACCTATGTAGTATAAATACAAATTTTAAGTAGTAGGAATTAAATTGAAGTCAACTCATAGTTTTTAAAGGACTACTATGTGTTAAGTACTGTATAAAATATAGACGGGCTTACAAAGATAAGCCAAACATGGCTCTGGCCTTCAAGGAGTTTATAATCTAATAGTGGAAATAAGACAAAAGTAGACTTTACTATAAGACAGAAAGTACGTTCATAAGATTTTCTTCCAATGTACTAAGACGCTTAGAGGAGGAAGAGAACACATCCAATTAGAAGTTCAGGGAAGACTTCGTAAAGGAATTAGCACTGGAATGAGCATTAAAGAATGAAATGGACAGAGACGAAAGACACTCCAAAAAAGAGAAATATTATTAGCCAAGGCCCAGAGTTGAAAAAGCATGGCAGGAAATCAGGCAACTGAAGCTGTGGGGGAGAGTCAGAGTAGAGAAAACTGATTCAGAGAAGAGTTTGTGCTTAATTCCATAAGTGATGGTAGCCCACTGAAGATGTGGTGATATGGAAATCTGGTGATCTGAGCTGGACATTGGGTCAAATAAGTGGACATACCTTTGCAGGATAGGTTGGACAGGGACAGGGACTAGAGGTTAGGAAGTCAGTTCAGGTCAACTGCAATGGTCTAGGGAAGAAGAAAAAATGGTCTAAACAGGGGAGGTGTTACTGGGCATGAGCGTGGATGGATGTGTTGGGCCTGAAAGAGGAAGCCTCTGCAGGAGTTGGAGACCATCATCATCTGCGGAGGGCAAGGAAGAGTGAGGAATCAAAGTGAGTCCAAGGTGTCCAGTCTGAAAGGTAGGGAGGGTACGGTAGCCTCAACCTTGATGGAGAACCATGAGGGAAAACCTATTCGGAATATTAAACTATAAGGAACAGTCAAGTGAAGCCAGTTGAGGAAGACCTTTTAAAAGGAACCGTTCTGGCCCAGCGTGGTGACTCATGCCTGTAATCCCAGCACTTTGGGAAGCCGAGGCGGGCCAATCACTTGAGGTCAGGATTTCGAGACCAACCTGGCCAACATGGTGAAACTCCATTTCTATTAAAAATACAAAAATTAGCTGGGTGTGGTGGGGCATGCCTGTAGTCCCAGCTACTCTGGAGGCTGAGGCAGGAGAATCGCTTGAACCCGGGAGGTGGAGGTTGCAGTGAGCTGAGATTGCTCCACTGCACTCTAGCTTGGGTGACAGAGGAAGACTCCATCTCAAAAAAAAAAAAAAAAAAAAAGAACAGTTACAAGACAGGAGATCCCTTTGCTTTTCTCTTTTTTCTTCTATGTGGTGTTGAAACACCAGCAACTTTCTGGTTTATCCCTTCTGTATAAGGAATGATGCCAGAATGGGAACTAGCACTTGGTAGTTCCCAAATATTCTTTCCATCTGTGAACCAATTTTGAGGCTCTCAAGAGATTTGATTTTCTCTGTTCAGCTCCAAGGATCCTTTAATTAAAGAAAAAGCTGAAATGCAGCCTAGAGATTAGGTAATCAAAGCATGTTAAAGAAGCCATTGATTCAGCGTCTCTCAGAAAAACAACTCCGCTGAGCAGAAATCTCACTTTGCAAACAGAGTCCTTCAAGTACAAATCCAAGCGGAGAAAAAGGCTGCATACGGATGCTTCAGGATTATACACCAGCTCTCTTTCTAAAGTTCCTGATCCAGAAAATCAGCCCCAGGGCCAATATGACAGAAAAAAACTGCCCTTCCAGCACTCTGGGTCCCAGTGGCAAGCAGGGACCAGATGGTCAGGCGTTTAGGGACCTCTAGTTTTTGCAATTACAACGGAGAAAATAGTTTCCAGGGCAGACCCAGGTCAGAGCAGACCTGTGTCATCAGTGTCTTCTGCTTCAGTTAGCTCTTCAATCACTGTCTCCATTCTTTGTACTTGGGGATCAGGAAAGGAGGCTATTTTCTGCTCAATGACCAGCTAGTTTTTTCGTTACTTCTTCCTAAGAAACAGGGACTCCTTTGTCACTTTGCCAGCTTGCACTGGAAACCTCCAGACTTAAGTGACAATATATCTCAGTTTCCCTGGGACTGCCCAGGTTTACATATTGATTCCATGTAGGTTTTTTGTTTGTTTGTTTTTTGTTTGTTTGTTTTTTTAGGCAGAGTTTCATTCTCGTTGTCCAGGCTGGAGTGCAATGGCGCGATCTTGGCTCACTGCAACCTCTGCCTCCCAGGTTCAAGCGAGTCTCTTGCCTCAGCCTCCTGAGTAGTTGGGATTACGCACATGCACTACTACACCCGGCTAATTTTGTATTTTTAGTAGAGATAGGGTTTCTCTACCACGTTGGTCAGGCTGGTCTCCAACTCCCGACCTCAGGTGATCCACCCGCCTCGGCCTCCCAAAGTGGTGGGATTACAGGCATGAGCCACCGCGCCTGGCCGGTTCCATGTAGTTTTTATCAAGTTAAAACTTACAAATTGGGAGCAGTGGAGGATGCCTATGGTCCCAGCTACTTGAGAGGCTGAGGTGGGAGAATTCCTTGAGCCCAGGAGTTCGAGGCTACAGTGAGCTGTGATCATGCCCCTGTACTCTAGCCTGGGTGACACAGCAAGACCCCAACTCTCTGAAAATATAAGTTACTTATAGTTAAAATTATAGCTCTTAAGAGTACAATTCTATAGGTTTTGACAAGTAGATCCACCTGTATAAGCAACAACTCAAGATATACTCCATTTCTATGACCCCAGGTTTCCTCATACTGTCACCCCTCAAACCCCTCTCACCCTCATACACAGGTAACTACTATTCTGATTTCTATCACCATAGATTATCCTTTCCAAATCTTGAACTTCATATAAATGAACTCATACATTTGAACTCTTATAAGTTTGGATTATTTCACCCAACATAATGTTTCTGAGATTCAGCCATACTATTGCATGTTTATTTTTTTTTATTGCTGAGTATATTTCACTGTTAATGGATACGTGGGTTGTTTCCAGTTTGAAGAATTGTGTACAGAGCTGCTATAAACATTCTTTTTTTTTTTTTTTTTTTTTTTTTTGAGACAGAGTCTGGCTCTGTTGCCCAGGCTGGAGTGCCGTGGCATGATCTCGTCTCACTGCAAGCTCTGCCTCCTGGGTTCACGCCATTCTCCTGCCTCAGCCTCCCCAGTAGCTGGGACTACAGGCGCCCGCCACCACGCCCGGCTCATTTTTTGTATTTTTAGTAGAGACGGGATTTCACCGTGTTAGCCAGGATGGTCTCGATCTCCTGACCTTGTGATCCACCCACCTCGGCCTCCCAAAGTGCTGGGATTACAGGTGTGAGCCACTGCCCCCAGCTACTATAAACATTCTTACACAGCCTTTCCATTGGCATAGCTTTGATTTCTCCTGGATATATAACTAAGAGTGAACTCACTGGATTATAAGATTGGTGTAGGTTTAACTCTAAAAAACAAAAAGCTGCCAAAGAGATTTCCAAAATGAGTGTTTCATTTTATACACTTACCAGCAATATATGACAGTCATAGTTCCTCCACATCTTAGCTAATATTTGGTGGTTATCAGTCTTTTAAATGTTAGCCATTCTAGTGTGTGTGAAGTGGCATCTCAGTACAGTTTCAATCTGCATGTCCCTGGTCAAGGGTGATGGTTCATGCCTATAATCCCAGCATTTTGGGAGTCCGAGACAGGAGGACTATTTGAGCCCAGGAGTTTGAGACCAGCCTGAGGAACACGATGAGACCCAGTCTCTACAAACACACACACAAAAAAATCTTAAAATTAGCTGGGTATGGTGGTGCATGCTTGTAGTCCCAGCTACTCAGGAGGCTGAGACAGGAGAATCACTTGAGCCTAGGAGGTTGAGGCTGCAGGGAACCGTCATCATACCACTACACTCCAGTCCAGATGACAGAGCAAAACTGTCTCAAAAAAAAAATTGCATATCCCCAATGATTAATGATGTTAATTAAGTATGTTTTTGTGTGCTTATCGATCATTCACACATCTTCTTCTGTAAAATATCTATTCCATCTTTTGCCTGTTTTTTTATTGGACTGTTTGTCCTTATTTTGGATATATAGAAGTCCATTACATATCCCTGACTCTAGTCCCTTATGGCGATTAACGTATTGAAAATACCTTCCCGACTGGGCGCGGTGGCTCATATCTGCAATCCCAGCACTTTGGGAGCCCGAGGTGGGTGTATTGCCTTAGCTCAGGAGTTCATGACCAGCCTGGGCAACACGGTGAAACCCTGTCTCTATTAAAATACAAAAATATATATATATATATCAGCCAGACGTGCCACGTGAGCCTGTAGTCCCAGCTCCTTGGGAGGCTGAGGCAGCAGAATTGCTTGAACCCAGGAGGCGGAGGTTGCAGTGAGCCGAGATCGCACCACTCCACTTCAGCCTGGGCAACAAAGCTAGACTCCATCTCAAAAAAAAAAAAAAAAAAAGGGAAAAAGAAAGAAGAAAATACCTTCCCATAATATGTGTCTTGAGCTTTCATTTTCTTTATATTGTCTTTCCAGAGGCAGAAGGTTGTTTTTTTGTTTTGTTTTGTTTCTTTGATCATCTTTGGAATAATTGACATCTTGGCAATATTGAGTCTTCCAAATATCATGTATTTCTTCATTTATTAGGCCTTATTTAATTTTTCTCAGCAATATTTTGGTTTTCACCATAGTGGTATAGCTTTTGTTAAATTTATTCCTAAACTTTTTCGTTTTGGTGCTATTGTGAATGGAATTGTTATTTTCTAATTGTTTGCTACTATTTGTATTTAGAAATACAAATGACTTTTGTATATTCTCCTTGTATCCTGCAACCTTATTAAATACACGAACTGTTTTGTTGATTTCTTGAGGTTTTATACACAAATAATATTGTCTGCCATTTTAATTGTCTTATTTTTTTCCTTTACAATTTTTGTGACTTTTCTTTCTTTTCTGGCTTCATTGCACCAGCTAGGACCTCTAATAAAACCTCGCATAGAAGAGGTGCTAGCAGACATCCTTATCTTTTATCTTAGGGAGAAAGTATTCAATATGTCACCATTAAGTATGATATTATCAGCATACTTTCTTTAATAATATTCTTTATGATATTGAGGAAATTTCCTTCTATTCCTGATTTGCTGAGAGTTTTGATCATAAATGGATGTTGAATTTTGTCGAATACTTTTTCTGCATTTATGGGGAGGGCCATATGTTTTTTCTCTTTGATGGTGAATTACATCGATTTTCAAAGGCTGTCACAAGCATATTTACTAAGAGTTGTCTTTTCACTCTCAAAGGTGATCCATATTTTACAACAACTTAAATAGTTACTCATTCTAGATTCCCCTCTCAGTTTTACATAACCACTGAGCCTCTTTCAACTTGCAGCTTTAAGAATCTGCTTCTCCTGGTGACTTGGACTTGCCTGCCTCCATCAGAAAGCCTAAGATTAGGAGGCTTCCCTGGTATTAGCGAGTAGGCTAGAAACACGGGAACCTAAAGAATCTCTTAGGTGGTAAGATATTTTTTAAAAACAGAGTTCTAAATCCTTTCTACCTCTCCAAGTGCCACCCGCTGGGTGGTGTTTGGCCCGCAGGGAAAACCCAGAGTGTGGACCACTGACAGGAGTTAGTATTCATACTTTGGTCACCCATTGCTCCCCATCCTGTATATTAAAAAGCCAGATCTTTAACGATTGCAGCCACCTGGAGATTTAAAGCTAAAGTGAAAATGTTAAGTGATAAAAGAATGGTCTTTTATATTTATATAATCAGTAAATATATGTACACTTTTTTATAGCTTTAGAGGATACAAGCACAGTTTTGTGACACGGATATATTGTATAGTGTTGAAGTCAGGACTTCTGGTATAATCATCACTCAAATAGTGTACATTGTCCTTATTAGATAATTTCTCATCCCTCAGCACCCCCCGCCAACCCTCCTACCTTTCTGGGTTCCCAATGTCTATTACTCCACTCACTATGTCCACATGTCCATTTAGCTCCCACTTATAAGTGAGAACATAGGGTATTTGGATTTGTTTCCAATTTCTTTCATGTAAGGTAATTACCTCCAGTTTCATTCATGCAAATATATTTAAGGGAATACTCCAAACCTGGAGTGAGAAGCGTCTCCTAGGAATTTGCACTGCGGCCTGGAGATACTCCAGTGGAGAAGTCAAAGTCTTTGAGAATTCCTGCTAAATGCTATCTAAAATAAACAGGAACAGGAACTGATTTCATTGAGTAAAGGTAGATGGCATTTTGGTACCATCTTTTTTTTTTTTTTTTTTTAGACGGAGTCTCACTCTGTTGCCCAGGCTGGAATGCAATGGCACGATCTCAGCTCACCATAACCTGCGCTAACCACGTTCAAGCGATTATCCTTCCTCAGCCTCCCAAGTAGCTGGGACTACAGGCACATGCCACCATGCCCGGCTAATTTTTGTATTTTTAGTAGAGACAGGGTTTCACTATGTTGGCCAGGCTGGTCTCGAACTCCTGACCTCATGATCCACCCGCCTCAGCCTCCCAAAGTGCTGGGATTACAGGCATGAGCCACCGTGCCCGGACTTGGTACCATCTTTAAATGAAATCTTCTATAGGCTGGGATTTCAGAGGCCTGGTTTTTAACTTCAGCTTTGTCGTGAACTCTCTGAGTAATCTGAGGCAAGCTATGCCAAATATACTACTACGACTACGACCGTTACTACTGCTAATAATAATAATAACGACTGCTAATATTCATATAGAACTACGCCAGATATTTAACATATATTATTTCACTCTTATAAAAGGGGAAAGATTGGCTGGGCGTGGTGGCTCATGTCTGCAGTCTCAACACTTTGGGAGGTTAACGTAGGAGAATCATTGGAGCCCTGGAGTTTGAGAGCAGCCTGGGCAACATGGTGAGACCCCCATCTCTACCATTTTTTTTAAATAACAAAAAAATGAAAAAGGAAATTCAAGAGTAGAAACAAGAAATATTCAAAAATAATAATACCTGTCACTGTGAAAAAGGCTTGTCACCAAGTATCTCATTGAAACTTTACAACTTCCCTAGGAGGTGCGTTCTATCACCTTAGGAAAGTGAGACTCAAACAGGTTACCTTGACCAAGGTCAGATAGCTGGCAAATGGCAGCGCTGAAACTCAAATCCAGGCAATCCAACTCTAAAACGCTTGTTTTAATCCTAATGGGGAAATACCCTGTCCTAACGTGGAAACTAGGTAGGCAGAAAAAAAATACGGTTTTTCAAAGGAGCATGATTACAAAGACAGAAGAACGGTCTAGAACTCTCTTACTTTAAACATTAACCTTACAGCTACCATTTTTTGAGTGCTTATCCACAAAAACTTTTCCTAAAGCACTTTTCACACATTTCTTTTTTTAACCCATGGAACTGCCTTTTGCCATCGTCTGGCCTCAGATCTGCAGCTCTTGTGACAGTGCTTCAGTGCCGTCTCTGCCACCTTGGTGTGGATGCCCCTTTTCAGGCTCAACCACTTCAGATTCTGCATATTTGCAACGTTTCCCTGCTTTCCTCACTACTGAGTTTCCTGGAACCAACTCCCTTCATGGAAAACAAAACAATCCAATGCAATCCTTGGCCCCAGGACACATGACCGGCTTACTGGCCAACTTCCAGCCCTCACCAACTGTTGGTAGAGAATAGGATTAGATGGCTGGCCCTGCATCCACAGGAGTGCATGATGCAATGTTTTTAAACCTGGACTAGGCCATCTGAACGGTTTGCAACTAGCTTGTTTTCCTCCTGTTCCAGCTTTGGAATGGAACTGAGTGAAAGCCAACCCTAGGTCTCTACCAGATAGGGCAGCAGCCAAAGCAAGGCAAAGAGAGCAGAGTGCACAAAAATAATATCACGCACTGCAGGGCAGGACAAGATAGTCAGGAGCCACGTGGAGAGAGGGTCAGATTCTGAGGTTTAAACAAGAGCCAAAATTCAGGTCTTGTGTTCGAGTCTTGGCTGATTTAGTTTTGTATTGGTCAAGGTCGTGTGAGCACCCAACGCCTGAAGCATGGCCCGGCAGGAAACCAGTGCAGTGGTTGTGACTGGGGAGTAACCTCATATTTTTAAATTAACCGCTTCCCTCAGTGGGTGGCAAAATAAGAGAGAACATGAAATCACTCAGTGTGCACCGAAAGGGAGAACGCTTGGGCTTGGACTTTAGCACCATTTTGTCCCTGATGTAAAGTGTACAATCTTGCCATGGTATATAATTCTGAATCCTTGGAGGTCCCTGAATTGTCTGTGAATACTCCCTGTAAACTAAAGCTGTGAGTGGAATACTACTTTCAAAGCAGATAACATTATGATTTCTGGATATTCGTTCAGGATTCTTCAGTCTCTGGTTCTCCAATCAGACTGCCTGGGCCTCATTTCCAGAGGGAATTGTCTCTGTGGTGTTTGCAGATTCCTTGTGAGCTGATAGCACTGAAACAGCATGAGAAACTACTCCCGTGACTTAGTCATCTTTAGACCCAGAGACTGTGGAAATGTCTGCCTTCCTGGGGCTTGAAGGGGTCGAGGGGTGGGTCGAATACCAGACCCACCCCCATCCTCTGGGCAGAAGCTATTTCCCACATTCTCCTGGCCCAGACACAACGTCTTTAGAACAGAGCCAGGAATGTTTCCTGGAGTTTAATGCTGCCCGGAGGTCATGGGAGCGACGTTGCACAATGATTAATGACAGGGAACGCTTAGTCAAGATTATATTTAATTTATACTTAGGTGTTGGCAATTTCTCATAGACAATTATTTCTCCAGGATGTCTCCTGATTCCCTCTGAGCTGTATGACTATCACTGTTAGATGTGTATTTGGGAATCCCAGAACTTCATGAATAGCTAATGGCAGACACAGGACTGCCCACGTGTTCCTATCTGTCTCCTATTGTTCCATATTTATCTCTATTATATTTCCTAAAATGATGATACTTCCTTCTATTTATAGAACTGTTCAGCTAGTTGCATACTGCCAGAAAAAAAGAGAGAGAGAGGAAAAAAGCAAAACAAAGGGAAAAAAATGAGTGTCCTTGTATTCTGGTGTATTTGCATTCCAAAGTCCATGAAGTAAGACGTATTCTATAATTGTTACTTTATTTTAAATAGCCATACTTAATCACATTCTTTGACAATTTTTGACTCAGCTCAAAATATAGATAGTAATCTCAATCCCTTATATTTACTTTTGATGTAAAATCTGAATCTCTGGGATGTGTTTTTTACAGGAAATGAGGTTTTGCATAATTTCCTGAGGAAATTGAAAATTTAACTACTTCAGTAAATAAGAAGCAAACAAACAAAAGTTGCATCATGATCGTGGGAAGGGGAGGCAGAATCACTTTGACATGATCATATTGCCTTGGTGGGCTGAGATCCGGAGATCTCTAGGAAAATATCTGATGAACACCTGTTTCTATTGCTTCATCAGCCTTCATTACTACGATGTTACTATTCTCAGGTGAGAAGCCCAGGTTAGCCTCACTTCTGTGGCCTGGTCCTGACTGAGCATGTTTTGGGGAGAACCCGACTTCCACATTCATGTGGGTCAATCAGCTACGTCAGCTCCAGTTTCCTCACGACGCTGTGGTCAAACAATGTCCACAACAAGAATACAGTCACAATACATTCTCTCTTTGATCTACATGAGCTCAAGTCATCACTTTATTCTTTTAATATAATGAGGGTAATTTGGTATCAAACTATACTTGACCTGTTTCCTTCCCCTTTGTCAGCTAACTTATCAGTTGAGGGGAAAAAAATCAGTTTCTAGAAATGTAAATCAAATTCATCTTACCATCTTCTCAGATGTTAGGCTTGATCCAAAGCCCACCAACATATGTGCCATATCCTGGGAAAATAAGACCAACTACACACAAATCTGTCTTTTAAAAATGATTGTGAGCACCTGAGTGTGTATGGTGGCTCACACCTGTAATTCCAACACGTTGTGAGGCCAAGGTGGGCAAACTGCTTGAGCCCACAAGTTCGAGACCAGCCTGGGCAACATGGTGAGACCTCGACTCTATACAAAAAATACAAAAATTAGCTGGGAGTGTTGGCACATGCCTGTAGTCCCAGCTACTCGAGAAGCTGAGGTGGAAGGATCACCCGAGACCGGAGAGGTAGAGGCTACAGTGAGCGGTGATGGCACCACTGCACTCCAGCCTGGGGGACAGAGTGAGACCCTGTCTCAAAAAATATATATATATAGTTGTGGTTATTTTATACTTGATAAGTGTTTGTTGTCAACATAGCATCTTAACTATGAAATACGACCCATTCTTATTATTGAAACTGGAACTTGTGGATTCATTTTAATTAACATTCCTTTTCAAGTAGCTAGTGCTATGAAAAAGTAGACATTGCCTGGTTTAGCAAAGTGGAGTGAGTCTTGATTATCTTCCGAAACTGATAACAGCAGGCAGGGAATCCGGGGTACACAGGGAACAGAACTGACTTTGCCAAGGCACTTGAAAAACAACTGGTTTTTGTTTATTTCTTTTTACTGTGGCTTTGTGAAACATATTCGGGTGATTTAATTAACCTCACTGAGCCTCATTTATTCAGTTGTAAAATGAAAAAAATAGTTGAACCTAAATCATTTGTTTATTGTGAGGATTAAATAAGAGGAGGCATGGGCTGGGCACTAGTAAACACTCAATAAATATAAGCTTTTTTTTTTTTTAAATAAGGGCAGGACAATTATAGCCTCAAGTGTCACATTCAATGTAACTCAAGTCATACCCTCTCACTTGAAGTTGAGGGTCACAGGCTTTTATTCCAGAACTTCTCTAAGACCACGTCATACTGAAGTCAAGGGTTAAAGAGTTCCCAAAATATTTGGACCCTATTAAAATGATCTGGGGTGAGCTTTCTACTGAGTCCTGGCAGAGAAAATCAGACCTAAGAATCAACCCATCACAGTTAAAACTTACCTGCTCAATTCTAAGGCATGCATATATATATATAAGTGTGTGTGTGTGTGTGTGTGTGTGTGTGTGTGCTTTATAAATCAGTTTACCTTAATCAATTTTGCCTTTAATCAATATCTACATGTAATTTAGAGTTTTTCTTTTCTGCTCCATCCCCTTTTGAATTGGTGGCTTGTCTCAGGATCAATGTTGATGTAAAATTAAGTACAGTGTGGGCATATGTTATTTTTAAAATCCTTCGTGAGTTTTATAATTTCTTTTAAAATACCATCTTATTTAGTAAGAATTTATGGATTATTTGCATTTATCAGGATGTCTGTTTTAATATGGAGTTGATTCTGATGGAAAATCTTCATTGATTACACCTTGGGCCCATCTTTGCTTTTAGTTCTCCACAGAAAGCCTACATGAATGAGCCACTTTATCACTTCTCTTAACCATGGAAGTAAAGTCTAAGAGACGAGGAAATAACACTTCTGGAATGAAGCCATGCAATCCCTGGAAAGGAACTTAGCGTCAACTCGGGCAGTGACCCACTGTGACCCTGTTGGTTGGCCATACCAACACCTGCCGGGCAAAACCCCATGCCTGAGGACTTCTCTGGGCTCTGCTACTACCAAACCTTTAATGCCGGGTCTAAGATGAATGAAAATGGTTTTCTATGAAGACCAGTATATAAGGACAGAGCAAGATTCCTCATCTTCAAATATTTATTATTTCCTTCTTCTGGTATTAGCAAATTTTGGCTTTAGATGATACTAATGCATATAGTAGATAAGAAATGTGTTATCAAAATAAGCATATTGATGAATAGTACATAAGATTCTATAAAGTGTATCAATTCTAACCTGTATATCTAATAGTAACATATTTTATATTATTAATATTACAGTACTGTAAGCCCTCTGTGTTCATGGGTTCTCCCACCAGCCACAGATGGAAAGTATCTGAAAAAAATGGGTGATTGAATCTGTACCGAAAATGTGCGAACTTGTCATTATCCCCTAAATAATATGTTATAACAACTGTTTACAAAGCACTTACACTGTATTGAGTATTATAGGTAGTCTAGCGATGGTTTAACGTATATGCGAGGATATGTGGAGTTTCGATGCAAATACTATCCCATTTTATATCACGGACTTGAACAAACAAGTACTTCGGTATGAGAGTAGGGACTGCAGTCGTCCCTGCCAAGGGACAACTGTAATCACATATATTTATTTTTTGTAATACCACTCTCAGCAAATTCTACATCAGAATCCAGACATTACATAGACAAATGCACATTCGAATTATAGAATGTTGGACCGGATTATATAGATTTATACAGATGTTCTATCATTTATCAATTGAGCAAGGTTCAGTTTAGATTTTTGGCTAATTTGAATTCATTTGATTTTGAAAGTGCTAGAAGTTGAAATTATCATTCAGTGATAAAATAAGAAAGATTATGATATTTGAGAATACTGTTTTTATCTTGACTATAACCTCTATACCTGGCAGAATTAGTGCCTAATTTTATGAACAATGCAAAGCCTTATTAGCACAGGAAGGAGGCTGGGCCCAATGGCTTACACCTGTAATCCCAGCATTATGAGCGGCCAAGGGAGGTGGATCACTTGAGCTCAGGAGTTTAAGACCAGCCTGGGCAACACAGTGAAAACCCCTCTCTACAAAAAATATAAAAAATTAGCCGGGTGTGGTGGCATGTGCCTGTAGTCACAGCTACTAGGAAGACTGAGGTGGGAGGATCCCTTGAGGCCAAGAGGTGGAGGGTGCAGTGAGCCAAGATCGTGCCGCTGTTTTCCAGCCTGAGAGACAGACTGAGAACCTGTCTCAAAAAAAAAAAAAAAAAAAAAAAAAATCAGTTAAAAACAAAAGGGAACAGAAAGGAGACTTCCTTCTTCCTCACCTGGCTTACAATTTTCAGCTTTGGGAGCAGTGCTGTGGGTGAGGATAATAAAATTACAGATGCATAAAAATACTCTGAGAGAAAAATGAGATGAGGGTGAAACTAACAAAAGAAAAAGTGTATATGGTCAATCCACATATGAAAAACATATAACCTTACTAATAAAGCAATGCAATGCAAATTATAATTTTAAAGTATCATATTTGCCTTTCAAACAGATGAAAAAGGTTATTACCCCTGATGAGCACATGTTAAAATAAACATCCTCATACACTTCAAGCCACGTTTCACTGGACACATCACAGTATACATTAAAAGCCTTAAAAATCTTTAAGCCTGACCCAATAAATCCATTCCTAGAAGTATACACTAAGAGGAAAAAAGAGATGCATTTTGATATTTATGTTTAATGATAATTACTACAGTATTATTACTTATAAGAGTCAAAATTAGAGACCTAATGTGTCCCATAATACAAGAAAAAACAAATTTTAGAATATGAAATACTTTAGGGTAATTTAAAATGTTTTCAGATAATATTTAACAACATGGAAAAATGTTAATGATTAGTGGGAAACTGAAATGTTGTCGGAAAAAAAGCAGGAAAATCAAATTACATATGTATTCTATTTCCAATTTATTAAACAGATATATACAGAAGTTTTCCTGGGACCAACATCATGGTTATATTTTTTAGGGACATGAGAACTGTCACACTGGGTCAGGTCCAGGTTCAAAAGTCAAAGGAGGCTCCAGGCCACATTTTAGGAAGACGGAATTGTCCTCCCTAAGGAATGCTTTCCAAAGAATTTAGATTTAATAATAAGAGCCACAACAATTTTTTATGCGTGTGAAGCACTTTACACTTTACAAAATTTTTCAGATTTACTTTCTCTCTGGATTCTTAAAACAATCCTTTGAGGTTGGCTGCATACTATTATGTGTTTTACAGGTGAGAAAATAAAAGCTCAAAGAGTTACCCAAGTGGTAAGTGGCAGTTTTCAGCTTTGACCATTACCCTTCCCTTTCTCATATTGGCCACTTCTTCTGGAACTGTGATTCATAAATACCTTCAGGCAATTTTGGAATACACTTCTAACTCCTGTGTATACTGTCTCTTGAGAAAATGTATTGTTTGCTTTTAGTCTATCCTATGTGCTCTGAAATTTCCTGGTTTCAGTATCCGTGGGCATATTAATGTAATAGTTATTTAACTGTATTATATATAATTAGACATAGGGGGTAAGAGTGAGCTTAATAAGGCCAACTACCACCAGCAGCAAACACACTTGCAACCATCTTTCCCAAGAAATGTAAGATGGGGGACAGGAAAAACACCATTTAAAGGGACTTCCCTTGGGTCACAGGGAAAATTTCTAGGAGAGCATTGAGAATCAAGAACCATCATGATGTATCAGCTAAATAAGGTGTCAACAAAAACCATGCTTGGCCTTGTATGAAGCCCAGAGCTGGCATTTCCCCACCCTTGGTCATTCTCTTCCGCCCTGTGTCTATCTAGGTCAGGCTTCTCAAACCTCACCATGGCAGATGCATCATTTGGAGACCTTGTGAAAATGTAGACTCTGATTCCCTAGGTCAAGGGCTGAGATTCTGCATTTCTTTCAAAATCCCAGGTGATGCTGCTGCTGCTGCTGCTGCTGCTGCTGCTGCTGCTGCTGCTGGTCTAGACCACATTTTCAGAAGTAAGGATTTAAACAATCAGCACCCAGGGAGCTAGGACAAATCTTCCGCTTGATTCTTACTTGTAGGTTGGTTTTCTATAGCTAAGTCAGTGAGAACTCTCACCCCTTTGTTTCTCCATTAGCAATTGTTCTTTTTTGTTTGTTTTTATAATCTATTTAATTTTTAATTTTGGGAGTACATAGTAGGTGGATATATTTATGGGGTACATGAAATATTTTGATACAGGCATGCAATGTGAAATAAGCACATCAGGGCAAATGGGTCATCCATCACCTCACGCATTTATCTTTACTTTGTGTTACAAGCAATGCAATTATACTCTTAGTTATTTTTAAATGTACAATAAATTGTTCCTGACTGTAGCCACCCTGTTGTGCTATCAAACTAGATCTTATTCATTCTATCTAAATATATTTTTGTACCCATTAGCCATCCCTATCTCCCTCCCTCCACTACCTCTGATAACCATCCTCCTACTGTCTCTCTCCATGAGTTTGCTTTAATTTTTAGCTCCCATAAATAAATGAGAACATGTGAAGTTTGTCTTTCTGTGCCTGGCTTATTTAACTTAATATAATGACTTCCAGTTTCATCCGTATTGTTGCAAATGACAGAATCTCATTCTTTTTCATGGTTGAATAGTACTCCATTCTGTATATGTACCATATTTTCTTTATCCATTCATCTGTTGATGAGCACTCAAGTTGCTGCAATGAACATGAGAGTACAGATATATTCTATGTACCGATTTCCTTTATTTTGAGTAAATACCTAGAAGTAGGATTGCTGGATCATATGGGAGCTCTATTTTTGGTTTTTGAGGAACCTCCATACTGTTTTCCACAGTGATTGTGCTAATTTACATTCCCACCAACAGTGTAGGAGGGTTCCCTTTTCTCCACATCCTCACCAGCATTTGTTATTGCCCGTCTTTTGGATAAAAGCTATTTTATTGCGGTGAGATGATATCTCATTGTGGTTTTTAATTTGCATTTCTCTGATGATCAGTGATGTTGAGCACCTTTTCATATACCTGTTTGCCATTTGTAAATCTTATTTTGAGAATGTCTATTCAGATCTTTTGCCCATTTTTAACCAGATTATTAGGTTTTTTTTCCTATAGAGTTGTTTGAACTTCTAATATATTTTTATTATTAATCCCTTGTCAGATGAGTGATTTGTAAATATTTTCTCCCATTCTTTAGGTGGTCTCTTCACTTTGTTGATTGTTTCCTTTGCTGTGAAGAAGCTTTTTAACTTGATATAATCTCATTTGTCTATGTTTTTCTTTGGTTGCCTGTGCTTATGAGGTACTACACAAGACATTTTGTCAAGACCATGCCCTGGAGAGCTTCCCCAGTATTTCCTTTAAGTAGTTTTATACTTTGAGGTCTTTTATTTAATCCTTTAATCCAATTTGACTTGATTTTTGTATATGGAAAGAGATAGGGGTCCAGTTTTATTCTTTTGCATATAAATGTCAAGTTTTCCCAACACCATTTATTAAAGACACTATTTTCTTCCCAATGTATGTTCTTGGCACCTTTGTTAAAAATGAGTTCACTGTAGACGTATGTATTTGTTTCTGGTTCTCTATTCTGTTCCATTGGTCTGTGTGTCTGTTTTTATGTCAATACCATGCTATTTTAGTTACAATAGCTTAGTAGTATAATTTGAAGTCAGGTAATGTGATTCCTCCAGTTTTTGGGTTTTTTTGCTTTGTTTTGTTTTGTTTTGTTTTTTTTTTCAGGATGGCTTTGGCTATTCTGGGTCCTTTCTGATTCCATATAAGTTTTAGGATTGTTTTTCCTATTTCTTTGAAGAATGTCATTGGTATTTTTATAGGGCTTTGAATCTGTACACTGCCTTAGTTAGTATCGAGAATTTAACCACATTAATTCTTCCAATCCATGAACATGGAGTATCTTTCCTTTTTTTGTGTCCTCTGATTTCTTTTGTCAACATTTTATAGTTTTCATTGCAGAGATTTCTCACTTCTTTGGCTTAGTTAATTCCTGGGTATTTTGTTTCATTTGTAACTATTGTAAAAGGCATTACCTTATTGATTTCTTTTTCAGATTGTTTGCTGTTGGTATATAGACATGCTAGTGATTTTTATGTTGATTTTGTATCCTGCAACTTTACTGAATTTATCTATTAGCTCTAATAATTTTTTAGTGGAGTCTTTAGACTTTTTCAAATATAAGATCATATCATCTGCAAACAAGGATAATTTGACTTCTTCCTTTCCAATTTGGATGCCCTTTATTTCTTTTCTTGTCAGATTGCTCTAGCTAGGACTTCCAGCAATTGTTCTGTGTTACATGAAATTCCTTTATAATGACCCTCAATCTTGGTTCTACATTATAATCATCTGGGATGCTTTATCAAACTTTGATTCCTGGGTCATACACCAGTAAAAGTAAATCAGAATTCCAGATATCTAGGTGATTCTAATGTGCAGCCAAAGTTAAGAACCACTCACTAGAGGAGTGTAGAAGGCAGAGAACCCCATAAGTCTGGCTCTGGTCCATGCTGCAAACATTTCTTTTTAAGCCTGGGTCCCTCTTTTGCCTTTAATGTTAACCTGAAAGTCAACCAAAAATAATTGCCTCAGAAGCCTGCTTGCAAAGACAGGTCATCTGCTCTGAAGACGGAGAGAGAAGGTCACTTCAAAGAGACTCTACTGGAGAAAGGTCAATACAGGAGCTAGAGACTACATTTTTCCTTGATTTCTCTGACTTGGAATTACATCATAAATTCATTCATAATTTTACCTTCCACTTTTGAATCTTAAGAACATATTCTGTGAATCATTTCTGAAGAAATTGATTATTTTTCTTCAATAATATGCAAACACTTTAAGACAAATATTCAGCTAATAATCAGGTAATTAAATAATCACAGGTACCCAGGGAGCTGATAGCACTCAGAGACAGAAGTTCAAACAGATGAACCTCTAAGAAGAGAGAAACCTTTTCCCTATGAAGTTGAAAATGAGCTTTCAAGCAAAGTAAAACACCCAAAACCATGTTATTTCTGAAGCAAAATTGAGAAAAGGAAGACCTTAAAATATATATAAAACATTATATTCATCACAGTTTCTAGCTTTCTCTCCACCTTTTCAAATATCTAATAATTCCCTGATTAGTAGGTGACTATTTGCCAAAAAAAAAGCCAAAACAGAAAAGAAAACTTTTCTCTACAAGTCACTCCATGTATGATACATGTTTTTAAGTGACTGTAATTTATTTAAAACTTTTTATTCTTATGAGCCCCCCCCCCATTTTTTTATAATAACCTCATGATTTACTTGGCTAGAGTGTTTGTTCTCACTCAACAGGAAGAACAAAACAAGACATCAGTAGGGAAACGCAGCCACACCCAGACTGAAGAGAACAGCCGTATCCCTCAGGAAATTAGAGGAGAGTTCAAAGTTCTGAGCCAATGTATTGTTCAGCCAATTAAGCATCCTGAGCAAGGATATTCACTTGATACCTGAACACTGTGTTTTCAGAAAGGCTCCAGAGATATCCATTCACTCATCCATTCATTAATCCAACAAGTATTGTTTGAGGATCTATTATGTTCCAGGCACTATTTCTAGGGGCAAAATATAAAAGTCATGGCCCTTGTCCTCAAGAGTTTAGACACCAATGGGAGAAGCCAATTTATAAACAAAGAGGCAACAGGTAGAGCAGAGAGGAAGAACTCAGGCTCAGGAATCAGGCAGATGGATATTCGAATCCCAGCTGTGCCATTTTCTTAGCTGTATGATCACAGTTTATTTACAGCCTCAGTTTCTGCATCTATAGAATCCACATAATAGTAGTACCTATGTCTGAGGGTTGCTGCACAGGCTAAATGAAATCTTCCATGTAAAACCACTTAGCCCAGTACTGGGCATATACTAAACAAGCCAGGAATGTGAGGCACGTGTGCGGTTCAGTGGTCGCACACAGAGAGAGGAGTGATTAATGTGGCTGGGGGACAGAGGCACTACTGTTTCAGGACTTTATGAACATAAATAATACTGTGTTGAAACCAGCTAGCCAGCTATGAGGGCTGAGAGGGAATGTCTCAAGTAGCCCTGTAGCCACAGAGCATTCAACTTAGGAAAGACAGAGCTACCTAATTATCACTGGGACTGAAATCAGAGAAGACCTTGATTAGTCTCAGAATGTACAATACATCTTGATTCTTTCCAACTCTCCTTTTGAACCTTTATATCTTCATAGTTTGTACTTCCTGTACACATATGTCTTCAGTTAGAAGATGAATTTCATAACAAGGGTTCCATCACAGTGTTGTTGCTGTCAAATAAGATAACGTATGTGAAATGCTAAACACTAAAGCATTGTACAAAATACACGAATGCACTAATTATGCCAGACAAGACAAAGTACTGTCTCCAAGAAGCATGCCAGGCAATCCCGATGACGACAACCACAAAAGCCTCTCTAGAGCTGTTCAGTTGCCCCCTGCTCTTCCCTGGCCCCAGCTACCCAACCCTTTCCAGTCTGAGTTTAGAAAACCATGGGCTCCCCTCTTAGGGAACCTGAGCACAGTTGATGAAGGAGGCACTGAGAATAAGAAAGTTGAGTAAGAAAGGATGAGTCAAGAAAATTCCATAGACTGGTCAGAGGTTAGAACAGGCTTAGCAACCAAGGACCCATCCCCCTCAGGGAGAAAGGGAAAGCCTGAAAGGAATGAGTGGCATCTCCACTCGCCTCCCGGAAGGCAGGTCAAAGATTAGAAGATAAGAAATACACCTGCCTGAAAATGAGAAGATGGCAGACACTGAGCCCAAATAACTGTGACCTGGTGGCAATCATGGCATGTCCTAACCAGCCTACCTCTGTCTGGCTGACAGATGTCCCCTGATCTGAGCCTGGTATTCTGGCCAGTGTACAGACACATAGACTCTAAGAGCTACCCACTTCCTCCCACGTTTCTTAACCTTTTCACACACCCCCATAACCACTAAAACACTTTTTAAGACTTTTTTTTTCCTCTGATCATTCCCATTTCCCCATCCCCTCCAATGACATTTTAATATCACAGATATTCAGTACATCTGTTTAAAGACGATGACCCTGTGGAGGGTAACGGACTATTGCAATATCTAAGCTTTTCTTTGGTCCTCAGAGACTAATTTTCACTCCTTCTCTGGGCAATGTAACCCCTATTGAGAATGAATGTATTAAATCCGCCTTCTGCTTATGCAAGACAGACTCCAACTCTCATATTTACAACCATGAACCTTGATAAGAACACCCCAACTCATGCTGTTAAAACTCAAATCCACAAAGTTGATATTATGTTCATGTACTCTACACCAAAGCTTCATAAGATTCTGTTAAAATTCAAAATATTGGAAAAAATCCTTTTAAAAAAATACCAATAGGTACTGTCTATCAACCAAGCACTGGGCTGTGTATTTTACACATCACCTCATTAAATCCTCACATCACTGTAAGCATCATTGGTCTGCTTTACAGATCAGGACTCTGGAGCTCAGACAAGTCAATAGCCGACCCAAGGTTATCCTGTTGGTCAGTGGCAGAGCCTGGAATGAGCACAGCCTTGTCTGATTTCAAGGGCGTGGGCCGTAAGCACAATGCAACATGCTGGCATGCAGAAAGTAAGACTCGCGCCTTGCTTACCTAGCTTCACTGGGGGTTGGCTTAGGAGTTTAGGAGCTCTGCTTATAAAGGAGTAATAGTTTTTAAAATATTCACATGTGTTTTCATTTGCACTTCTGTATGTCTTGCCTTCCTCCCAGGCAGCCTGAGATAAGGAGTTAGGGTAGATACGAAATTTGAATTATTCAACAACCAGTGCTGCACATGCACCAGCCAATCAGAACAGGCCAATCACCAGCCAATGAGAATAGACCAGGCTCCAGTGAACCATAACAGTCCAGGAACCGAAGTACTGGGAACCAGCCAATGAGAATAGACCAGGTACTAGCCAATGAGAACAGTCCAGGCCTTACCATTGGAGCAGAGTTCAGCTGCCACCTGTTACTCCAGGTGTACTTGGGGAGGGGTTGCGCTGGTGGGACAATGAGGGGGCTTGGGGCAGCAGCTAGTCATCTACCGATGTGGATGCAGACTTGGTTCTACAAGACCTAGAGACACTTTCTTTTTTCTTTTTTCTTTTTCTTTTTCTTTTTGAGATGGAGTCTCCCTCTGTCGCCCAGACTGGAGTGCAGTGGCGCGATCTCGGCTCACTGCAAGCTCCATCTCCCAGGTTCACCCCATTCTCCTGCCTCAGCCTCCTGAGTAGCTGGGACTACAGGTGCCCACCACCATACCTGGCTAATTTTGTTTTTGTATTTTTAGTAGAGACAGGGTTTCACCGTGTTAGCCAGGATGGCCTCGATCTCCTGACCTCGTGATCCACCCGCCTCGGCTCCCAAAGTGCTGGGCCTTAAGGAGTTTCTCTCTTGTTGCCCAGGCTGGAGTGCAATGGCGGGATCTCCACGCACTGAGACCTCCACCTCCCGTGTTCAAGTGAGTCTCCTGCCTCAATTCTACAAGTAGCTGGTATTACAGGTGCCGGCCACCACACTCGCCTAATTTTTGTATTTTTAATACAGACGGGGTTTTGCCATATTGTCCAGGTTAGTCTCGAACTCCTGACCTCAGGTGATCCACTCACCTCGGCCTCCCAAAGTGCTGGGATTACAGGCATGAACCACCGCGCCCGAACTGTTTCTTTCATAGTGTAGAGGATGTTTCATAGAGACGGGTGTTGCCTTATGGGAGGTGGACAAAAAGACACAGAGGAAGGGAACGAAGCCCAAAGTCTGCCCGAGGATTCTAGGGGAGGAGACAGGAGGAGACACAAAGGGAAAGCAAGGAGAGCAGAAGCCGGAACGTTCATCCCCACTCCACTTTTTACACCTGACCTTGTCGGAAAGGGGATTATTTAGAAACAACCAAGAATAAAAGGGACTTTTTCTGCTTCCCCCGCCTTACCCGCGGGCACCTCCACAATGGCACCAGAGCCATAGTCAGAGGGAGGCAGTGGAAGGAACGTAGATAAACAGCTTTAGGGCAGTGCTCCTGCCTCCCTCGCCTGGTATACAGTGGCCCAGAGGGGATGGAAACCTCCAGTGCCTGAGGACTGACAGAGGCCTGGCGCCAGGACAAAGAAGCTGATGAAGCAGTAACTTTAAAATGTGCGGATGTTCAGAACCACAGGTGGGAGGTGAAGTGTCTTTTGGAAATAAACGAAGACCAACCATAGGAAAACAGAACGACCGTTTATTTAGAGCTTACTATAACAAGAGAGTTAGCCAGCATCAACTGCATTTTGGCAGAGACTCAAAGACAGGCAATGGAGTGGAAGAGCTTCACAGTGGCAAGAAGTGAAGGCATCAGGTGTGTCCTGATTGGAGACTGCTGGCATGGGGAGGCTGCAGGCGGGCAGACTCAGAGCAGGGCATCCTATGGGATTGGTTAGGGAAGCATATTTGGCTTTCTCTGGTGGGTCCTAAATTGGAAGCAGGGACAAAAATGAGGATAAGCTGTGATTTATTAATCAAGTCCTGGCCATTTGGAGCCAACTGATACAGAAGTGATTTTTTGGCTTTCAGGACTGTTACTAGAGATAGCAATCTGGCCTCCTACAGTTTCGACTTGTTGCTGGGCTGGTTAGTGTAGATAAGGGGGTTGGTTTCTGGAGCAGGTTTTAGATCAGTGTTCTGTTTTTATATGTGGTCTGGCCATTGTTCAATTGTGTCTTTAGTCTCTCCATTTTGGCCCAAAAGGCCATATAGGATCAGTCACATCTTAGCGGTCAGGACTTTGAATGAGAAACAACCCGGTCTCTTCCCAGCAGAGTCAGTGACTATGCAATCTACCTATGTAGATCTGGGAACACCACTCCTCAGCCAAGACACTGACTATAACGTGGGAGGATGACCTTTCAGAAAGGTAAGCATCATAGCATTGACAGAGTTGTTCCAGAGGCTCTGCAGAGGACAGGCCACCCTTTCCATGTCCCTGTGCCTCCACTCACCACCCCTTTATGCCATCTGGGCTCTGCTGTGTGCCTGCCTCATTTAGCTCCAAGGAATGACTCTGATGTTGGTCATGGATACTTTAGTTCAGGTTGAGAGATGTGTTGTTCTCAATGTTTTATTTACATACTATTTACTATGTATTATTATATAATCATTTTTTAGATTACAGAACAGGTGGTTTTATCTAGTATTAAGGTTATAGGTCCTTTGCAGAGCTCCTGAAATCACAATGCACAAGATATCATAAGGCTTTTAGCTGGTTTATTTGGTTGATCCTTATGAAATTGCCAATATTCAGTTGCTTTTGTCCTGCAAAGTAGACGTTTTGTAGGGTTCAGCCAAGAAAATGAACGAATATTCTGAGTTTTACTTCTAAGAACCAACTGGGTGACTAGAAAATGCTTTTTAAAAAACCATGAGGCCAATTTTAAATTTTCATTTTTATTTAGAAAAACTGCAGATATCTTTGTGACAAATATGCAGACGCACACACACACAAATGATGGCTGATCCCTCTTAATATTTGTTTAAAGTATAGAGATAGAAACTTTTAAAACATGCCCCTGTCTAAATCAGCAGAGCGGCTTAACTATTGCGTGGGAACAGTTTTTATGAATCATATTTTACTTCACTTTTTCATTTACCTACTGTTGATTAGAGACTTTTTTTTAGACCTCAAAGTGATGGGTTTGAATTCCCCTTCAAGGTGGAGTGATAATAAGATTCAGTTTCATCTCATCTACAGGGAATTGGCAAACGGAAGGCAGAGCAAAGTGAGAAACACTGTTGATGGCCAGTAAAGAAGCCTATAAACCAATATTAGGTAAACTGCAAATAGTTACACATATCTCCCTGGCTGTCAATCAAGCGGAGCCCATCACAGCTCCCTGATGTCGAAAAGCGTGTTTGTCATTGATTTTCTAACGCGCTGGTTGAAATCTTGTCAGCCACTGTCAATTCAAAGCCCCCTGTAATTACACTTCTTGTAGGAGAGATTCTGATTGTATTTTCTGTGCCAAAACCTTGTCCTAAAACATGTTTCATGATCAGTCGGAAGGGAGGCTCTAGCAATTCTTATCCCAAGGAGTGTGTAAGGCTCCCTGAAGAATTTTTCTTTAATTAATGAATGAGACATCTTATCCCCCTGATGGAGGTCATTTTAGTCATCTTTCTTTCCTAATGGAGCAAAAACCTTTCATGTGTGAGACAAGTTCAAGGTCAGGGAGTGTTGTCAGTGGAGTTACTGGAGTCTGAACTCTGAGCTGCCCACCAGGTTACATCACATTTTTGAGGTTAAAGATATAAGGGTCCTCTATCTGGACCATGGAGTTTTGATTCCTCTTGACACAGATTATCTTGGACATCACAGTCAGCATATATTACTATTTCTTTCACTCCCCTGGTACTTAATTGTAAACCAAAAATAAAATTTTAAGATGTGCCCCCCCTTCCCTGCTGCCCCCGCCAATCATCTGAGTGGACCCCTCGTCTCAGCCAAGTGCATTCCAAAAATTAACCTGAAAAATCTAGTTTAGGACATGATGGGAAGGGGGAACTAGATATGCTTCATTGCAGCCTCCTTACTTTTGGAATTGCTTTAGAACAGACTCTTTAAGTCTGATAAGAAACATTTACAAGACTGGGCATGGTGGCTAATGCCTGTAATCCCAGCACTTTGGGGGTCCAAGGCGGGTGGATCACCTGAGTTCAGGAGTTCGAGAACAGCCATAGCTAACGTGGTGAAACCCAGTTTCTACTAAAAATACAAAAAATTAGTCGGGCATGGTGGTGCATGCCTGTAATCCCAGCTACTTGGGAGGCTGAGGCAGGAGAATCTCTTGAATCCAGGAGACGGATGTTGCAGTGAGCTGAGCTCGTGCCATTGCACTCCAGCTTGGGCAACAAGAGCAAAATTCCGTCTCAAAAAGAAAGAAAGAAAGAAAGAAAACAAAAGAAACATTTACAATCTATTCTCTCTGCAGACTGCTACCTGGAGGCTTCATCTGCATGATAAAACCTTGGTCTCCACAACCCCTTCTCATAACCCAGACATTCCTTTCTATAAATAATAACTTTTTCAACCAATTGCCCAGCAGAAAATCTTTCAACCTGTCTATGACCTGGAAGCCTCCACTTCTAGATGTCCCATCTTTCTGGACCAAACCAACGTACCTCTTACATGTATTGATTCATGCCTCGTCTCCCTAAAACTTGTAAAAGCAAGCTGTGGCACATGTTCTCAGGACCTGCTCAGGGCTGTGTCACGGGCCATTGGTCACTCATATTTGGCTCAGAGTAAATGTCTTCAAATATTTTACAAAGTTTGACTTTTTGTTGACATAATCAAAAACAGACTTCAGATCTATCTTATATGGTTAATTTTTCTTCTTTCTCTTACATTGTAAATCTAGTGAGAGAAGAAACCATATGCTCTACCCCAAAACACCTATTTCAATGCCAACCATAAATAATGTATCTGTTGAGTGGTAAGTGGACCTTCGTCCATACAACAAAGACTCTGTCCAACTCTGAGAAGCCACTAGAGGCCATAATTAGCACTGTTGCTAATGTTATTGATATGAACCCTGGACTCAAAAGTTCAGGCATTAAGTGTAATATTTATTTCATAAAACTGGGGGATTTTGAGAAGCCACTGGGGAAAAAAAGCTATCCTATGTATGGACATTATATAGAAGCACACAGGGACCTTAACTGAGGTAATATGCTTTCAAATGCAAGAGGAAAATGCGAGCAGGTAACTAATCCAAATAATCTCCTGTATTCTCCCTCAGAAAGGAGTTCTAAGGTTCTGGCCATTGGGCATCTCTCCCACCCAATGCCTGTTATGTGCAGCAAAACAGACTGTGCTCTGGCCTCTTGCCAAGATATCACCTGACGAATTCTCCAATAATATCACTATAAGGTTTCTGTACAACAAAGAAATATAAAACCAAAGATATCACAGGAAATGTCAAAAAAAAAAAAAAAAAAAAAAACCCCTCATCCCCAGCTTCACCCCTGAGGGCCAAATATTCAACTTGAGAGTTTGGCAGTAAGAAAAAAGGACATGCAAAGAACAACAAAACAAACCCAAAAAAGCCTACTGATTCTTTGTCCCTTTCTATTTTGTTTGAAATGAAAACTTCACCCCAGAAAACAGAAACAACTAAATCCCCAGAAAACATAAAACTCTCTTAATTTTGTTTCCAGCACTGAACCTCCTGCTACTGCCCACTGCTGCATTTGCCAGATAACCGATTATGGGACTAAAAAAACGCCAAAACCTGACAAATAAATCATTCTGAAAGCTGGGGCTTCCCAAGGGTAACATCAGAGATTATCAGTCAGGCAGAAATGTTAACATCCATTTTCCCATCATTGTGAGGCCCTTTGTTAATGGGTTTTCTTTGCAGAAAAGGCACAATGCCCTGCATTATGGGGACATTTTATGCAAATAGCACTTAGGCTGTGTGAAACTCTGTATCAGACACTGTAGCCCAGGCAAATACCTCTTACAGAAAGATCTTCATCCCAGTGCAGAGCCACCTCACATGGCCCTGAGGATTAAAGGACCAGCCAACCCTTCATGTCTACTCCCAAATGAAAATGACCAGGTTTTGAACAGACCAAGCTCTGAGTGGTGGCCCAGGTAAGATGGGGCTTTATTCAACAGCAGGAGAGGAACTTTTCCTCACCTCAAGTCCTGAGACTGAAAAGGGGATCAGCTCCTAGGTCAGTCTAACACCAGGAATCATAGGAGTTCAGAGCTAGAAGCACTGTGTCATTTTATCTACTTACTTCAGTGTTGACACTGAAGCCTGAAAGGTGATGTGACCTACCCATGCTCAGAAAGCCCACGCATAGGGAATCAGGACCAGAATCTAAAGTGACTGGGCCCAGCTTGCTAAATTCATTTATTCGTTTCCTTAATAAGTAGTAATATTAAGGCTGGGGCACTGTGCAGAGTTCTGAAAGAACAACAATGAGTAAGTTGTAGTCTATGCCCTCAGAAGCACTAACAGTCCAGAAGGGGAGGTACAACTAAAAAGATAGATACAAGGGCAAAAGATTTGATGACCTCAATGCCTGTCATCATAGAACTGGTTAAATAAATTGTGGTACATCCATATAGTGGGATAGCAGGCAGTTGTTAAAATAATCATAGGATGATCTACATGTACTGATTGATATGGAAAGTCCTCCAAGTTATGTTGCCAGGGGAAAAAAGTGAAGTGTCTGTGGTAGATATCCATCCAACTATATCAATAATCCTTTTTAAATGTCAGTAGTCTAAATGCACCAATTAGAAGACAGAGATTATTGGAATGGATTCAAAAATGGATTAATACCCAACTATCTATTGCCTACAAGAGACCCACTTCAAATATAAACATACACATAGATCAAAAGTAAATGATGGACAAGCACGGTGGCTCACACCTGTAATCCCAGCACTTTAGGAGGCTGAGGTGGGCACATCACTTGAGGTCAGGAGTTCAGGACCAGCCTGGCCAACATGGCGAAATCCTATCTCTACCAAAATACAAAAATTAGCCAGGCACGGTAGCACGTGCCTGTAGTCCCAGCTAGTCAGAAGGCTGAGGCAGGAGAATCACTTGAACCTGGGAGGTAGAGGTTCCAGGGAGCCCAGATCACGCTATTGCACTCCAGCCTTGGTAACACAGTGAGACTCAGTCAAAAAAAAAAAAAGTAAATCATGCAGAAGAAAGACTATGCTAATATTCACCCAAAGAAGCCAGAAGTAGCTATTTTACTTTCAGACAAGCAGACTTCAAAGCAAAGAAAGTTACGATGGATAAAAAGAGGCATTACATAATGATAAAGGAGGCAATTCTCCAAGAAGATATAAACGTTCTTAACATATATGTGCCTAACAACAAAGTGTTAAAATATATTGGGCAAAAATTGATAGAACTTCAAGGAGATACAGATGAATCCACTATCATAGTTGGAGACTTAGACACTCCTTTACCAGAAATGAAGATCCAGCAGGGAGAAAGTCAGTAAGGACACATGTGAACTCAACAATATAATCAATCAGCTGAGTATAACTGATATCCATAGACTATTTCACTCAACAAGAGCAGGATACATGGTCTTCTGAAGCTCACCTGGAACATTCACCAAGGTAAACCACATTCGGGGCCATAAAACACACCTGAACAAATTAAAAAGAATAAAAATCATACAGGGCCTGCTCTGAGAGCACAAAGGAATTAAAGTAGCAATCAATAACAAAAAATAACTGGAAAAAATCACAAAATACTTGGAGTTTAAATAACACATTTCTAATTAAAATGGTTTAAAGAGGAAAACTCAAAAGAAATGTTAAAACATTTTGAACTAAATGAAAATGAAAACACAACTTAGCCAAATTTGTGATATGCAGGAAAAGCAATGCTTAGAGAGAAACTTATGGCATTTAAAATAAGAAAGATCTAAAAATCATCTAAGCTTCCATCTTAGGAAACATGAAAAAGAAGAGAAAATTAAATCCAGAGGAAACAGTCTGGCGCAGTGGCTCATGCCTGTAATCCCAACACTTTGGGAGGCTGAGGAGGCGGATCACTAGAGGTCAGGAGTTTGAGACCAGTCTAGCCAATATGGCGAAACCCCATCTCTACTAATAATACAAAAATTAGCTGGGCGTGGTGGCATGCATCTGTAATCCCAAGCTACTTGGGAGGCTGAGGCATGAGAATCACTTGAACCCAGGAGGCAGAGGTTGCAGTGAGCTGAGATAATGCCACTGCACTGCAATCTGGGCAACAGAACTAGACTCTGTCTCAAAAACGAACAAACAAACAAAATTCCAGAGGGAACAGAAGAAAACAAATTAAAATTAGAGCAGGAACCAATGAAACTGAAAACAGGAAATAGAGAAGATAAGAATCCCAAATCTGTTTTTTTGAACAAATCAATAAAACGATGAGCCTCTAGTCAGGCTTAGAAAAGAGTAAGAAGAAAGAAATTATTAATATCAGAAATGAAAGAGGGACATCACTACAGATCCCATGGACATGTAAACAATAATAAACAACTCTGTGCCCACAAATTTGACAATGTAGATGAAATGGGCTTATTCCTTGAAAGACATAATCTGCCAAAACACACACCAGAGGCAATAGACACTCTTATTAGACCTATATCTATTTTTTAAAATTGAAGCAATAATTAATAACCTTCCAAAACAGGAAAGTCCAGGCCCAAATGGATTCACTGATGAATTCTACCACAAGTATAAGGAAAAAATTATGCCAATTATTTGTAATCTCTTTCAGAAGGTGGAAGCAGAGGGAATACTTCCTAATTCATTCTACCAAGCTAACGTCACTCTAATACAAAAGCCAACAAAGACATTATAAGAAAACTACAAACCAATATCTCTCATAAACATAGACAGCAAAATCCTCAACAAAATTCTAGCAGATCATATCCAACTATATATAAAAAGAATTATACACCATTACCCATTGAAATTTATCCTAGGTATATAAGTCTATTTCAATATTCCAAAATCAATTAATGTAATCCATCACTTCAACAGGCTAAATTAGAACGATCATATGATCTTACTAATAGATACAGAAAAAGCATTTGACAAAACACAATACTCATTCACGACAAAAACTCTCAAGTAATTAAGGATAGAGGGAAACATTCTCAACTTGATAAAAAGCACCTACAAAAAGCCTGCAGCTAACATTATACTTAATGGTGAGAAACCAGAAGCTTTCCCACTAAGATCAGGAACAAGGCAAGGATATCCCCCTCGCCACTCATTTTCAAACTTGTACTGGAAGTCCTAGTTAATGTAACAAGAAAAGAAAAAGAAAGAAAAGATATACTGATTAGGAAGGACGAAATAAACTGTCTGTGTTCACAGATGATATGATTGTCTATGTAGAAAATTCAAAAGAATCGACAACAGCAACAACAAAAAAACTTCCTGGAACTAATTAATAAGAAATCACAGCAAGTTTTCAGGAGGCAAGGTTAATATACAAAAGTCCATTTCTTTTCTATATACCAATAATAAAGTGGAATTTAAATTAAAACAACACCATTTATGTTAGCACCCCCCAAAATGAAATACTTTGGTATAAATCTAACAAAATATGTACAAGATCTTTATGAAGGAAGCTATACTCTTTGAAAACAAATGAAAGAAAAACTAAATAAATGAATGGATATTCCATGCCCAGAGATAGGAAGAATCAATATTGTCAAAATGTCAGTTCTTCCCAACTTGATATATAGATTTAATACAATCTCAATAAAAATCCCAGCAAATTATTTTGCATATATCCACAAACTAATTTTAATGTTTATGTGGAAAGAGAAAGGACTCAGAATAACCAGCACAATATTTGAGGAAGAAAATAAAGTTGGAGGAGTGACACTACCCAAATATTGGTAAAAGTATAGACAAATATATCAATGGAACAGGATAAAGAGCTCAGAAACAGACATACATAAATAGAGTCAACTGATTTTTGACAAGCAACAAAAGGTGTTCAAACAACTATACAGCCACATGCATAAAAAAGAAAATAAAGTGAATCTAGACACACTAGACACAGACCTTATGCCTTCAACAACAACACTCCAAATGGATCACAGATGTAAATGTAAAACACAGAACTATAAAATTCCTAAAAGATAACATAGAAGAAAATCTATATGACCTTACGCTGATGATTTTAGATACAACACAAAAGGCATGATTCATAAAAGAAATAATTGCTATGTTGAACTTCATTAAAATTGAAAATTTCTACTCTGGGAAAAACACTGCCAAGAAAATGAAAAGACATTGCTTCTCAGCCTTTTGGCTAAGATCAAGTGAAAATGAAAAGATAAGACACACACTGGGAGAAAATATTTGCCAAGACATACTGATAAAGGACCGTTATGCAAAATATACAAAGAACTCCTAAAACTCAACAATAAAAAAACAAACAAACAACCCAATTTAAAAATAAGTCAAAGACCTTAACAATACTTCACCAAAAAAGATATACAGATGGGAAATAAACGTGAAAGGATATCATATTTCATTGGGGAAATGCAAATTAAAACAACAGTGAGATATACTTTACACCTATTAGAATGACCAAAATCCAGAACGCTGACAACACAAAATACTGGCAAGGATACAGAGCAACAGGAACTCTCATTCTTTGATGGTGGAAAAGCAAAATGGTTACAGCCACTTTGGAAGGCTGTTTAGCAGTTTCTTACAAAACTAAACATACTCTTACCATATAATCCATCAAACACACTCCTTGGTATTTACTCAAAGAAGTTGAAAACTATGTCCACAAAAAACTGCACGGGGATGTTTGTAGCTGCTTTATTCATAATTGCAAAACTTGGAAGCAACCAAGATATCCTTCAGTAGGATAAACTGTGATATGTCCAGACAATTTAGCACTAAATAAAAACGACCTATCAAGTCATGAAAAGACACAGAAGAAACTGAAATGCATGTTACTAAATGAGGGAAGCCAATAGGAAATGGCTACATGCTGTATTACTCCCACAATAGGACATTGTGGAAAAGGAAAAACTATGGAGACACTGAAACTATCAGTGACTGCCAGGGTTAGGGGAGATAGAGGTATGAATAAGCAGAACACAGAGGAAATACTCTGAATGATACTATAATTGCGGCTACATGTCATTACATATTTGTCCAAACCCACAGAATGTTCACCACCTACAGTACACCTTAAAATTAACCATGAACTTGAGTGATGAGGTTTTGATGTAGGTTCATGGTAACAAATGTACCACTCTGATGAGTTTTTTTTTAATGGCAAAGTCTGCATTTCTCAAATGTAAAATGAGGGATTTGGATTTGATCAGAGATTTTCCAACCTGTTTCATTCCATTGTAAGTAAAATATAAATATAGAAGGTTTAGCATTTTAACCATTTTTAGGTGTTTAACTCAAGTACAGCCCACTTAAAAGTCCTTGGACATTATTTGGCACTAAGCATATTCATATTGCTGTACTGACATCATCATTATCATCCATCTCTAGAATTTTTTTGTTTTTTTCCTTTTTTAAAACTTTTCTTTAAGGATTTAGGGGTACAAGTGCAGTTGTGTTACATGGTTATATTCTGTAGTGGTAAAGTCTGGGCTTTCAGTGCATCCGTCACCCAAATAATGTCCATGGTACCCAATAGGTATCATTTCATCCCTCATACCCTCTCACCCTCCCACCTTTTGGAGTCTTCATTCTCTATGTTCACAAGTGTCCATTGTTTATCTTTCACTTATAAGTGAGAACATATGAGTTTTACTTTTTATTTTCCAGTCATTCCACTAAGGATAATGACCTGCAGAACTTTTTTCATCTTCCAAAACTGAAATTGTACTCACTAAGCACTTACTCCCCATTCCCCCTTCTTCTCTATCTCCTGGTAACCACCATTCTACTTTCTGTGTCTATGAATTTGACTGTTTTAGGGACCTCACATGAGTATTTGTCCTTTTATGTCTGGCTTATTTCACTTAGCATACGGTCTTTAAGCTTCATCTATCTTGTACATGTGTCAGTATTTCCTTTTTTAAGGCTGAATAATTTTCCATTGTATGGATATACATTTTGTTTGGCCATTCATCCAACATGGACATTTGGCTTGCTTCTACCTCTTGACTATTGTGAATAATGCTACTATGAACATAAGGGTATATAAATATCTTGAGTCCTTACTTCCAGTTCTTTTTGTTACATACCCTGAAGGAGAAGTGCTGGATAATATGATAATTCTAGTTTTAATTTTTTTAAGAACGGCCATACTGTTATCCTTAGCACCATTTTACATTCCCACTAACAGTACACAGGGTACCAATTTTTCCATACCCTTACCAATACTTGTTACTTTTTGCTTTTTTAGTAGTAGCCATCCTAGTGGGTATGAGGTGGTATCTCACTGTGCTTTTGATTAGCACTTTCCTAATGATTAATAATGTTGAACATCTTTTCATGTGTTTATTGGCCATTGTATGTCTTCTTTGGAAAAATGTGTACTCAGGTACTTTGCCCATATTTTAATTGGGTTGTTTGTTTTTTAGTTGTTGAGTTCCAACCTTTTCAAAAGCTGTGTAAACATTAACTTTCAGTGAAATCGTTTATCAAAACCCAATAAGCAAAATAGGAAAGGGCAGCCCTAGCCTGATTGAATTGGATTCATGTACAGGACTCAGAGCTCTGACATACTTGCCCAAGAATTTCTCATCCCAGATCATTCCCCCTCTTCCCCTCCAACATTTCCCCACAGCTGAAGGGGGTCTCTGGGACGCCTCCATGAAAACTTTAGTGCACACAGAACTGAGCAGAATTGAAAAATCACTAGACTAGATAACCTCTAGGCTACTTCCCAGGTAACAGACAGTGTTCATGTGAAGAATGACCAGAGTTTAATTGTTCAAAGGAGAAACTACTTAAAGTAAATGGGTTTTCACCAATACTTATTTGCAGAAGGCATACCCGTGATGTTCACTTCCTTCTGTAAAGACTCTGTTTTAACACGTAAGTCAGATTTATGCCATATTCTTCTGAAACACTGAAGATGTTTATTTTTCGCATGTTACTTATCAGATTCTTGTAGTGAATCTAATTGCTCAGTCATATCTTTTGGGGCACAGTACTCGGATAAGTCTGTCTGCAAAGTTTCTAAAAATGATTAAACTATTAGAGATATCCCTGTAGTATATTGATTGCAAATTTTTCCTTAATTTCTTCTCTTCTCCCTGTATCCACCCCACCCTTTGCAATGTGACTGTGTGGCTCCTCCCATCAAGAAGTGGAGTCTGATTTCCCATTCCCTGAGTCTGGGCTGGCCTTGCGGTTTGCTTTTTTCAATGGACTAAAGTGGAAATGGTGTTGAGGTAGTTCTGAGCTGTCCAGCTTCACTTCTGCTCTCATTCTTGGAATCCTGTCCAGCCACAGTGAAAACAAGCCTGGGCTAGCCTGTCTGATAATGAGGAACAAAGGGGTTCTATCATCTTGTTGCCCCAGCTGGCAGCCAGCCAACAGCCGAATATATCATAGTAGCTTTCCTAACCAATCCAGCACACAGCCACCTTACTCACTGACCACAGACATGTGTGCCAGCCCAGTGCAAATCAGCAGAACTGCCAAGTTGGCCCACAGACTCATGAGTAGTAATGAATTATTATTTTAGGTTGCTGAGATTTGGGGTGGTTTGTTAGATGGTGATACTTAAGTAATATTGTCACCAACTACTTCTTACAGCAAAACCAAAAGGTAATAAATAACAGTTAGCAATTCTGAGGACCTATTGCATCCTGTGCAATTTAAATCCTTCTCTCACTATCCTACTCTTCAACAGGTACTTGGACTCACTATCAAAAGGTAAACACTACACTTCGAATTTAAGGAAATTTTCACAAATCACAAAAGGTTCTGGAGATAATGTTTTATTTCAAAATACTCTGAGATGAATATAAACAAGTATTTGGGTATACCGAGGGGTTTGGTTCTTTTGTTTTTCTGTTCCTTCTGGGTTTTTCCTTTGGGGGTTTTGTCCTCCCTACCCGTGTGCTTGCATTTGGTAAGCCACACTTCTGTAGGGTAACCACATTACTTCACCAGCAGTGTTTCAAGAAAACATCTTCTGAAGTTATTTCAGGGAGCAAATGCATCTGTTTCTATTTGGCTATAAAATATGGTTAAAAACAAAAAGAAAAAGCAATCAGAAATAGCATTATATCTAATGCCCTTTCCAAATCAGAGAGTAGAGGTCTTTAGTTGGTTAAGCTGTCAGCATCCCCAAATATATGGTATCCCTGCAAAAGTAAGAGAAATTATGTCTCCTCTGTGGAGCAAGTGAGGGTTTAGCCTTCCCTGTGTCAAGAGTGCAGTACTCTCCCTGCACTCATTACCATGGTTCATTGCAAGCCAGCACTCCACAATGTCAGATGGCCACCGCAGCTCAGCCTTCTGACTTCAATATTCTCAAAGGCTGGGCAGTCTTCCTTTTGAGAACATTAAGCAGGAAGAAGAAACGTGAGACTAATTTATGCAAATGTATGCAACATCAATCAGATGGTCTCTGCCAGATAGCACAAATCACTGGGTGATTTAGTGCTTTCCTACTATGCACAAAAAGACTTCCAGACACCAGCTCTTTAGTATGGTGGCAGTGTACCTCGGCCACCAGCTAGGCTTTGCCATGGTAATTTGTTTCTTTATCTTTAAAAATAAACAGCACAATTCAATCTAACATCTCAGTTAAATAAGTAAAACCCAAAAGGCAAGCTTCAGTGTCTCGAATAAATTACCCAAGCCTACTGAAAGTTAGAATCAGGCCGAATTTAATCTAAGAGAAAGTAGAATAAGAAAAAATTTTTTAAATGAAGAGTTTCAAGGAGAGTGAGAGCTCAATTGACACTGATAAATATCACAGAGAGATGGGAAAGGAGGGACTCTGAAAAGTTGATTGATTGATTGATTGAATTATGGATTGATTTTTGCATGTGAACTTTAAAAGCTCAATTCCAGTCGGATAGCGGTGACGAACACCAAATAATAGTGACTCTAGGAATGAACAGGAATTAAATAATTAAAGATATAAGTATGTTTACAGGAAATTCAAGTGGGAGTGATAAGAAATGCAGTGGTAGTTTAAGGGGATCAAGGGGTCATGGAAAGGAATTTTTGGTGAGCACGGTAATGAATCACAGGGGCATGACTAATCCAGAGCAGCCAGTGGACCGACATTGAAGGCGCCAGGGAGAAAGGGGACAAAACAGGCATCCGAAGATGGGATTAAGAATGCATTTAAGATACAGCAGGTTTAAAACTTGCAACTCAGGTGTTTATACATGCAACTTGATCTTCTTGTCTATGACAGTACCTAATTTCTCTCCTAAATCCCCATTTCAACTCAGTATCTCTGTTGCTTTTGGTTCTAAGAAGGGTCAGTTTGGATTTAAACACTGGCAATTGAATATTAAAGATTGTCCTCCTCCCTCTCCTCCTTCTCTCATCCCCAGAAGGGAGCTGTTTCCCTGGGGTTTGTTTGCTGTCCTGGCTCTTGGTTCTCACGGCAAGGCATCTGGATCTTGGGCATCATGCTATGGTATATCCACCGATGTCCATGGTCCTATTACAGTTTCTAGTTCCTCATTCTATGTGCTCTGCATTCTCCTCAACAGAACCCCACTGGGACTTCCATGCTCAACCCTATCCTGAATGACAGGGCACCCTCATCTTTCTATGTCGTCCTGAGGGACTGCTCTCAGGTCCACCTGCCTACTTGCCACATGTCCAGTCATTGCCCACATACATATGGAACTTCTCGGTGAGGCTTTTAGAGTCCCCAGTTAAATCCCGGTAAGCCAAGCAATGGTCTCTTCTGTCTGGAATCCCACAAACTTTTCTGGGGTTTCTGATGGTCCCTCATAAGCTAGCAGGTTATAGGAAACCCTTTCTCATGCAATCTCTACCTACCAAACTCTAGCCATTTTCCTTCTGCCCTCCCTGGTGAGCCAGTGGCAGGAGCTTCCATGGCCATTCCCAGTGGGGGAGATGCTGCTCTCTGGATTTGGGGGATGGTTTACTCATAGACTTAATGCCTTTATTATTTAAAAATATTGAAATTAACTAACTATGATTCCACTAAAAAATCTGGAACCGACATAACTAAAGAAACTAAAAACAGGCTAGAATTAGGCATCAGTAAAAAATAGTGGTCAATATCTTCACTACTGTTTTCCACGGACTTCTCTCAAATCCCATTCATTGGCTCACAGGATTCTTCCTTTTCCAGAAAGTCAGGTCTCTGTTGGCATCCCATCCATGTCAGCAAAATTATCAAGAGTTATAAAGGGTCTGAGATTTTACTCTACTTGCAAATTAACAGGTTAAGCTACCAGTTTCATGGATGTTGACAGAAGACATGAGACTCTTGGGTCAGAGGCAAAGAACTTTATTACAGCAATAGCAGTAGCTAGAGCATTTGCTTTATCTTGTACTGATTCTCTGAGTCTCAGATCTCACAGAGTGAGTAGAAGACAACCAGGTGTCTCCTTCACATGCAGTGGGTTGAGTTACAAGAGAGGAACCCTGAGCTTAGGGTATCTGAATCTTTTATAATGCCTGCCATTTGTTATGTTGGGAGGCACTATCTCTGTCTTCCAAGACTGTTTGCTATACAAACATCCTTGAAAAGATAGTCCAGAACCAATGTGGCCATTGCCTCTGCTTGTGAGATATACAGAAATATAAGAAACCCACAGAGACTTGCCTCCAAACAGAGTCAGTCCCTTCTCTAATCTTCAGTAATCTATAGAATTTTTTAAATTACATTATTTTGTCATTTTTTTTGAGAAACTGAGAGAGAAAAAGAGCCAAGAGTGTGTGTTTAGAATGTCATCTTTGTCCCTGAAATCCTGAAATTTGCCTGTATAGAACAAATTAATTTATTTTCAAAAATTACTTTTCCTTGTGCCTGTGATAGAGTTTAACATGTAACATAGGTTTTACCATTTATTTTAATCTGTGTACCTATAGTTGCTTTTTACCTCTGTGGCCCTAGTGAATATCACCCATCATGTTATTACTGTTGACTGGGGGATAGGTTGAAAAAAGCTGCTGAATTTAAGAATGTCTTATGGAAATCTAGTAACCTTGTCTTGACCATGCTACAGGGAACTAATGTGTCAGAGGTTCACATTTCAACCGGAACTCAATAGGAGGAGAAAAATATCTCTAATACAGCAGAAGAGAGACACTGATCTCTAGAAACAAAGTCCCCCAGGAAAGTCAAATCTCTGATCTGGTCAAGCTGCACTTACAAAGGAGGAACTCTGCTTTTCATTTCTAGTATGCCAAAACCTTGGTTTGATTTGAAGAGAAAAAGTGGTTGCCTTTCTATCATTCCTTCTAAATTGTCTTCAGTGGCTACTCCGATGTCCTGGAATGTTGGGCTCTGTAGGTTTTCATATCCAATCTTCTTTCCTTTTCGTTCGATCTGATTTTAGTTGGCTTTCTCTCTTCCCAGGGAAGCAATTACCGGATAGAGATTGATAATATAGTCCTGGAGCGGTGGCTCACACCTGTAATGCCAGCATTCTGGGAGGCCAAGGCAGGCAAATCACTTGAGGTCAGAAGTTTGAGACCAGCTGGGCAACACGGTAAAACCCTGTCTCCGCCGAAAAATACAAAAATTAGCCGGGCATGGTGGTGCGCATCTGTAGTCCCCAGCTACTCGGGAGGCTGAGACAGGAGAATCACTTGAACCTGGGAAGCAGAGGTTGCAGTGAGCCAAAGCACTCAAGCCTGGGTGAGAGTGAGATTCTGCCTCAAAAAAAAAAAAGTCAAGAGTTCGAGATTGCTAATATATCAGTGTAGTTACTCTCCAAGCAAGAGACCCAAGTCATTCCCAGTGCCAATGATCTATTAAGATTTTTGTTGGTTCTATGATCTGACTGTCTCCTCCAAAATTCATGTTGAAACCTCATCTTCAAGGTCATGGTATTAAGGTGTGGTTCCTTTAGGGGTGAATGGGACTAGTGACCTTATACAAAAGCTCCAGGGAAGCTTGTTTAGCCCTTTTGCAAGGTGAGGACACAGTAAAAAGATGACATTCACCAGATATCAAATCTGCCGGTGCCTTAATCTTGGACTTCCCAGTCTCTTGGACTGTGAGAATATATTTCTGTTGATTATATACCACCCAGTTTATGATATTTTGCTATAGAAGCCCATATGGACTAAGAGAATTGGTTTTGTTGTTTGCTAAAGGTTGTGTCACATAACACTGTCTAGATAAAAGGAATTGACCTTTCCTGCATAAACTTTAGCATGTGATAGGCCCTTCATAAATATTTATTGAATAAATGAGTGAATGCACTAGATAAGAAATGCAGAGGTTGGACTGGGCGAGGTGGCTCATACCTGTAATCCCAGCACTTTGGGAGGCTGAAGCAGGGAGATCACTTGAGGTCAGGAGTTAAAGACCAGCCTAGCCAACATGGTGAAACCCTGTCTCCACGAAAAATACAAAAATTAGCCAGGGTGGTGGTGCACACTTATAGTCCCAGCTACATGGGAGGCTGAGGCACGAGAATCGCTTGAGCCCGGGAGGCTGAGGTTGCAGTGGGCCAAGATCTCACCACTGTAGTCCAGCCTGGGTGACAGAGCGAGATCCCATCTCAAAAAAAGAAAGAAATGCAGAGGTTAATGATAGTATTATTTTATTCGTATATCCTATAATTTGAAATGAACTGTCCTTCATACACATAAACTCTTCTTCCACATTGGTGATGAATTTACAGTGAATGATTGATCATTCCTCTTTTACCTGGTCTTTCTTATAAAATTAATGGCATATACTAGGGGATCAATCAAAGGAGCTTCTAACCCCGTGTTTCTTCCTTCCCAGGGCCTACCTCATGCTGTCTCCTTACAAACACCAATTCAGTGTAGGACAAGGTAGGCTGGTTATGAAATAAAGTACAGTTAACCGTGTTATGTGGGAATTGAAATCATGACCTCATGTGCATAACACCTGCAATCAGCCAGTGAAGGCCTGATAAATCTTTGCATTTGTAAGAGTTAGCTAAACACTCAGCCTTTAGGAGTATGCTTTGGGAAGGGTTCCAAGAGTTGGACTGGTAAATATTCTACCTCTTTATTCACTGCCAAATTTCTAAGCTTTATACTCAGTTGTCAATTTTTTCTATTTTTAGTAGAGACGGGGTTTCACCGTGTTATCCAGGATAGTCTCGATCTCCTGACCTCATGATCTGCCCGCCTCAGCCTCCCAAAGTGCTGGGATTACAGGCGTGAGCCACCGCGCCCAGCCAAAAGTCTGTGTTTCTTTTGGGTAAAATTACTTTCAGAAAGTATTAGCTCCCTATAGTCAGCTTAAAGGATTCCTGGAATGACATGGCTAAACATGTATCAATTCCCTGGCTAATTTCCTTCAAGACAATACAAGATTATATCACACTGCTTGCTTCAGCCTGGAGTTCTTCCTATCTAAAAATAAGAATGTATCTTTCACATGAAAGAAACCCTAAGCTTTGAAAGAAACCTTGGTTTCACTTGTTACATGAAACTCCTGTGTGTGTACAATCTACTATATTTGTCCTAACTGTGTCATGGTTTTAGGTGCCTCTAGGCATACCAGAAAGACATCTTGCTTGAATTACCAAGGTTCTGTGCTTTTAGGAGACACTGGATTAGGAGCAAGGCACCTCAAACAGACACTTCCTTCTCTCTCTGGGCACCGTCAAAACCTCCAGATAACCTGGCAACTGCAAATGAATTTCAAGCATTTGACAAAGTGGGGTTGAACATCACTTCACTCTGGTTTGCCGCGGAAGCCTTAATATTAAGGTATACTTTTTTAAAACTGTATTTTTCTGTATTCTGTATATAGAAACATTTTCTATTTCTCCATGTTTCCTATATTTCTTTTTTTTCTAGCTAAAGAATTTATTTCAACATTTGCAAAATACTATATCACAATTATTTACCTTTCTTTGTTTTCTGTATTTCTATCTTTCCATTCAGTTAATTTGTACCCCATTTTGGAAAGCAAGTTGGTAAATCAAAAGTCTTAAAATGCTCATAGCTTTCCTCCCAGTAAATCTATATCTGGGAATCTTTCCTAAACAAAGCATCCTAATCATCTAAAACAATGTTGCAGTATTATAATATTGAAAAGGACCAAAATGATCAACCATAGGATGCTTAGTTTTTAAAAAGCATGATTATATTTACAAAGAGTTTTGAATAACATTGGCAAATGTCTATTATTATATTTGCTAAAAAATTGAATACAAAATTATATTCTCTATGTAAACACAGTGTACACACTATAAGCACAGCCCTGACACATAAAAAACGTAATGCAAATATTTGTTAAATTCACTCATTTGAATGAATCACAGCTATGTTGAAAAAAAAGAATCCTGCCTAGAAAACAAAATTTACACATTCATATGGTTATCTCTGGACGACAAAACTAAGCATGATTTTGTTTATTTTAAGATTAGTATAATTACATTAACATTTTCATAACATGAAAAATAAAATTATCTTGAAAAAGAAATATGTTTATGAGCATATTCTAGGGAGTTCAACATACAAGAGAAATTCTACTATATATTGAGGCTTCCATTGTTTGATTAACTTTTTAAAAACATGGTCTAGAAGCCTAAACTTTTTCACCTAAAGCTGCATTTCAAATACTAGTTGAGATATGGAAATAAGACGCCTCACAACTTAGTTCTGAAATTATGTATCCTCATAATCATAGCTACCCTTTATTGATACCTAATTTACATCAGATGCCAAGATAAATGATATACCATTGAATTTAATTTTATTTTTATTTCATTCATTCATTTAATACATTTTGAAAGCAGCTGCTAGGTACAAGACACTTAGTATAAAGGTAGCAAAAAGTTTTTGCCATGAAGGAAGTTATTAGATTGGTGCAAAAGTAATTGTGGCCTTTGCCATTAAAAGTAATTGCAAAAACTGCAATTACTTTAGTGCTAACCCAGTATAAGGAGACCTGACCTTAATTAAATGAGGACACTAGTGTTTTGGATGTTGACCCACCCAAAACAATACTGTTACTAGAGCGTAAAAGAGGGACGATCACATCCAGGTGAGGGTCATAGGAAGGGCTAATGATTGAGCAGAAACTGTAGGATTAAAGCAAAGGCCCCTGGCCCTGGCCCACCAGGCTAGAGGGAGAAAGTGCAAGACCGGGACCCAGGCCAAGGCCACACACAAGGCCTGGCTCCTCTTCCGGAGACTGCTGGTCAGAAAATAATTTTCCCCAGGTGCCTGAAGTCTCGTAACGCAGATACTCTAGACATTTTCCGTTTTCTGATTTTATATATATATATATATACATACACACACAAACAAATATTTAAAATGGGCATGTGAAAATATGTGTTTGTGTATTTTCACATACCCATTTCATATATATATACATATATGAAATATATATTTCATGTATACATATATGTATATATGAATATATATCATGTATCATATATATCATATATACACATATATATGAAATGGGTATACATATATGAAATATATATTTCAAGTATACATATATGTATATATGAATATATATCATATATCATATATAATATCATCTATACACATATATATGAAATGGGTATGTGAAGATACACAAACATATATTTTCACATGCCCATTTTACTAAAAATATGGGGTTTTTTTTTTTACAATGTTTAATTCTATTCTAGTAATCCTTAAATTTTGATGTGTATTCTTGAATGGTTAAAAACATGACTTTTTTAAAAATAAAAATGATCTGTAGAAACCTGTTTCCATAATGATAGAAATCTTGACTTTCCGTCTTGCTGACAGATCCCAGTTAGAAATTTAAACCAAATTGTTTCCATCAATTAGTAGGCTCGGAGAGAAAGTGTGGAGGACAGGAGTTTCTGCAAATTTATCAGAATTTTAGAGGAAAATGAACAGTTGTACCTTCCTGAGATGTGAGTTTATATTGACCACCAGATTTCTCTAGCACTGATCATAGATTCGAACTTATTTATTTATTAACGATGATGATAAAACTACCTAACATTTTTGAGAACCATCTGTATGCCAGGCACTCCTCAAAATTCTTTGCACAGATTACCCCCATTAACCACGATGCCAACCTCATGGCCGGCAAGGCAGAAAAATCTCATTCTCACTTTACCAGTGGCTAACTGTGAAAACTCCATTCATGTTGGCCATTTTCACTAGTCATTTGAAAATCCAGCAAATGAAATCAGACATTTTGTGGTGGATGAAGAAACTTTTTTGGTTTGTTCTCTTTTTTTGAGACAGAGTCTCACTCTGTCACCCAGGCTGGAGTGCAGTGGCACGATCTTGGCTCACTACAAACTTTAGCTCCGGGGTTCAGGCGATTTTCCTGCCTCCGCCTTCTGAGTAGCTGGGATTACAGGTGTCCTCCACCATGCCCAGCTAATTTTTGTATTGTTAGTAGAAATGGGGTTTCACCATGTTGGCCAGGCTGGTCTCTGAACTCCTGACCTCAGGTGATTATTCCACCTTGGACTTCCAAAGTGCTAGGACAAATAGGCATAAGCCACCACACCTGGCCTGAAACAATTTTTAAGAAGTGATTTAGTTGCAAGTTGGCTCAGATCCTCTGTTTAAACATTATGAATTCTCCTCAAGTTATCAGAATTGACTAACTTTTAGTTAAGCCCCATTCCATGGCAAATAGAACATACCTTAGGCTAGGGACAAATTTATTGCATCTTTATATATTTGTGAAATTTAGCATTCTGCCTCTAAATTTCCTGTAATAAAAATACTCTTAGAATGATCCTTCTTGAAAGGACGTGATTCTAAGGAAGTCACTGAACATAAATAACTAAGTAAAGAAGGAGGGGGAGGGCATTCCAGAGAGGTTTCTCATCACTGCTATTTGCATGGATTTTTACCTGGGGGCAGCCAGTTACTAACTCTGAGCTGCTTTCAGGAACTTCCAAGTACACGGAGTTCAGGGATCTCCTTTTTCCTATTAACTTGGTTATAATGGTTTCCAGGATTAATAAACAAACTCAAAGTTTGGCCCAGGAAGCAGCTCTCATGTTATAAATCATAGCACCCACAACTTTACCATCTAAATAGATAATGATATCCAAGTCAAGTATTTCCATGGGAGGGTTTTTCATTGTCCTAGCAGAATGAAAGTTTTAAGGAACTTTGTCTTTCAGGTATTATAAACTTTGGGGGCCTCTTCCAGTTTTTCCTACACGCAGACGAAAAAATGTCACAGCTCTAGGGATGCTTAAGTCTCACCCAGTGACCTGCAAGTTCTTCAACAGACGGGAAATTGAGAACCAGGATTATAGCACTCAGACCCCTATGGACTGAAAAAGTGGCTAGTTTGACTTCCTTCTGAATTCTTTTCACACAATAGTAAATGACAAATAAAAATCAGAATCTGTTACTCTAAGAGGAGTGTCCCTCTGTGATGTCATATAATAAATGGTGAGAGACAGAGAAGATGGGAAGGCGTGTGGAGGCTTCTATCTTAGGCCTGAGGAAAGTTTCAAAACAATTACGCAATCAGGAGCAGGAGTCATTGTTGACTGGCAAGTGGCAAAAAAAAACAAACAAAAAAAAAAACAGAAAGATAGATAGATAAATGGATAGATTTGTTTTCATTGGCTCTTACAGGTGATGAGTTCTTGAAGAAGGGGTGGAAATTAACAAAATCTATATGTATCCATGAGGGCTTTTCCTCCATTACTTCTGTAGGCAGGAGATTCTCTAGAATTGTGTCCACCATGGCTGTAATTAATGAGAACCAAAGATGTCCAATGTAATCTGTTTCAGCAGTCATAATAGAACTTTTAAAACATCTTTCCTTTTACGATTCCATCAGCAGCCCTTGCTTGAATACCAGACTGATGTGTTTGCTAATCAATAACTCATTAATAGTTATAATGACCACAAAGACTTAAGCTGTCCCTTAAAGTAGGAGCTGGATGCCTGTGTGGAATCCTGAGGGCTTTGTTGATTGGTTAGGTAGGTAGGTGAAGAATTAGTGAAGAAAATTGTGATCAAATCCTTCCTCACATTTTTTACCAAGATCATAAAATGGAAGAAAAGTAAATTGGGATTAAAACAAGGCAGTTATTTTCTCATCTGCTCTCATTGAAAAGGAATGTTTGTCATCTGCATGCTCCTAATAACAAACATTCATTGAGCACCTATGGGCAAGACACAGTGGGCCTTAGGATCAGGATGAGTCCGCTGGTGGCTCCATGCAGGAGAGAGATGGCCATCCCAACCATGCTGAAAGAACAGAACGAAGACACCAGCACGGAGGCAAATGGTAAAGACCAGTCTCGTACCACTGAACAATGGGCTACAGGGAGCCCAAAGATGAGGATGCTACACTTCTTACCCTCAGAGAGCTTATGGGACCATGTGACCGGAGAGAATTTAGGTCAGCTTGTTAGCATCACAGGAACAGAAAACGAGATGAAACTCACTGTCCCTAGGACTGCTGTAACTTTTGTGGCACCTACAGGAGGTCAACTTGAAAAAGGAAATTGCTTCATCAGGAAGGAAAAAGAGCTGCTTGCTGATGCAGGAGGTAGAAAGAAATTATTAGACAGATAGTAGGTGCAGCAGAGTCCCCAGTAAAATGTCCCTTTTAACAAAAAGCAGGCCCCAAATCACTTCCTTTCTAACAAACAGCAGCCTGAAAAATTGAGCTGCAGACAAATAAGCAAGCTGGAAACTTGCATGGGTGAATGCCAGCAGCTGTGCCAATATAAAAGGGCTACCTGGAGGCCAGGTATGTCCAACATAGAGTCTCCATCTTCTCTTTTTTTTGTCACCACATGTACAGTAAAGGAACAGGCAACATGGCACCGGCCAGGTAGAGAACCACCTGCAATGGCACACCGAGTCCTAACCAGTTTTTCGCGCCTTATGCAAATGAAACACCTGGTCTGACCAATCTTTCATGCCCTCTGTAAATCAGACACCACCTCCTCAAGCTCATCTATAAAAAACCTTGCATTCCACTGTGGAACCAGCAACTCACTTCTCCAGCATGCCTCTCTGCTGCAGAGATCTCCTCTCTTTCTTTTGCCTATTAAACTTCCATTCTGAACCTCACTCTTTGTGTGCCTGCGTCCTAGTTTTCCATGGCCGTGAGACAATGAATCTCGGGTATTTACTCCAGATTATTACCCCAATAACGCCACTTCATCGTTAGTGTATATATATATATATAGAGAGAGAGAGAGAGAGTAATAAAATAGCTAGCACTGACTGAGTACTAACCTTGAGCTGTATATCAAACTCTTTATTACATATTACATTTTATTACATTTTATTAATGTAATAACTCATTATTACATTTAACCCCTATAGTAATCCTATGAGATAGATATTATTGTCATTTCCAGTATATAAATGAGACAACTGAGCCTCAGATATAGTACTTTATGTAACGAACGTGGCATGGCTTCCTTCAAAATCTGCTCTCTTGACCCTTCTGCTGTCCTGAATATCATTAAGAAACACAAATATGTTATACAACTAAAATAAAACCATCATAAAGCAGCTTATATAACCAAAGGCTTCTCAGCCTCCACATACTGGCTGTTTTTTTTAAGCAATATTAAATGAAAGAATGTTCTAATAAAATCAGAAATGTCATATAATCTTCCGATGCTCCTAAAAATGGAATGTGAATTATGGTCAAACTATTAATAATATATTAAACTATCCAGAGAAAGAAGGCAAAGATAGAGGTGTGACTTGCTTTTTCTCTGGATAGATAAGATCGTCAGACCAAATGAAACCATACAAACCACACATCAAGATGTTTGACAAGCTCTTCCTGGCTCCTCCAAAATGTAATTTTGGCAGCAACTTTGGACAGAACATCAATTCAAATACATAAATAAAAGGACATGGATTATCACAAAGAGGACAGCCCAGAACTCAAATATTTTCTATTGACATTGAAAATAACTTAAAAAGTGATGATTACTCTGGAAATGTTTGCATTGTGGACCTTAATTTCTCTGTGTAATTCCCTCTGTGAGGAAGCAACTAGCAAGGGACCTAACTGGGTGTAGAAATCAGGAAGCTGTGCTGAGGAGGTGATATTCAAGTTTCTCATCTTGAAGGAGGATTAGGAGTTGGGGAGGGAGGGTCTGGGGGAAAGAAGTGTATACACAAAAGGCTGAAGGCAAGAGAGTGCACATGAGGTGAAACCTGCAATCGTTTGGTGTAACTGGAGGTTAGTGTCTGAGAAAGGGCGAGCTGTGGAGGAATTTATGCCTATGGTGGCAAGAAGCTATTGAAGAGTTTTGCTAAATGTTAAGTGTATCTACTGTTTCCCAGGCTTTATTTAAGGATTCATGAAATCATGTTTGTAAAACCCATTTGCAGCCCTTAAAAACGAATACTAAAGAAATACCAGGGTGTTTACATGTTTTCTTGCAGATGACAAATGCAAAACACCATCCATAAGGTTTTTAGGAAAAAAACTCGAGGATTTCATTCTAATTGTGAGGAGACTCCCAGACGTGTCATTATAGCTAATCCCATGAAGCCCAAGTCACAGATAAAAAAATTACTTTAAATGGCAAATATGCACTTATTTATAAACAGATTTGATAGAATCACACTTCCAAACACGCATTTGCTTATTATTCCCTGTAAAATGACAAAACTATCACCTGATTGTTCATTAATTCTCCTGGAACATTCCAAACCTACCCAGGTAACAACTACTAAGGGTTCACAAAACATTTTTAGCTATTGATTTCCCAGGCACGCCACAAGCGATGAACAACAGCCATGATCTATGAAGCCGCTGCAATGAAGCAAAGCTACAGCAATTACTAAGTACTTGAGTGAAGTATGGAAAACTTCACTGTTGGATAAAAAAATTAAACCTAGTTTCTGTACCCAATGGGTCATGCTAAGTTACATGTTACATGACTAAGTAATCATGACTTTGCCAAAAAGGTACAAAATAGGCACAAATGGCTCTCATCCCTCCTCATCCTCTTCTTGTCTGAGGACAGTGATGAATCATGCTGACCACCTCTCTCTGGAACTTATCACTGCTATGCCTTGTTAAAGCAAACTAAATATGGCCTGGGAAGGACTCCATACTTCTGTATTTGAGTCCTTGTGGACGAACTGCAACCTACCTTAGTGTGCAGACAAGATTGAAACCCTAATTTAGGATTACAGCCTGTAACAATAGCTGAGTCTCAGCCAATCTCAGCAGCCACACTTCAACCATTCATACAGTGCTGAGTGTTCAGACTGTGTTCAAATAACACAAATGCCAAGCTGTAACCAATCCACCTGTTTCTGCACCTCACCTCTGATTTCTGTACGTCACTTCCCTTTTTTTGTTCTGACCATGAGGTACCCCTGGAGCCTCTCTGAATCTGCAGTAATTCTGGGGGCTGCCTGATCCGTGAATCATTCATTGCTCAATTAAACTCCTTTAAATTTAATTCTGCTAAAGTTTTTCTCTTAACAGCCCATTTATCTATTCAACACATTTTATTGAGCTCTGTTCTGGTCACTATGCTGGGCAACGGAAGAGAGAAATTAATAAGACTTAATTCCTGCCTTTGAATTGCTCACAGTGAGATGGGACAGGCATGTAGATTTTTAAAAAAAGAATGCAATACAGAGTCAGGACTAACAGAGCCATCGGAATATACAAGGCCTTATTTGTAACTTTGAGATATATGTTGTCCCCAGAACCAGGGTCATAATAAAAAATAAACAGGAATTCCCAGCTGCCAGCTTTCACTAAACAGTCTCTTACCCAGGACAACAGTTAATCTTTAATAGGAAAAACAGGAAGCATCCTATTCAAAATCCTGGTTGAAGGATGCAGACTGAATATTCATTAGGGTGGGGGTGAAGGCTGAGGGGAGCAGGAGTGAGAAAATAGCAGGAAGCCAGGAACACCCATGGTATGAGAATTTCTTGAATTGTTGAGATGTGTTTCCTAGACAGCTTCCACGGAGGAGGAGGGCTGTTGAAGATGTTCTCTTGTTAGATGCACTGTAACAATGACGACTAGTTTAGATCATAAAATATTCTTTAGTTCCTGACCATTTTCAGTTCACACACTCTGTATACATCTTACCATTGAGGCATATGAGAGTGAAAGCATCACTGGCTTTCTGTACTGTCACCTAAAGTCACAATTTTTAAAACACAGAGGCTGTATGAAACCATAATTATGATGTAGTGCAGCCAGGAGAACTAACAAAGAAGAATACGCTTTCTTCTTGCTCTTGTTGTTTCTCTTGTTATTAATCCACTGCTTTTCTGCTATTGACATTGGGCCTGGCTAAATGGTTGGTGGACAGGTAAACCTAGAGGCAAGCTTTCAGAGAGGGCATCATATATATACAGTAGTGCTAAAACACAGGACAAGAAAATAGTTCTAGAAAATGAGGGTTTGTCTTCCTCTCTATTTCTCTAAAAGAGGAAGGAAGAAATGCATATTAGCAGTGTAATTAAGTCAGATGTCTTGCTGAATTAAGACATTATCTCTGAATGCAGCCCCTCTAAGGGACAGCCAGGAAATTTGAAAGGTGACCTAAAAAGAGGATTTTATTGTAAGAACTGAAAAATACTTGCTGGCAATATTTAAGTAGAAGTTAAATGCATTTGGCTGAGCTGCATAAAGGAAATCGATGTTCTCTATTAGCTAAATTCGAGGACATTCACGTCTGCTTTCCCAGCCCTTGAGAATGTATGAGGTCCAACAACCCAGTTCTTTCAAAGTCAGTCACAGCTTCTCACTTCCCTTCTTCTCCTCCCTCCTCCTACACACTCTGCCTCCAGCCTTCATCCTCCTAACTCCCAGACAAATGCACAAACATCTGTGTTCAGGTTCCTTCCCTCACATCTTCCTGGGAGGATGGGAGCGGCAGTCTGACTGCCTCACAGTACCACTCTGACATTGGTCACTCCTTCAGAGTCTCTTATCGGTGTACAGAGGACAACCAACTCCAAGTAAGGGGGCCAGGGGGTACACATGACGCAGATGACACTTCCTATTCTAGTATCACCTCCTACTCCTCCCCAGACAACACAGGTGAAGTCTTGAGGGGGAAAATTAGTCATAGAAAGCGGGCAGGAGAGGCATTGTGGGTGCTGAGTAAAGTGGAGAAAGTGAGAAGAAGGGGCTGGGCACGGTGGCTCATGCCTGTAATCTCAGCACTTTGGGAGGCTGAGGTGGGATGATCACTAGAGGTCAGGAGTTCAAGACCATCCTGGCCAATATGGCAAAACCCCGTCTTTACTAAAAGTACAAAAATTAGGGCTGGGTGCGGTGGCTCATGCCTGTAATCCCAGCACTTTGGGAGATCAAGGCACGTGGATCACCTGAGGTCAGGAGTTTGAGACCAGCCTGGCCATCACGGTGAAACCTCGTTGCTACTAAAAATACAAAAATTAGCCAGGCATGGTGGCAGGTGCCTGTAATCCCAGCTATTTGGGAGCCTGAGGCAGGAGAATCTCTTGAACCCAGGAGGCAGAGGTTGTGGTAAGCCAAGAGAGAGTTACTGCACTCCAGCCTGGGCGACAGAGTAAGACCCTATCACAAAAAAAAAAAAAAAAAAAAAAAAAATTAGCTGAATTTGGTGTAACACGCCTGTAATCCCAGCTACTAGGGAGGCTGAGGCAGGAGAATCACTTGAACCTGGGAGGCGGAGGTTGCAGTGAGCCGAGATCACACCACTGCACTCCAGCCTGAGCAACAGAGCGAGACTCGGTCTCAAAAAAAAAAAAAAAAAAAATTACCTGGGCATGGTAGCATGTAGCTGTAATTCCAGCTACTGGGGAGGCTGAGGCAAGAGAATCGCTTGAGCCTGGGAGGCAGAGGTTGCTGTGAGTCAAGATGGCGCCACTGCACTCCAGACTAGGTGACAGAGTGAGACTCCATCTCAAAAAAAAGAAAGTGGGAAGAGGGGATTATTGATTAGATTTGATGAATGGAGATCTCAAAGTGTATCATGTGCACGTCTTTCAAGGTACTCCAGCTCACTGCCCCCTTACCATTGTATGTGAGCCCCCCCTCTGCACCTTTTCTAAAGAAAAGGCACCTAACTCTTTGGAGGGAGAATGGATTGGTCATAGACCCCTATCGCCATTAAAATAAACATACATGACATATTTTGCAAAAAAAAAAAAAAAAAAAATTCAGTGTTGGCCCCCCCATAAAGGCTTTCCATTTTCATTATCCTCTTCACCAAGTCAGAAATCCATCTCAGAGCTTCTGGCCAACCTACCTTTTGAACTCTGGCCAGCCCCTCTTCCTTTTGAACTCAAGGGTTGACACTGGGTGCTCCCTGGTGCCACACTGCCTCGAAATTCTGAGCTATCCTCTTTTCATCCTAAAACCCAAACACCTGTGCTGCTTAGTGACTTTGCCCTTTATACAGCACTTCCATAGAGATTATTCCATTGGAACCTTCTGGAACTAGGCGTGATTGGTCATCCCATTTTTGAGATAAGACCTAGAGACATTAATGCACCTTGCCCAGGGCCATGCCCTTAGGGAGAGCAGAGCTGGAACCCCAAAGGCATCTCTTGACTCCAAAGCCCTGCTCTGTCCTCTGTACTTTGCAGCTTGTTTTTTCAGAGTCTTGAAAGTTTAACACCTCTTGACTGGGCTCTAAAAATGTGATTCTGATCCAGGTATTTACATGTGAATTTAAGAGCCCAGAGAGTTCCTTCTTCAGGGTGAAAACTACGTAAGAAAAAAAAATCAAAGCATTCTTTGGCATTTCGTGGCACAAAAATAAATACTTTAGGTGTACACACCCTTCCCTTTTGGCAGGTTTTAAATAAATGGATTATTCATGGATTCTTCAGCATTCTAGTGAGTCCTGGCTTGGTGCACTGCTGAACACCCCATGATGGGCTACTCATCTGTGGCCACTCCATCTCTAAAAACAGGGATCCCAAAGGCCTAATCTTAAAGTGGTCAGGAGCATTCGATATGAGCTTAACAGTTGGCAGACAATTTGTATGTTGCCCTAGTTAACATTTCTCTGTTTTTTTTCTTTTAAAGCATTTTGTAAGAAAGTAATTTCAAATAAATCATTTCATTTATCTGGGATGCAGTTTCCCCATCTATAAAATAGGTATGACTCTGGCCTGCCTTTCTGTATAAAACAGAGGTATTCAAAGATCCACCAAGTTTCTGAGCTATTGGTGTATGACGGTCCTAGGGCTGCCATCACAAGATATTGCAAACAACAGGAATTTATTCTCTCACAGTCCTAGAGGCTAGACATCTGAGATCAAGGTATTGGCAGAACCGTGCTCCCTGCAAAGGCACTAGGGAAAGATCTGTTCCCCGTCTCTCTCCTCACTTCTGGTCGTTTCTTGACTTGAGGCACCCTAACTCCGGTCTTCACATGGAGTTGTCCCTGGGTACTATGCCCCCTTACTTGCCATTCCTTTTATAAGGACACCAGTCATAATGAATTAGGGGCCCACCCTACTTCAGTGTGAACTCATCTTAACTAACCATATCTGTGGTGACCCTGTTTCCAAATAAGGTCACGTCCTGACATATTGGGGGTTAGGACTTTTTTTTTTTATTTTTTATTTTTTATTTTTTTTGAGACCGAGTCTCTCTTTTTCACCCAGCTGGAGTGCAGTGGCACAATCTCAGATCACTGCAACCTCCACCTTCAGGACTCAAGCGATTCTTGCGCCTCAGCCTCCCAAGTAGCTGGAGCTACAGGCGCACACCACCACGCCCAGCTAATTTTTGTATTTTTAGTAGAGACAGGGTTTTGCCATGTTGGCAAGGCTGGTCTCAAACTCCTGACCTCGAGTGATCCATGTGCCTCGGCCTCCCAAAGTGTTGGGATTACAGGCGTGAACCACCATAAATGGCCAAGACTTTGATATGTAAATTTTAAAGGGGATAGAATTCAACAGTTCTATATTTACATATACAGATGCTCCTGGACTTACTCTGGGGTTATGTCTGGATAAACCCACTGTAAATGGAAAATATTAAAAATTGAAAGCATGGGCTGAGCATCTGACACCTGCAATCCCGGCACTTTGGAAGGTCAAGGCAAGAGGATAGCTTGAGGCCAAGAGTTCAAGACCAGCCTGGGCAACATTGTAAGACCCCCTACCACCTCTACAAAATTAAAAAAAATTTAAAAAAATTACCCAGGTGTAGTGGCACACATCTTCAGTCCCAGCTACATGAGAGGCTAAGGTGAGAGGATTGCTTGGGCCCAGGAGTTGAGGTTACATTGAGCTATCATTGTGCCACTGCACTCCAGCCTGGGCAACAGAAAAAAAAAAGAAAGAAAGAAAGAAACAGAAAATGTGTGTTTGACTCACAGTATTTTCAACTTTTGATAGGTTTATCCAGATACAACCCAATCATAAGTTGGGGGGTGAACTAAATGCATGTCATTTTCACACCATTGTAAATCAAAAAATTTTAAGTCAAAAGTATTGTAAGTCAGGAACTGTTTGCACCCATCTGAGGACAGAAGCAACACTACAGCTGTCAGTAATTCAGGTTCCATAGCAGAAGGAATAATGACAGCTTTCATGTGCATATAGATGATGCGTATATGTGGACCAGCCAGTGTTAGAGCTGGAGTCAGAGGACTGTGATGTCAGTTCCAAATCACCAAAAAGAGGCGAGCCAATGCCTGTGTGGCCTGGAAAACACATCTCTGTGGGCTGGCAGCCAGCATGAGAGAAGCACAAGCTGTAACACCAAGAGGTTTACAGAGTCCCCATGAGAGGGTGGCAGAAGCACCTCCAGGCTCCCACAGGGGCCCCAGTGCCTCTACCACAATCAAAGCTGCCCCTAGCCCTGCAGTGCCCTCGGTGGACACAGACGCAGGGAGGCTGACTCACTCACGCTCCAGTATGGAAAGCCAAGTGTCAATGTATTCATTTCTACCAAGGGATGTTTCTTTCCAGCAACAAAAATACCCCATTGCCTACCAAGGGCCCAGAGCCACTGCCTCCTGACATTAATCAGAAGGATGCGTCATGAGCATGGAGTGAAGCCAGATGCAGCACGACACAGTGGCCTCACTTACCCCACTGTGGTCAAGCCTTCTCACTGGGTGGTCCACATGAGGGTGTTGCTCTCCTCTGGACATTGGTGGGGCACTGCCACCCTCTGCCTCTGCCTTCCCTCACCTGGCCCCCAGGCTGGACACCCATTTATGTTCATACAGCCTTTCCCACAAAGGCCATAGTGAGATCTCAAAGGTCTGATTCAAATGTGCCAAGGGAGCCAGGGAAGAATGGGGGAATGGTGGTCTCTGATAGTCCCCAGGGAACTGAGAAGATGCTTCCCATCTACCTGAGAAAATTAAGAAACCCTGAACCTTCCCCTCTTCCATATCGCCCAGCAATCCCAGGCCATACCCCAAATCCACCCCTTGGGTCACACCTCAGGGGTTCACACCACAGGGGTTCACACCTCAGGAGATCACACTGCAGGGGTTCAAACCCCAGGGGAATCACAGCACAGGGTTTAACACCCCAGGAGATCACACTTCAGGGTTCATACCTCAGGTGATAACACCGCAAGGATTCACAACTCAGGAATTCATACCTCAGGGGAATCACACCACAGTGGTTCACACCTCAGGGGATCATACCTCAGGGGATCACACCGCAGGGGTTAACACCTCAGGGAATCACACCACAGGGGTTCATAACTCAGGGGATCACACCTCAGGGGTTCACACCCCAAGGGAATCACACCACAGGGGTTAGCACCCCAGGAGATCACACTTCAGGGTTCATACCTCAGGTGATAACACCGCAAGGATTCACAACTCAGGGATTCACACCTCAGGGGAATCACACCACAGAGGTTCACACCTCAGGGGATCATACCTCAGGGGATCACACCACAGGGGTTCACACCTCAGAGGATCACACCACAGGGGTTCACATCTCAGGGGATCACACCTAAGGGGTTCACACCTCAAGGGATCACACCTCAGAGGATCACACTGCAGGGGTTCACACCTCAGGGGATCACACCTCACAGGATCACACTGCAGGAGTTCACACCTCAGGGGATCACACCAGAGGGGTCCACATTTCAGGGAGGGTCACATCTCGGGGGTGGGGGTCACACCTCAGGGGATCATCCACTCACTCTGAGGAGGTGCACAGCTGTGGGAGATTTGTTCCAGAATCCAGGCAAGTCAGAGGTCACAGAAATTCAAGGGACCACCTGATGCAAGGCTACAGCACCTTCTTCTTTCCTACCCAAACACACACTAGCACACACACAAAAAACACACATATGCACCACATACACACACATCAAACACACATATCACACGCACCACACACAAACCACACACACCACACAAACCACACACAAATACACATATACCACACACACAACACGTAGCAACACAAATGCACACATACCACACATGCCACACACCACACACACCATATACACACACCACACACACATACACACCACACACAGTACACACACCACATACCACACATATGATATACACACATCACACACACACATAAACACACATACCACATACACTACATACTACACACACTATACACACACCACAAAAACACACCTTGCACACCACACAGACACACCAAATACACACACCACACACACAAACCACACACACCAAACACACCATGCACCATGCACACACATACACCACACATCACACACTACATCATACATACATACCACAAACACACAGCACACACACAAAACACACAGCACACACAAACACACAGCACACACACACACCTACACTCAAGTGAGCCTGAGAAGCACATGAGATGCCCTCTGTTCCAAAGCTGAGCTGTTAGAGCCCCTCTGGGTAATGCTAAGGCTGTTCTCCAAAACACTTCTGCCTGCTAGGATTTGGAAGAGAATCAAGAATTAGTTTAATAATTCTTCTAAGAACACATTTTCAAAAAATAATTATGTATTTGCACAAACACAATGTGTGTACAAAGGTGTACATTGGAGCTTTTCTTGTGTAACGGGAAAGAAAGCAGCCTTAGTGCCCAGCATGCGGAAATGCTTAAATAAATTATATTTTACCCGTCAGTGAAGTACTAATCAACTGCTTTTTAAAAAAACATGATTTTGCAGATTTTGCAATGTCCTTGGAAGATTCCCACAAAATACTTACTAGGAGGAAAAAAAAAAGCAGCATATAAAACTGTAATAAAATGATGAGATTCTCCAAAAGGTTAATACTCTTTTTATTAGGCCATTATTGCATTGCTATAAAGAAATACCAATGAATACCAGGTAATTCATAAGGAAAAGAGGTTCAATTGGCTCACAGTTCTGTAGGCTGTACGAGTATGGTGCCAGCATCTGGTCGGCTTCTGGGGAGGCCTCAGGGAGGTTTTACTCATGGTAGAATGTGAAGTGGGAACAGGTACATCACATGGTTAGAGCAAGAGCAAGAGAGAGAGCAAGAGGAGGTGCCTCACACTCTTAAACAACCAGATCTCACAATAACTCACTCACTATCTCAAAGACAACAACCAGATCTCATGAGAATTCACTCACTCTCTCAAAGACAGCACAAAACCATGAGAAATTCGCCTTCACAACCCAAACACCTCCCACTAGGCCCTCCTTCCAGAATTGGGGATTTCAATTCAACACGAGATTTGGGCAGGGACAAATATCCAAAATATATCAGTGTTTATCCTTTAATGTTGCTATTACGAGCATCTTAAATTCCTTCCTTGGACTCTTCTATATTTTATAATTTCTCTATAATATTCTCTACATTTATAATCAGAAAAAAATACAATAATTGAAGCATAAGGAAGGACCCACTGCTTCCTCTTTTCTTTATACCTCCTCATCCCTACCCTAGTCCTCCAGTGGTGGAATTTTCCAACTTCTTTTCCCCACGCTTAAACAAAAAGTAAGCAATCCTGGATCCGAAACCAAGGCCAGGCCAAATGTATTTTTCTTCAGTAAAAGAAGATGCTCTAGCTAAATGTCTCTCCTCTTTTCTTGCCCCACCACCCTACTCATTCTTAACTCCAACACAGAGAATCTTGAAAGAAGCTGCAAACAGCAACCTGGTCTTTGACTGCACAATAATCCTCTAAGGTTCAGATCGTCTCAACCAGAGTTAAATTCTAACAGAGAGAGAGAGAGAGAGAGAGAACGAGAGAGAGAGAGAGAGATTGATCTGGATTCAGGCTTCCTAGATGCAGTCTATCCAACTCAGGCAGCAGTGAACGAGGAATACAGGCTCTTTCCCACATGTTTGGAATCCTGGCCCTGAGCCCTGAGCTGTGCATTCCATTTATCCTCTTTGTGGGCTGAACAGATGAAATTGCTTTAGCTAAAGGAAGTGGCACGAATTTACTTATTTATTAGATGTGCAGGATACATCCATCACACCGACCTCTGGATCAACTCAAATCATGAGACAAGCACACGCTGGAGCAGACAAAACAGCACAGACGTGTTCATGCACCCAGACCAACAGGATGGTAGGGTCGCCCTCTGTTAGTGCACATGGCAGCGGGGGAGTCTGGCCAGCGAGGGGCAACTCCCCATTCCTAGAGATGTGATTGATTGTTTCACAACTCACAAGGGATCACAGAACTAGAAAGAGGAAATGCTGGTTATTGGAACTCCAATTTCCATCTTCCCAGTCCTTTCTTCTCACCACTGCAAGACTGGAACTGAGGCTACTGCTGAGAATTTAGCAGCCTCCTGGCTCTAGCCAAGTACAAAGTGCGAAATTCCTAGGACAGTTCTCTTTATTCTTCTTTCCCTTGGCCTCTCCCCGAAACCCTGCACTGCTCCCTGCCCCTCCTCTCACAGACAATAAACCATTTAACAAAGAAGGTAGCTTTGTTCCTTCTCACCTTTTCTGATAAGTCTCAGGCTGCAATGCCAAGGGGCTCATCTCTGATGAATATCAACATTAAGCTTCTCTCTCTCCCAGCATCAATCTCTTCTTTCAGATCTCAGAAGTCAGCCTCCCCTCCCTGCCTCGCTGCTCCCCTCTTCCCCTTTCTCACACCCCCACAATAGTCTCTTTCCTCCCTTGCTCGCCTCCTTTCCCAGACAGAGGCAATGTGCTAACATGTCCCCACCTGAGACAAAGAAAGGAGGCTTTGTTATACCGGCAAGAGCCTAAATATTAACATCATTTAATTACCGCCATTCTCCCAAGCCAACTTCTTGGCAGCAGGCTCCTCTTGTTAAATAGGCTTTTAAGTTTTCCCAGGGAGGCTGCATCGGAGATAATTTGTGAATGGAGACTGGGGTGTTGCTGCTGGTATAAAGAGGTGACTTCAAGGTAACTGGGTCTTCAAAGACAAGCAGGGGGAAAGGTTATGTAGTTCCTTTAGGCTCAGATCATCTTTCGGAAATGGCCACTACTCTCAGATTCAACGTCTTGGGCACAAACCGGTGGACTGCATTATTAACAGGCCCAGATTCAATTCTTTTTTTTTTTTTTCCCCAAACACAAGGAGAGCTGTGTCACATTCATGATGCCAGGACTTGTTCTCTTGGTTGTGTGCTGAGGTGAAAGACAACTTGACTTTAGTCTGCTGGAATGTGCCTCAGCCAGGGGTGCCCAGTTGACCCTAAAAAGCATGAGGACCTTTCACGTCCTGAAAGGTCACTTGATCTGTAGAAAAGAGCAAAGTGATGACAAGGTGCAGTGGCTCACACCTGTAATCCCAGCACTTTGGGAGGCCGAGGCGGGTGGATGACCTGAGGTCAGGAGTTCGAGACCAGCCTGGCCAACATGGTGAAACCCCGTCTCTATTAAAAATACAAAAATTAGCCGGGCGTGGTGGTGAGCATCTGTAATCCCACCTACTCGGGAGGCTGAGACAGGAGAATTGTTTGAACCCAGGAAGCAGAGGTTGCAGTGAGCACAGATCACACTACTGCACTCCAGCCTGGGCAACAGAGCCAGACTCTGTCTCAAAAAAAAAAAAAAAAGAGCAAAGTATTCCCCACCTGATGTGACAGCATTTCTGGCAAAAGTGGCTAGTTCCCAGTCGCTGCAATAATTCTGAATTGCTGCATTTGTTAGTGCATCTCACAATGCATTCGAGGCATCTCATGATAGCTCTAACTTCACCTGGCCAGATCACAACCCTCTCATTTCCTTACGATAGTCTCATGAAAAGTGTATGACTGTGGATTTCTTTGTTTTTATTTCATTGATTTATTATACTATTCTTAATAGAGTCAATTTATGACCGATAGGTGGATTATTTATGCATGGTGCAGAAATGCGTCAAGAATCCGCAATACAATAACTGGTCCTGAAGCAAGAAATCCTGTCCTATATTATCAGTATACTTTCCCTGTCTTTAAAGTCGGCTTGCCGGCCAGACACAGTGGCTCGTGCCTGTAATCCCAGCACTTTGGGAGGCCGAGGTGGGTGAAGCACTTGAGGCCAGAAGTTCAAGACCAGCCTAGCCAAGATGGTGAAACCCAATCTCTGCTGAAAATAGAAATATTAGCTTGGCCTGGTGGCATGTGCCTGTAATCCCAGCTACTCAGGAGGCTGAGGCAGGAGAATCACTTGAACTCAGGAGGTGGAGGTTGCAGTGAACTGAGATTGTGCCACTGCACTCCAGCCTGGCCAGAGAACGAGACTACGTCTCAAAAACCAAAACAAAACAAAAAAAAATTACTAAGTTTATTTCACATTGTCAAAACTGTAAAGATCACACTATTAATATTAATTGCTTGCCTTGATTATGCAATTCTACAGTACTCCCGGCTCATTTTTTAGTTGTTCAGTCGTGCTCAGTTTTGGCCACTGGAATTGGGGGAAAAAAATCAACTCATTCCATTTGCCATTCCCAGTATTATAGGATAGGAAAGAGTTAACACCTGCATGCCTACCTTCTCTACATAGATTCTAATTTTTAAATAAAGTTAAAGGTAGTTGTATCTTATAAGTTCCAGCATCAGAAATCACTTTTAGAGCATCAGCTGGTTCTAAACTCTACAATAGCTAATGAAATCATGGCAACAACCAAGAAAACATATGGCAGGATCAGAGAGATGTGTTCAAATTTGCATTCAAGGTGAACTCTGCAGAAAGAAATTAATGATCATGTGGGCAAGAGAGAGAGAGAGAGACAGAATACATTTCACCACAATGACAAAACATTCTTATCTTTTTAAATCTTTTTAAAACATAAAACAGCTCATCTGTTAGCCTGCTTTTTTTTTTTTTTTTTTGAGATGGAGTTTCACTCTTGTTTCCCAGACTGGAGTGCAATGGCATGATCTGGGCTCACTGCAACTTCCACCTCCCCACTTCAAGCGATTCTCCTGCCTCAGTCTCCCGAGTAGCTGGGATTACAGGCATGAGCCACCACGCCCAGTCTAAACTATAAACTATAAACTAAGTTTCTCCCAAAGTTAGCTCAGCCTACACCCAGGAATGAACAAGGACAGCTTGGACGTTAGAAGCAAGATGGAGTCATGAAGTTAAATCTCTTTCACTGTCTCAGTCATAATTTTGCAAAGGCAGTTGCAGTACCAAAGTTGAGTTTCCCCAGTCTTCCTCTCCCAGTTGGCTCTCAAACTGTTGGGAGTCAAGATTATACCTTAGCTTAAATGTTTATTTCCTGAGTAATACAATTAGCTCAAGAGAAGGAGAAAAAATTAAAGATACCAACACTAAGGATGTCTTCCAAGAAAATAATGTAGTCAGATCACCCTACAAACAAACGCCACAGTTAGAGACCCACTCATGAGCACAGAGCTCTAGCAATCAACTTTTTAGAGCCTCAAGCATAAATAAAAGCAGAAAGCCAAGGATTACCAGACATTTGAGGAAAGCACAGGAAAGACTTGAACCAGTTTTTAGAAGTAACTTAGGAAATAAAGACTACACAGGAGCTAAGAAAAAAATCACCTAATTTTTTTATTGTTGTTCAAGACAGGGTCTCACTCCGTCACCCAGGCTGGAAAGCAGTGGCGTTACCATAGCTCACTGCAGGCTCGAACCCCTTGGCTCAAGCGATCCTCCCACCTCAGGCCCTCTGAGTAGCTGGGACTACATTTAGGTATCACTACGCCTGGCTAATTTATTTTCATTTTTGTAGAGATGGAGTCTTACTTTGTTGCCCAGGCTGGTCTCGAACTCCTGGCTCCAAACTATCCTGCTGCCTGGGCCTCCCAAAGTGTTGGGATTATAGGCATGAGCTACCATGCTGGGCTTAATTAATAATATTCTCAGAAAGACAAGACAATATATTGAATCCATAAAACAAATATAAGATGATACACACAATGGACATTTGGAATATATACATTGTGCTTTATTCTACAATTGCTTTTTTTTTTTTTTTTTTTTTGAGATGTAGTCTTGCTCTGTCTGTTGCCCAGGCTGGAGTACAACGGCTTAATCTCAGCCCACTGCAAACTCCGCCTCCCAGGCTCAAGGGATTTTCCTGCCTCACCATCCTGAGTAGCTGGGATTACAGGCACCTGCCACCATGCCCGGCTAATTTTTGTATTTGGTAAAGATGGGGTTTCACTATGTTGGCCAGGCTGGTCTCGAACTCTTGACCTTGTGGTCCATCCACCTCAGCCTCCCAAAGTACTGGGATTACAGGCATGAGCCACCGTGCCCAGCCTACAATAGATTTTCATACCACAATGAGACTGAGTAGTCACTGCTGTACACTGCGATGCACCTCACAAACAGGATGATAAGTGAAGGAAGCCAGGCACAAAAGGGCACATACCCTGTGATTCCACCATAAAACATTCACCAAGGGCTGGAGGTGCAAGAAGTCATCATGGTGGTTACTCTTTAGAGGGAAGCTGTGGAAAACATCTGACAAATTTCCAACACGAAAAGAGAAATAAAAAAGGTTTTATCCAAAAGATCAAGAATCAGAATGGCCTCAATTTCCTCAACAACAACTAGAAGCTAGAGGAGAAGGGAGCAATGCCTTCAAATTTCTAAGGGAAAGTGATTTCCATATCCAGCCAAATTATTGATTAAATGTGAAAAAACACCAAAGTTTTTTTTTTCAAATGTACAAAGTCTTTAAGGATTCCTTCTGTGTAGAGAAAAACTCATACCACATTTCCCCTCTACTCACACCACCACAACAATCATCAACACAGAAGACTTCTGTAACAAATATGTGGACACCAGCTGGGTGTCCTCCAATTCAGTTCCCACACTGTCTACCCAGAGATAATGTCAGATCCCACAGGTTGGGGGCTCAGTCCACAAGACTGCCCCTCCTCCAGTTGCAAATCCAGGTCTCTGCAACTTCTTTTTATTTTATTTTTTTATTTTTTGAGATGGAGTCTCCCTCTGTCACCCAGGCTGCAGTGCAGTGGCATGATCTCAGCTCACTGCAACCTCCATCTCCCAGGTTTGAGTGATTCTCCTGATTCAGACTCCCAAGTAGCTGGGACTACAGGTGCCCACCACCACACCCAGCTAATTTTTGTATTTTTAGTAGAGACCAGGTTTCACCATGTTGGCCAGGCGGGTCTCAAACTCCTGACCTCATGTGATCTACCCACCTCGGCCTCCCAAAGTGCTGAGATTACAAATGTGAGCCACCATGCCTGGCCTCTGGAATTTCTGATCAATGGGCTTCAAGTTGGGGTTCCCACCACCTCCTCTATGGGTTGGATTAATTTGTGGGAGCAAATCGCAGGACTGAAAGAAACACTTACTTACATTTACTGGTTTATTATAAAAGGTATTACAAAGGATACAGATGAAGAGATGCATAGGGTGAGGTAGGACAGAAGGGGTGCAGAGCTTCCATGCCCTCCCTGGGTGCCACCCTCCAGAAAATTCCCTGTGTTCAGCCACCCAGAAGCTCACTGAACCCTGTCTTCTTGGATTTTTCGTCAAACTTCATGTCAGCAGGCCTTCCCCCGGGGTATTGGGTGGGACCCTTTCTGAGGAGAATCTAAAGACCCACATCAGAAAGGTGGGGAAGATTAGAGTCCTGCCTTGGGGCAGATGAAAGGAGGGCAGGAGAAGGTTGGAGAGATTCTGTTTCCTGAGGCCTAACACAAACCAGAATTATAACAAATGACTAACAAGGGCTATGGGACTTATGAGCCAGGAACTGGGGACAAAAACCGATATATATCATAACACCACACCTTCCTTTTACTCTTTTCTCAGGAAGCTAGATATGCCAGAAATATACCCAGAGAAAGCAAGATACGAGATCCATGCAACTAAAGAGAGAAAGAAGCAACGATCATTCCCAAATGTTGGCCAAGAGACAGCATAAGGCGACAGGTATACGGCAAACCCAGAGAGCCAGAAACCCAGATTGGCACAGGTTCGGAGGCTCTGACAGAGTTGTCTTCAAGAAGACAAATTGGCCAGGCGTGGCGGCTCACACCTGTAATCCCAGCACTTTGGGAGGCCGAGGCGGGCGGATCACCTGAGGTCAGGAGTTCAAGACCAGGCTGGCCAACATGGTGAAATCCCATCTCTACTAAAAATACAAAAATTAGCTGGGCATGGTGGCATGCACCTGTAATCCCAGCTACTTGGGAGGCTGAGGCAGGAGAATTGCTTGAACTCAGGAGGCAGGGGTTGCAGTGAGCCAAGGGGGCACCATTGCACTCCAGCCTGGACAACAGAGTGAGACTCTGTCTCAAAAAAAAAAAAAAAAAAAAGACGACAAATTGATAGAATACCTAGAAAGGAGATTTACACAATTAGGGCAAGTTTAGGGTTAACTGTGTATAAATTAGATGGGTGTATTATTGTACGTATATATGTTTGAATCACACGTTCATATTACTATACCTAATATATTATAAACATTATGAAATATAAATAAGAAAATAATGAAATAAAAATAAATATAAATAACAGCTCTATGATTTTCTTCCCTCCCCTTGCAGGTGCGCTGGGCAGGACACAGGCTGGAAGTGCTCAGGGGTTATCTTGTGCATTTCCTGCCTGTGCCCCACAGCGCACCCACAATACAAGCAGTGCCTTCCTTGTATTCGTTGATCAGATAAACCAAGAAGAACCATCAGGCCTTAAAGACATGGAGCACAGAAACTGGGAGAGAAGGTCACATGTTGGTAGATGCCAGGCTCCACTGTAATAAGTCCTGCTGGGTACCCCAAGGTGGGCCCTGAGAAGCTCAGGCCAGCATGAGGTCCTGGACCCTGGAGTTGATGATCAGAAAATTATCAACTCCTGGAAAAAGCAAACGCCCTCAAGACCATCTCAGTTACAGTTCTCCTTTTAGCAATGAGAAAAATGTATGCTTTAGAATCTTGCCTGTCTAGTTCTACATCCATTTAACATATCTGCTTTTGATGGACTCCCAGATAAATGCATGAAACGTAAATATAAAGAGATCGTGTGTGTGTTTAATTTCCTGTCCTAATTGTCTTCCACTGCCTACACAGGCTGCCAAGTCTCTTATTTGCTGCCATTTGGGATGTGAGGTTTCTCCTCATCAATTCCTCTACAGTTCCTGTAAGAGCTCTGAGCCAGAGCTGGGCAGTTTGTTCAGAAAACTTTCTCTGAAATATTTTTAAAGAACTTCACAGAGCCCTTGTTATCTAATAGACAGGCCAAAACATTGACTCCAGGCATGTTTTCCTTTCTGTTTCATCAAAGGAAAATGAAGATGAAAAGCCTTTTTGTAAGTACTTATTCCCTATTAGGAAATTGTTTAAGTAAATCACTTTAGTCAAAAATGTTAGAGGCAGTCTGCCTAAGACAGAATATTTCAGTGGCTAACTTTAATAAATGCTAACTTACAAATTGAGCTCATTGGCCATAATTGCTTGCAACAGTAGGCACTAAACACAGAGATTAGCATAATTGTGATTATAACTCCCATTAGCATTTGTAATGTAATTATAGCCAAGTAACGTGCCAGGATGGAAAGATTCTACTAAAACTTCTCTCGCAAAGACACGAAAAGTGCATGCCCTTCCTCCAGGAGGTAGCATCACGGGGAGATGGCTCTGTGGTGAGGCCTTTAACCTCCCAGCATCTCACTTTTGCATCAGCAAAACATTTTGTGATTATTCAGTATACCTGGCAAGGATACACTGCTGGAAGAAAACTGTTTCTGCTTAAGATGGAGTCAGATTTTGACTTAAGGTGGACACATTTTGCCACCTGCCTGAAACCAGTATGAACACACACAAACAAGAACAGCAAAATGTATTAAATGACAGTTTGCAAGACGTTGGTTATCAGGCAATGAAGCACAGTGACCTCCAAGAGATGGGAAACAAATTAGTGGAGCCCTATTTTTGCCCCAGCTCACTGTCTTGAGACAGTTTCCAGACTGTGGCACAGGAAGGGAGAACCCAGGTAGAAGCTGGTGGACTCCTTTAGGCAAGAAGATGGAAATGAGAGTCCAGGGATAGCAAGGCAGCTGGAGTTTACAGGACAGAGAACCAGCAGAGATAGTTGTACAGAGAGAGAATCCTGGGATCTGGACGGGGTTCTGTCAATATTCACACAGTATTGATCGTGACAGCATGTGAAGATACTACTCAATGCCAGAGGGGCGAAAACATCTGAAAGGATCAGAGAAAAGCACACAGTGTTCACCAAGTGTCAAGACTATTAGCTGTTCCCTCCCACCAGCCAGCCAGGGAGAAAACACATTTTTGAACACTGGGCAGAATACTCATGAACATTCTGTCTTAGCGGTGGGAAATAATTAGCCGCAGACCAAACACTGCTCCAGATCCACCTCACAAATTATGAAATCTAAATCTGAAGGGCTCAAACTATACCCAAGCAACTTAATTGCATCCCAGAGAAAAGCTTAAGAACAGCTATAGGAAAGCAAAGTATCACGTATCCAAAAATGGTAGTAACCACAACGGGTGGTATCTGATAAGGATTATCAAACATAGAAAGTATAAGGAAAATATAACACATGATGGGGGAAATAATTCAAAACTGACTCGAAACTGACACAGATGTTATCATTAGTAGACGAGTACATTGAGCAATTATAACCATATTCCAGATATTCAAAAAGTTAAGTAGAGAAAAATGATTTAACAAAAATACTCTAATTGAACTTCTGTAAATAAAAAACTACAATATCAAAAATTTAAAAAATTGATGGGATTAATAGTAGATTAGACATAGCAAAAAAATAGATCTGTAAATTTGAAACCATGGCAATGGAAACTATCCAAAATAAAAACACTGAGAGGAAAAACAATTTTTTTTTTCTTTTTTTGACATAGAATCTCACTCTGTTGCCCAGGCTGGAGTAGAGTGGTGCAATCTTGGCTCACTGCAACCTCCGGCTCCCAGGTTCAAGCAATTATCCTGCCACAGCCTCCTGAGTAGCTGAGATTACAGGTGTGTGCCATCACACCTGGCTAATTTTTTTGTGTGTTTTTTTAGTAGAGATGGCGTTTTGCCATGTTGACCAGGCTGGTCTTGAACTCCTGAGCTCATGTGATCCACCTGCCTCGGCCTCCCAAAATCTGGGATTACATGTGTGAGCCACCACGCTTGTCTGGAAAAAAAATTTTTAATTAAAAGAGGATCAGTGAATTCTGAGACAACTTCAACTGGCCTAATACACGTGCAGTGGAGTTGCCAGAGGAGAGGAGAGGCAACTGAACAAATATTTGAAGAAATGACAGTTGAAAACATTGCAAACTTAATTGAAACTAAAAACTCACAGATCCAAGAAGTTCAACAAACCCCCAAGCAAAAGAAGCATGAAACAAAACACTAAGACATATCATAATCAAATTGTTAAAGAAATCAATAATAGACACAAAATATTAGAGCAGCCAGAGGAAAATAATAAGATGTTACATAAAGAGGAAACAAAAATAAAGATGAGAATAGATTTTTTTAATAGAAAACAATGTAAGCCAACAGACATCTTCAAAACATTGAAAGATAAAAACTATCAAGCTAGAATTTTACACCAAGCAAGAATATCTCTCAGAAACAAAGATGAAATGAAGATGTTTTCAAACATAGAAAAACTGAAAGAATTCACTAGCAAATCCACACTGCAAGACATTTTAGAGTCTTTTAGGCAGAAGGAAGTAAGGAGCTTCACAAAAAAGGAACACCAAAAATTGTAACTATATGTGATTTTTCTTATTAAATCTATTTACAAGATAACTGAATATTTAAACAAAAATAAGAACAATGTAGTTAAACTTCATACGTGTAAGTAAAATATATTACAGTGCTAGCAGAGCAACCAGGAGGGGGAAATAGAAATATTCTATTCTGTGATTCTTTTTATTTTATTTTATTTTATTTTTTTGAGATGGAGTCTCGCTCTGTCACCCAGGCTGGAGTGCAGTGGTGCGATCTCGGCTCACTGTAAGCTCCGCCTCCTGGGTTCACGCCATTATCCTGCCTCAGCCTCCTGGGTAGCTGGGACTACAGGCACCTGCCACCATGCCTGGCTAAATTTTTCTATTTTTAGTAGAGACAGGGTTTCACCATGTTAGCCAGGATGGTCTCGATCTGCTGACCTCAGCTCTGTCACCCAGGCTGCAGTGCAGTAGCACGATCTCGGATCTGCAACTTCCACCTCCTGGGTTCAAGTAATTCTCCTGCCTCAGCCTCCCAAGTAGCAGGGATAACAGGTGCCCCCCACCATGCCCAGCTAATTTTTTTTTGTATTTTTAGTAGAGATGGGGTTTCACTGTGTTGCCCGGACTGGTCTCAAACTCCTGACCTCGTGATCCACCCACCTTGACCTCCTAAAGTGCAGGGATTACAAGCATGAGCCACCACACCCAGCCTCTATTGTATGATTCTTACACATAAAGTGGTAGGTCAGACAAAAGAAGACAGTGAAAAATTAGAATTATATGCTCTCCACTATAAACTATATACACTATATTTTACTACTAAAATGACAAAAAGATTTATAGTTAGTAAGCCAATAATAAAAAAAAAATTATTTCAAGGATCAGTTAATTCAAAAGATGGCAAAAATAGAAAAAAGTGAGTAAAGAACAGATAGGACATCTAGAAAACAAACAGCAAGATGGCAGATTTAAACCTAATCATATCAATAATCACATTAAATGTAAATGAGCTAAACAATCTTGATTAACTGCAGAAATGGTCAGACTGGATTGAAAATCTAGACCGAAATAAATACTGTCTATAAGACATGCTCTTCTTGCTCTCCTGGCCCCCACCCACACTGGCACCAGGGAAAGGCCATGTAAGCACATAGTGAGAAGGTGGCTGTTGGCAAGCCAGGAAGAGAGCCCTCACCAGAACCCAAACATGCTGGCACCCTGATCTCAGACTTTCAGCCTCCAGAACTGTGAAAAAATAAATTTCTGTTGTTAAGTCAAAAGAAGAAGAAGAAGAGGAGAAGGAAATGTTCTTTATATATTAAAACATGGGTAAAGTAAAATAATTTAAAAATTATTTTTAATGATATACCATACTAATACTAATCAAAAGAAAATTGGAGTGGCAAATTAGTAACAGTGGCACACAATAACAGAGCTTCAAACTACATAAAGCAAAAATTGTTAGAACTACAAAGAGAACAAAATAAATCCAAAATTATACTTGGAGATTTCAATAATTAGCTCTCTGATTGACAGAAGTAAAAAGAAAGTCATCAAGCTTATCAAAGATTTGAAAGTCACTGTTAAGCAACTTGACATAATTGACGTTTATAAAACACTCCACCTAGCAACAGCAAAACACACAGTGTATTCAAAGACACACAGAGCATTTGCCAAGATAGACAATATTCTGGGCTATAAAACAAGTTACAATAAATTTGGAAGTGTTCATGTCATACTAAGTATGTTCTCTGACCACAATGGAAGTAAATTCAAATCGATTATGAAAAGATCTCTGGAAAATCCCAATTATTTGGATGATGGAAACTAAATAATACACAATTATATACTTGTAAATACTAAATGGATTAAAGAAGAAATCAAAAGAGAAATTAGAAAGTATTTTCAGTTAAATGAAAATGAACATATAGAAATTTTCAGGATGCTGTTAAAGCAGTTCTTAGGGTAAATGTGTAACACTATATGCCTACACTAGAAAGAAGAACGTTCTGAAATCAATTACCTCATCTTCAACCTTAAGAAACTAGAAAAAGTAAGACCAAATTAAATCCAAAGTTACAAGAGTGTTTGGACTTGCTCGTTAATAATAGCTTCTTTAATGTCCTTCTAGAATATTCTATTATCTGTGTCATCTAATCATTGGTGTCTGTTGATTTTCTTTTCCCATGCAAATGATACAGGAGCTAGAAATAAATTATTTAGGCAAATAGTGAGGGTAAAGAGTCTTCAGCAAGGCTTCCCTTCTAACAAAAAGTAGCCCAAGAAATTATTTTTTCTATCAAGGAGCAGCCTGAAAACTTAAGCTGCAAAGATAGATAATCAAGCTGGAAGCTTGCATGTGTGAATGCCAGCAGTGTACCAACAGAAAAGGGCTACCCGGGGGCCAGGCACATCCAACATGGAGGCTCCATCTTCCCTTCTCTTTATTACCAAGTGTACAGTAAAGAAACAGGCGACATGGCTGCAGCCAGGTAGAGAACCCATCCATAATACAAGATTAGGGTGGGAGAAGCCAGTTTTTCACACCCTATGCAAATGGCACACCTAGTCCTAACCAGCTTTTTTGTGCCTTATGCAAATGGCACACCTGGTCCGACCAATGTTTTGGGACCTGTATACATCAGACACTACCTCCTCAAGCTCTGCATTTCACCGTAGACTGGTGACCCGTTCAGGACCCCTATCTCTGCAGGAGAGAGCTCTTCTCTTTCTTTCACCTATTAAACTTCTGCTCTTAAGCTCACTCTTTATGTCTTAATGTCCTAGTTTTCTGTGGCTGTCAGACAACGAACCTCAGGTATTTACCCCAGACAACGATGCCACTTCACAATTAGAGGTTTTTTAATATCACAAGTAATTTTGGTTTGTATCCTGAACATTTTCAGTATTATGCTGGGTCTTGTTTCTATCTGCCAGTTCTATGGCTCTTAGAATTCTGGTGTTGTTCCCTGATTTCCTACTGTTATTTATTTTGCAGAGTTTTCAAATAGCTGTCATTGTACCCTGTCCAGGTTTCAGAGTTGGGCTTAGTGGGAGGTAGGCAGAATTCTAAGCTGGGTCCCAAGAGTCCTACCCCCTGGTTACATGTTCATTATGAGCCCCTTCCCTTGAATGTGAGCAGGATTTGTGGGTACAATGGAATACCACTCCCATAATTATTTTGCTTTATATGGCAGAAGAGATCTTGCAGATGTAATTAAGATCCCTAATCAGTTGACTTTGAATTAATAAAAAAAAGATTATTCTAGATGAACCTAATCTAATCGGATGAGCCTTTAAAAGGAGTCAGAGAATTTCAAAGCCAGATAGATGTCAGCCTTGAAGATGCAGCCTCTGTGAGTTCTCCAGTTGCAAGGAAATGGATTCTGCCAACAGCCACATGAGCTTGGAAGAGAACCCTGAGCCTCAAATGTGACCCCAATTGACACCTGATTGCAGACTTGTAAGAACTGGGGCAGAAAATCAAGCCAGCTGTGGTGGCTCACACCTATAATTCCAGCACTTTGGAAGGCCGAGGCAGGTGGATCACTTGAGGTCAGGAGTTCTAGACCAGCCTAGCCAACATGGCAAAACCCCATCTCTACTAAAAACAAAAATTAGCCAGGCGTGGTGCTGCATGCCTGTAATCCCAGTTACTTGGGAGGCTGAGGCAGGAGAATTGCTCGAACCTGGGAGGTGGAGGTTGCAGTAAGCTGGGATCGCACCACTGCACTCCAGCCTGGGTGACAGACCAAGACTCTATCTCAAAAAAAAAGCAATAAAAGAGAACTAAGGCAGAAAAGCCTGCCAGGACTTCTGACGTACAGAAACTGTGGCTCAAGCAATGATGTTGTATTAAACTTCTTCTTCTTCTTTTTTTTTTAAAAGACAGGATCTCTCTCTGTTTCACCCAGCCTGAAGTGCAGTGGTGCAATCTCAGCTCACTGCAACCTCCCAAGTTCAAGCGATTCTTCCACCTGGAGTAGCTGGGACCCCACCCCAACCAGCCATTTTTTGTATTTTTTGGTAGATGCAGGGTTTCACTCTTTTAGCTAGGCTGGTCTCGAACTACTGATCTCAAGTGATCCACCTGCCTTGGCCTCTCAAAGTGCTGGGATTACAGGTGTAAGCCACCTTGCCTGGCCAATCTTCTATGTTTATAGCAGTTTATTACACTGCAAAATTTAATAGACTTTATCCTACGTGAAACTGTGTCTTAAAAAAGAAATTCTAGGTACTCTATGTTTGAGCAAACGTTATCCTTTAAGTATTGATTAATACTCAATATGCTTTCTAACAAAGCTCTTTGTTGATTTTCCTTCCTCCGTATTCCCAATATAGAATTAGGGAAATAACTTAAAGATTCAGATCTCCTCAACATCAAATTTCCAGCAGTGTAGACTCTAGCAGCTCATCTTTGTGCAATTACAAGCTGCTTCATTACTTCTTTTCCTTTGCCCTCTTGGTTCATCAAGCTCACTGAGTTTTATGAAAGAAAAGCTAATCTTGCTATATAATTGCATTAATTATTGCCACATGAGCCACTCAGCAGGGACAAATAGCAAGCCTGGTATAATGAGTAAACTAGAAGAAGTAACCATTTATAGCCACTCATAGGATAGGCCAAGTCAAAGTTACCATGAAATGATAGGTTGTTTTCTCCAAAACATGACAGCTATCAAAAGAAAGTATAACTTTCATTTAAGATATGCAAGGTGGCCAGGCGTGGTGGCTCCTGCCTATAATCCTAGCACTTCTGGAGACCAAGGCAGGAGGATCACTTGAGCCTAGCAGTTCAAGGCCAGCCTCGGCAACATAGTGAGACCCTTGTCTCTACAAAAAATACAAAAATTAGCCAGGCATGGTGGCACATGCCTGTGGTCCTAGTTACTCGGGATGCTGAGGTGGGAGAATCACCTGAGCCAGGGAAGTTGAGACTGCAGTGAGCTGTGATCACAACACTGCACTCCAGCCTGGGCAACAAAGTGAGATTTTGTATATACATATATATATATATATGCAAGGTGTCATATCTATTCAATCTGCGTGTGGGGACACAGACAACATTGAAACACTGTAGCTTTTTTTTTTTTTTTTAGCTGGAGTCTTGCTTTGTCGCCCAGGCTGGAGTGCAGGGGCACAATCTCAGCTCGCTGCAACATCTGCCTCCGAGGTTCAAGTGATTCTTCTGCCTCAGCCTCCCAAGTAGGAGGGATTACAGGCACCTGCCATCATGCCCGGCCAAGTTTTGTATTTCTGTACAGATGGGGTTTCACCATGTTGGCCAGGGTAGTCTTGAACTCCCGACCTCAGGTGATCTACCAGCCTCAGCCTCCCAAAGTGCTGGGATTACAGGCGTGAGCCACCGCGCCCGGCCACAAAGCAGCATATCTCTTGTGATGCTTCTTGGGGGGAAAAGCAATCTGTAATGTAATCAAATTGTTTGAGAACTATTAATTACAAATAAACCCCTTCTTAGAGATGCACACTTAATAAAGATGACCCAGGTGTGTGCAGGAAAGAAAACTGTTTCACTTGAATTTCAATTTCATTCCAGAATTTCCCAATCTTATTTGATACATATTCTGTTCAGGTTTTAGAGTTGAGTTCAATGGAAGACAAGTGGAGATGTGTGCTTACTTCACACAGTAGGCAGAGTCATTTTGGAAGCAAACCTATCAAAATCCCTGGAAACTCAAATGTTTCTTCCTAGAAAATATTTTGGGAAATGTGGAGCTAGAGATTTAAATTCTTTCCATGTTTGTTTATCCTGTCCCCTCTTTCGGGTGATACTCCACTCTAGGTCAAGGGTTGATAATATGTCAAGTGGTGAGAAAAATTCCAAGCATAGCTAATGGAAATTGCCACCCCAACCTCACCCCCAGCTGATGTCAAGCACTCATGCAGTCCGTGGTCTCTGCAGATAAAAATGCATCCTCAGTGACTCAAGAATTCCAGGCATTCTGATCAGTTGCGTACTGTCTCCCCAAAGCATTCAACAGACATTCTCCAAGCACCTATCTTGCGCTAGGCTCAGTGCATTACCAGCAAGCATCCCAGGCAGGGCACTCATTTTGCAAGCTCGCAGAAAGTGTGGTCATGCCAAGTAAGTGTCCAGGAGGGATTATAATTCATGGGCTTCTGGGGAAGAGGATGAGCAGCCAGCCTGGAAGGTAACAGACAGTCCCAGCACAAAAACCCTTCAACAAGGTCATGGGGTAAGAGCTGCCATCTCCCAGGCAGGGCTCTGGATGGGCCCGGATGGATGGGATAGCAAACTCACTCCGTAAAAGCAAAGGAAATTTGTGACAGGCATCAGCCACTGAAAAAAAATGTCTTCAAGTTGACAGCAGAGCAGGAAGTAGGAAAGGGAGAAATGGAAGAAACTGAAAGAATAAATTACTTTCCACTTTGCAATGATTCTAAGATGTAGACTTTTTTCACCTTTTAACAGCTCTGAATTCTCTGACATTGGAATAGATCGAAAGCATCCTACAATCGCCGCCCGCCAGGCGCCCACGTGACCTCGTTGTCTTTGCGGCATGTGCAAACTTGTTCACAGCTGTGGCTGTTGTCATCACTTCAGCGGGATTATGTGCACTGTTGGCACTTCATGTGCCGGGTTTAATTGCCATGTAAAATGCCTTCAGAAAGATTATACTATGATTCAGCATTGAAAGGAAAACTTACGGTGTATTCAGAAAGGTGAGGAGACAGAGCGGGTGGGGCGGGGGGGTACATACATTTGTTATTTGTGAAGTGAATATTCATGACGGGAGGAATGCTTGCAATTCCATATTCTCTTGCAGAACAAACCAAGTGCTTTACAACCTTGCTGCTCAAAGTGTGGTCCACAGACCAGCAGCATCGCCTGGGAGATGGATCGAAATTCTGAATTTCAGGCTCTGCCCCAAACCTACTGAATCAGGATCTGCATTTTAACAAAGTCCCATTGATTTGCAGGCATATTAAAGTCTGAGTGCCCTGCTTTAGTGAACATAAAGTGAAGCTAATTCATACCGAATTATCGAGCTATAAAAAGGGAATGCCCAGCAGAAGCCAAGCAGTGCAGCTGAAGGCAGGGGAAATTGTCAAGCCCTTTAGAATCCATGAAAGAAATTCCAACGCAACAAAGAGGTTGGTGTGGCCAATTCACTCATCAGGCAGGCCTGTCATTAAGACACCATGTCATAGTCTCATTGACAATGATTTTTCCTCTCTTTGTGGTACATCAGCTAATGATGGAGCTTAAAATGAAGGACATTTTAGATTCAATTAAATACGGCAAGTGGTATTTCTCCAGGGCACTGTAAGAGATTAAAATAAAGGCATCTCCATCAGTGAGGCGGAGCTGGGAGGCAGCAGAAGAGGGACAGTGCCACTGCAGTCCAAGCGGGAGAAGCAAGGACACTAGGAAAGTTCATGAGTCACCCAAGACCTGGCCAGGGCAAGGGAGGGACACATGGGGGCTGAGGTCCCTGTAACATTGCTGGTCGTGAACCATCCTGCCTGCATACTGCAGGTTCTACAGCTACTTCAGACCTCCAACTAAAAATAATAATAATAATACTCAATTCCTTATTCTTTTCAAATAATTGTTAAAATTATTATTATTATTTTGAGGCACAGTCTCACTCCATCGCCCAGGCTGGAGTGCAGTGGCACTATCTCAGCTCACTGCAACCTCCACCTCCCGTTCAATAATTCTCATGCCTCAGCCTCCCGGGGAGCTGGAAATACGGGCCTGTGCCACCACACTCAACTAATTTTTGCATTGTTAGTAGAGACGGGGTTTCACCATGCTGGACAGGCTGGTCTCAAACTCCTGACCTCAAGTGATCTGCCTGCCTCGGCCTCCCAAAGTGCGGGGATTACTAGCATGAGCCACTGTGCCCACCCTCAAATAATTTTTATAGCCATTATTTTGTACTTCTTTCTTCAATAACTCTTAGTGTTTTAACACCTCATCATCTCACTGAGCCCCAAAACAAACCCTAGGGAGAAGCAGCGTGAACTGAAGTCTGAAGTGTGGGCAGTGCTGTCGTTTTCCCTGTGGAGATGGGGAAATATGTCTGGGATTATCCTGTTGGTAAATGGTGGAATTGGGATTAGAATCCCAGAATTCTGACAACGCTTTCATTTTTTATTTTATTAATTAATTAATTTTTTGAGATGGAGTCTCAATCTGTCACCCAGGCGGGCATGCAGTGGTGCGATCTCGGCTTCCTGCCTCCCGGTTTCAAGGGATTCTCCTCCTCACCCTCCTGAGTAGCTGGGACCACAGGAGTGCACCATCACTTCAGGCTAATTTTTGTATTTTTAGTAGAGACAGGTTTTCGCCATGTTGGCCAGGCTGGTCTTGAACTCCTAATCTCAGGTGATCAGCCTGCCTTGGCTTCCCAAAGTCCTGGGATTATAGGCGTGAGCCACCGCGCCCGGGCTCTGACTATACTTTTGAAGTTCTAACTAGGAAGACATCTGGAGCAACTTGATCACCCCAGGTAATGGCAGAAGCCCTGACTCTTCCTTGGACCTCCTCTGATACCATCCTAGTGGGGAAGTAGAGGGACATGTCATTTCTTCCCTTGGAGGCAGGAATCTGGGCTCCCCATGTGGCCTCTGCTGACATTGCAAGGATGGAGCTCATCACAGGAGGGGAGAGAATGTCCCTGTTCGCTACTTAAACTTCTGTGACCCTATCCTGGCTGGGAGGTCAGGATGCCTTATTCCAGTGTCATGAGGATAGAAGCCCAGCCTCCCCATTCAGCCTTGCAAGGAGGGAGTTTTTGGTGGGGTTTGTCTAGAAAAGAGCAGTGATTTCCCAAATTTTCCATCTTACTAGCTTGTGTCTTTCCTTGTCCTTTAGCTAGAGAGAGCAGGGTTTTGTTGGTGCTTTCTTGCCTCTACCACTTGGGACTTCTGGGTTACTGGCCTCATCAGCTCCAAATCTGAGATATATGAGGCAGTGAGAGAGGGAGAGAAAGAAAGACAAGAGAGAAACCAGGACATCCTGGCTAACACCGTGAAACCCTGTCTCTACTAAAAAATATAAAAAATTAGCCGGGCGTGGTGGCGGGCGCCTGTACTCCCAGCTACTCGGGAGGCTGAGGGAGGAGAATGGCATGAACCCAGGAGGCGGAGGTTGCAGTGAGCCGAGATCATGCCAGTGCACTCCAGCCTGGGCAACAGAGAGAGACTCCATCTCAAAAAAAAAAAAAAAAAAGAGAGAAACCAGGGCATTCACCACTGTGTTGTTCCTCGGATCCCGGGGTTTCAAGCTGGTCTGCCTTCTTTTCTTTACCTCTCAGAGTTTTACTGTCTTTGACATGCAATGCCCATGATGTCCAGTTGTATTTAGTGGGAGGTATAGAAAACAGTGTGTCTACTCCATCTGCCCAGAAGCAGAAATCCTGCTTTCGCAAAAGAAGTTTAACTGGAGCAGAGCCTTGGCCCTTTCTTTACATGTTATCTGCAGCTGTTTCCCTGCTGCAACGCAGAGGTGAGCAACTGAAGGAAATCTGTGTTGAGTCCTCCTCCACAGCCTACTTCTTTACAAATTGCAGATTTTGGTTGCCTCTATGTAAAGCTATTGCATTACAGCAATTCTCCATACTTCTAACACTTCTGGTAATTTCACATCTGCTGAGCCAGAAAGTTTCTCGCAGCTCCTTCAGCATATCCTGTCTTGGAGCACAGGAGAGATTACAGCAGAATCTCTGCTTAAGTAACCTCGTTTCCTGACCACTGGATTCCACCCTTAGCAACAAATGGCAGACTCTCTAAGCTCCTCTGCGGTGGGTAGAAAATGGTTGCCCAAAGATATCAGGTCTGTGAAACCTGTAAATGATACCTTACAAAGAAAAGTCTTTGCAGATATGAGTGCGTGAAGGATCTTAAAATGTGGAGATTATCTTGGATTATCTGAGTGTGTCCTAAATGCCATCATGGTGGTTTTTGTTGTTGCTGTTGTTGTTGTTGTTGTTTTTGAGATGCAGTCTCGCTCTGTCACCCAGGCTGGAGTGCAGTGGTGCTATCTCGGCTCCCGGCAACCTCCACCTCCAGGGTTTAAGCAATTCTCCTATCTCAGCCTCCCAAGTAGCTGGGATTACAGGTGCCCGCCACCACACCTAGCTAATTTTTGTATTTTTTGGTAGAGATGGGGGTTTGCCACATTGGCCAGGCTGGTCTCGAACTCCTGACCTCAGGTGATCCACCCACTTCAGCCTCCCAAAGTACTAGGATTACAGACGTGAACCACTGTGCCCTGCCAAGTTGTGTGGTTTTTGTTTTGTTTTTTGTTTTTTGAAAAGAGAGAGATTCAACACACAGAAGAGGAAGAACAGCTCTACCAGATTTCAAACTTTCTACCTCTAGAGCTGCGAAATACGTTTCTGTTGTTTTTAAGCCTCTGAATTTGTGTAAAATTACTAAGAAATTAACCACCAACCCTCTGTTCATTTTGACACCAATAGAGCAGACACCTTCATAGAACTCCCTCATCCCACACAAGACGCAAGTCAGAAAAAACAAATCTCTACTCAATTGTCCTGCTGTCTGTGACCTGGGAAAAGAGACTGTCTGAGGGATGAGTTGGGTCTCTTGTAACTGCAACAAAGTGAATGTCTCCGGATGTTCTAAAAGACCCTTCTCAGAGGCCCCAGGAACCTTCCTGCAAACCAAGACTTCCCTCCAGGCACCTTGTTTACCCCGATGTGACCAATTCTATCTATGCAGAAGCTGCCTATCCAGTTTTTAATATAAGTTGGGCAGATGTCAGCTCAAGAAGAAGGAATGAGGGGAGGCACTCAAAGGCGACTCTCACCAAAAAGGATTTCTTCGTATTCTGACTTCCAGAGTACAGTCGCTATCTATAAAATGTAAGTCAGTATCTTTTATCACGCTTCATCCTAGGAGGTGCGTGCACTATGGTTCTCAGTTTTGCAGATGAGGACATTGTGGCTTGGAGAGCTTAGGGCATTTAAACAGCAAAAATGGCAGAGTCCCTGAAAGATGTGCCCGGGTATTTAGACCACATCTTAAGGGATTTCTCAAAGATGCCACTGCCTTCCTGAAGGAAACCTAGGCAAACCCTGCTGGAGGCATTGCTCGTAAATCACTGTCAATTTTCTTTATTCCCCTCTCCTGCCCATCTCTGCCACAATGCAGTGACAAAAGACCGTGTCTTGGTACACTGCATGTCACTCCCTGAGATTTGCTGACACCTGCAGACAAATGAGAGGATTGCACTGAGTTTGCATTAAAAGGTATTAGAGGCCAAGCGCCGTGGCTCACGCCTGTAATCCCAGCACTTTGGGAGGCCAAGGTGAGTGGATCACTTGAGCTCAGGAGTTTGAGACCAGCCTGGCCAACATGGTGAAACCCCGTCTCTACTAACAATACAAAAATTAGCCAGGCGTGGTGGCGCGCGCCTGTAGTCCCAGCTACTTAGGAGGCTGAGGCAGGAGAATTGCTTGAACCTGGGAGGTGGAGGTTGCAGTGAACCAAGATTGCACCACTGCACTCCAGCTTGGGCAACAACACAGCTGAGACTCTGTCTGAAAAAAAAAAAAAGTATCAGAGCTGCTTGCAGGAAACCCCAGACCCAGGAAAGGCCGTATCATCTCTGGAGAAGATGATGCAGACCAGGACAGAGAGCACTAGGAGTAGGTCTGCAGAGATCCGAGCAGCCCCTCTGGTCCAGGCCATGCGGTCAGGTGCACGGACTCCCGTTGCACCTTATTGCCCTGAGGCGTGGTCTGATGAGAGGCCTCAGGTGTTCTTTATTCTGGGCAACGTGTAATCAGTGATTATTTCTAACAATGCAAATAGTAAAACTACCTTAGCCACTCACTGGGTAACCCTGAGCAACTCCTTTAGTTAGGAGTCAGCCTAACTAAATTCTTATTGATATAATGTATATTTATATTAATTTTTTAAAAACCATAAACCCATACACAAAACCAAAATCTCTGATAACAATTGGGCCTGAAGTCGACTATGAGGTCTGGGCTTTTGAGAGAATGAAGTACCAACTCTTTCCGGTAGGTGGAGCCAAAAGATCACACCTGAAGCGCATTTCAGTTCAGCCCTCCCAGGCGGCAGGGCGGGGTACCAGCATTTTCTAGCTCTTAATAACCTTTACATTGTCGGGGGATCAGTGAAGAAGGTTATAAAGAGCTTGTATTCATCCACCCCATTCATATGTCCCCCACATTAGCAGTCCTTTTATTCATAACGTACTCTCCCACCACGACCACCACATTATGAATAAATGAGACCTACCACCTGCAATGCCTGGCCTTTCTCCCTGTAGCCATCACCTCTCCAATCTTTCCCCAATCTCAGGCCTAAAATCGTCAAATCAGGGTATCCAAATGCCAAAATGTTCCCCCTCACAGATGCTACTTGTCTCTCAACCTTGCTTATGAAAAAGGAAAGAAACTAATGTCCGTAGAGAATAGACTATATTTCAGGCATTTCCACATGTCACTTGATCCCAATAATAATGGCAATCATCGTAATAGCTGCTGTTTTGGGACATTTACTATAAGCCAAGTGCCATGCTAAGTACTTTTATATATTATCTCATTTAATTCTCTTAGGATGACTGTAAAATGGCATTATCATACCCACTTCACAGTTCTGGAAACTGAAATTCAGAGAGCTTGGTAAGCACAGGATAGCGCATGTTGGAAGGCACATCAGGATTAATTTACATTTCATGAGCATCTCGCCCCTACTTCTGTTGTTGTATAGTCTCTCACTTACACCAGGGCTCTTTCTCTGGGAACACAGGGGCAAGAGGGGGAGGCCAGTTGTTGGGGAAGAGGAGAAAGGGAAGAGGACTGGCGCTCCTTCCACTATGAAGGGGAGATATGCTCAGGGTACCCTGTTCTAGACCCTATCTAGATGAGACCCTTGACCTGCATCACCTTATCTCCCTCCTCCTTACCAAAATAACCTAAAACTTTTCCCATAGAAACAATAGTTTTGGTTTTTTGTTTTATTTTGTTTTGTTTTGTTTTTGTTGTTTTTTTGCTATAGCCCTAATATCATTATTCAACTACTTAATAGGTTAAATAGGATTTTTCAAATACACTGGGAATTGATCGATCTTCACTAATAAACTATTTTTACAGGAATGCCATTGAGGCTCCAAGTAAACGTCTTGCAATATTTTAGATTATTAAATTGCATGTACTTTGAATATTCGCATCCCAGAGTCAACAGATTTTGCAATTATTTTCTGTTAGAACGTAAATGGATGGTTATGTGAATGGATGGGTGGATGGATGGATAGACAGGTGGATGAATGGATAGATGGGTGGGTGGATGGATGGATGCAAGGATGGATGGATGGAGAGATGGGTGGATGGATGGATGGATGGATGGATGGACAGGTGAATGGATGGATGATGGATAGATGGGTGGATGGATGAATGGATGGCTGAGAATCTGGGCAATAAATAGAGTGAGTTAAGATGTGGTGCTTATGAGACCAAGGATTTGGTCCCATGTAGACCAATCAATTTCATTCGTTCCTGGAGCAATTTACATGTATTCCTATTCTACTGAGCCATCTCAGAAATGTATACTATCAGTTACAAAGGGAATTATGTGACAGTATACAGATAGAGTAAAACAACTCATCTTTACTACTATAAAAGTAGCTGAAAATTTGTACCTTATTATGATGGCTCAGCAGCATCTCTTTACATTCTAGTTTTCAGAACTTCCATAGCATCCAATTCACTCCTCTATTAGTTCATCTACAGCACAAAATGAATTGTAAACATCTACTTATCCACTGTACACCAACTAGAATGGCTATTATTTTTTTAAATGGGAAACAAGTGTTGGTGAGGAAGTGGAAAAATTGGAACCTTTGAACATGGCTGGTAGAAATCTAAAATGGTGTTACTGCTGTGGAAAATAGTTTGGTTCCTCAAAAAGTTAAACATAGAATTGCCATATGACCTAGCAATTCCAATCCTTGATACATATCCAAAAGAACTAGAAGCAGGGTCTAAACAGATACCTGTATAACAATATTCACAGCAGCTTATTTACAATAGCTAAAAGATAGAAGCAACTCAAGTGCCCATCAACACATAAATGAATAAACAAAATGTGGTGTACACTCACAATGGAATATTATACAGCCACAAAAATGGATGAAATTTTATATATGCCACAGGGATGACCCTTGAGAACATTATGCTTAGTGAAATAAGCCAGATACACAAGGACAGAAGGAACTGTATGATTCCACTTATATGAGGTACTAATAAATAGTATACTTACAAATGGCTAAAATGATAAATTTTATAGTATATACATTTTATAATACTACAATTTTAAAAAAACTATTTATGTACCTAACTTCCTCACTGGATTGTAATTTACCAAAGCATCAGATCTCATTCATTTTTGTATCCTCAACTTCAAACACAGAACCTAACACACAGGAACTAAAATAAATGACATCGGCCGGGCGTGGTGACTCATGCCCGTAATCCCAGCACTTTGGGAGGCAGAGGCAGGCAGATCACCTGAGGTCAGCAGTTCGAGACCAGCCTGGCCAACATGCTGAAACCCCATCTCTACTAAAAATACAAAAATTAGCCAGGCATGGTGGCAGGTGCCTGTAATCCCAGCTACTTGGGAGACTGAGGCAGGAGAATCGCTTGAACCCGGGAGGCAGAGGCTGCAGTGAGCCGAGATCGTGCCATTGCACTCCAGCCCGGGCAACAAGAGTGAAACACCGTCTCAAGAAAATAAATAAATAAATGACATCAAATTAAAAATATAAAAATACACAGACAGAAATCGTCGATTTAAAATTCCTTATAAACACATGCATATGTACACGCAAACAAGAACTGGAGAGACCCAATCTATCGGATGTCTTACTATCTGCATTTTTAAAATTTCATTCACTCCACACATGTATAATGAGCATGCCCACTCTGCCAGGCTCTGGGATATATCACTGAAGAAGACAAAGCTTCTGTCCGTACAGAGCACACGCCGTACAGAAACATGCTAAATGACATAAATCATAAATATAGGCCAGGCACGGTGGCTCCTGCCTGTAATCCCAGCGAAACTGCCTCTGCAAAAATTATAACTGAGGAAATTATGACAGTGAAAGAGATCAGACCCAGCCGACTCCATCTTGCTTCTAACTTTTAAGCCGTGCTTGTTCATTCCTGGACGTAGGTTGAACTAACTCTGGGAAGGAATTCAGTTGGTGGGATGACTGAAACAAAATCGATAACAGTCCTTTCCCGAAAAGACTCCCTTCTTGCCTGGGAACCAGTCTGCCTTCGCAGCACTAACAAATTAGTGACAAGATTAGAAATTACGGTTTACGGACCATGCAGTGTCTAGCTTCAAGAGTCGGAACCTCCACAAATTGCTCCTAGAGATAACATCACTATTGTAAAACCTAAGATCAGTGCTGGAGGTATTTCGCAGACCTTGCACTAGAGATGGATCAGCTGATATCACCCAGACTGATAATCTAGCCCAACCAGTCCTGCCGTCCCACCCAGGAACAGAAGACAGCAAGAAAAACTCACTTCGACCCCCTGTGATTCCATCTCCAACCTGCCAAGTCAGCACTCCCCACTTCCCAAGCCCTTACCCGCCAAATTATCTTTAAAAATGCTGATCTTTGAGTAATAATAAAACTGCTATCTCCTGCATAGCCATCTCTGCGTGAATTACTTTCTCCACTGCAATTCCTACGTCTTTTTTTTTTTTCTTTCAGACAGAGTTTCTCTCTTGTTGCCCAGGCTGGAGTGCAGTGGCACCATCTCGACTCACTGCAACCTCCACGTCCCAGGTTCAAGTGATTCTCCTGCCTCAACCTCCCAAGTAGCTGGGATTACAGGCACACACCACCGCACCCGGCTAATTTTGTATTTGTAGTAGAGACAGGGTTTTACCATGTTGGCCAGGCTGGTCTCAAACTCCTGACCTCAGGTAAATCACCTGCCTTGGCCTCCCAAAGTGCGGAGATGACAGGCATGAACCACCATGCCCAGCGCCCCCGTCTCGATAAATCGGCTCTGTCTAGGCAGCAAGCAAGGTGAACCCATTGGGCTGTTACACCAGCACTTTGGAAGGCTGAGACAGGCAGATGGCTTGAGCTCAGGCGTTCAAGACCAGCCTAGGCAACATGGCAAAACCCAGTCTCTATTAAAAATACAACAAAAAAGTAGCCAGGCTTGGTAGTTTGTGCCAGTGGTCCCAACTACTCAGGAGGCTGTGGTGGGAGGATCGCTTGAACTTGGGAAGTGGAAGTTGCAGTGAACTGCACTCCAGCCTAGGTGACAGAGCAACACCCTATCACAAATGAAAAAAGAAAAAAAAGTAAATATAACCCCAGGTTCTGGAGGGCCATGGGGAAGTGCTTGAATGGTGTGAGGGACTCCTTTTGCAAAGCACAACAGGGAAAGTCTCTGAGAAAATAACATCTGAGCTCTAAATGATGAGAGAGGACCACGGTGTGACAACCTCAGGGAGCAAATTCCTAGAAGAGGGATGAGCCTCTGCAAAGGCTCTAAGGGAAGAAGAAGCACAGCATGTGAGAGAGACAGAAAAACCGTCACCGAGGCCAGATCACAGTGGGTGAGGAGGAAAATGAGAAAGAGGTATGTGCAGAACAAGTCGGGGGACCAGGTCATGTTGGACCGCAGGCCAGGCCAAAGAGTTGGTATTCCATTCTAAGGGTAGTAAGAGCTTTCGGGCTTTTCAAGCCTGATCTGACTTATGCTTTCAAGAGATAACTATAGCTTCTGTATGGCTACTGGGCCATCAAGGTACAAGATACTGGCAGGAACCCAGATGAACGGTGATGGTGGCTTGGATTACAGCTTTAGTCAGGGAGATGATAAAGAGTGGTTGGGTTCAAGATACATTTTGGAAGCTGCCCAGATAGAACCTGTTGATGCACTGGACATGAAAAGAAAAAGAAAGCGGTCAAGGGTGACTTCTAGGCCAGGTGCGGTGGCTCACGCCTGTAATTCCAGCACTTTGGGAGGCCAAGGCGGGCGGATTACCTGAGGTCAGGAGTTTAAGACCAGCCTGGTCAACATGACAAAACTCCATCTCTACTAAAAATACAAAAATTAGCCAGGTGTGATGGTGGGCGCCTGTAATCTCAGCTACTCGGGAAGCTGAGGCAGGAGAATCACTTGAACCCAGGAGATGAAGCTTGCAGTGAGCCGAGATCACACCATTGCACTCCAGCCTGGGCAACAAGAGTGAAACTCCATCACAAAAAAAAAAAAAAAAAAAAACAAGGGATGACTTCTAGTTTTTTGTCTGAGCAGCTAAATTAAAGAGAGGTCCATGCAGGAAGAAAAGGAAGACTAGGCAAGAAGTGGGTGGGATGAAGACAGGGGAGAAGTTCACATGGACAGTTTGCTTTGGATCATGTTAAGTTTGAGGTGCCTCTTAGAAATCCAAGTGGACAATTCCATATGCAATTCTGGAGCTCAGATGAGAGGCTAAGGGTCTTCAACATATGCATAAGATGACTTGATGGCCTTAGCAGCAGGGAGAGACAGAGGAGAAGATATCCCAGATCAAAATCCTGGAGCACCCCCACATTTAGAAATCCACCAAGGAGAAGGGAACTAAGGAGATAAGTAAAAGAGTCGTGTCAGTGGAGGAATTCCAGGCAACAGTGCAATCCTGGAAGCCTGGAGAAAACTACATTTCCAGAAAAGCAGAGTGTTCAGCTGTGTCAAATGCTGCTCTGAGGACAGGAAATTGACAGGAATTGACCATGAGATTTAACAGATATGGAGGTCATTGTGGAACTTGATGGGCTAGAGCCAAAGAACTAATTGGAGCAGGATGATGACAAGAGTCTGTGAGAATGGAGGCCTAATATCAAGTCTTTTGAGAGGACACGCTTTGTTCAGAAGCAGAGCCCTAGAGCAGTAGCGGAAAGGAGATGTGCGATCCACAGAAGAAATTTTAAAGATGGCACCACGCAGGATACTGTATTATCTCAATTTTTACAATCGCACCATGCTACAGGTATTATTGTCCTCATTTTATGCATGAGAAACCTGAAACAGAAAAGTGAATTCCTCACGCATCAAAATTTTTAAAACCTAAAGAACAGCAAATGCTATTATTACGTGAGACCTGAACTGTTTCCACAGGACCCTCATGTCTCCCGATAAAATACAACAGCAAAGGTCAAGTACTTTTGTTTTCCTGTTCAACAGAATGACGCAGTCGTATGCCAAGCAGCCTAAGCGGCCTTATTTGTATCTTTCTGTTACTTGTTGACTTCGAATCTTTGATTAAATACAGGAAGCTTTCTGTCACTTTTGAGTCACTGGTCAGTATCTGCCTTGATCAAGCCTGAATTTGGTTTCCAAGCTGGCAGTCTTTCTTCTAGCTATGCCTCTCAAATCTTTCACATGAAATGATGCAACAAGTTTTTAGGTCATCAAAAGGTATTTTGCTGTTATTGTTGCTTTAACTCTTAAAATTGGTAACCTTAGTAGTACCCAAGATTTCAAGACTTATCAAGGCTGACACAGTCTATAGAAAGTCCAATTTTGTCTTAAACCATGACAGATTACCCTTAAAAGGAATAAACTCAAGCATTTATTTTACTGAGATTAAAAGACATATATTTACTAAGTGTCTGCTCTATGCCAGGAATGGTGTTAGAGGGAGGCTGGTAGAAAACACAAAATAGGCTGGGCACGGTGGCTCATGCCTGTAATCCCAGCACTTTGGGAGGCTAAGGCAGGTGGATCACCTGAGGTCGGAAGTTTGAGACCAGCGTGGCCAACATGGCGAAACCCCATCTCTACTAAAAATACAAAAATTAGCCAGGCGTGGTGGTGCACACCTGTAGTCCCAGCTACTCAGGAGGCTGAAGCAGGAGAATCACTCGAACCCGGGAGGGAGAGGTTGCAGTGACCTGAGATCGCGCCACTGCACTCCAGCCTGGATGACAGCCCAAGACTCCGTCTCAAAAAAAAAAGAAAAAAGAAAAGAAAAGAAAACACAAAGTTGCCAGTGCCCTTGCAGTTGTGTGACAGAGCAACCACGGGAGACCCTGGGAAAACCAGCCCGGAGAAATCTGCCTAGGGGTGAATAGTAACCTATTTGGTGTGAGCTGAGAAAACTCTATATTTGAATTTATATGCAAAACAATCGATTCATTATATCATTATATGCACTGAAGGCAACAGCATTTTTATTTATTTGCAATCGTCCTAGAATTAGTTTTTAAAAAGCGTGTTGAAAGTTCTTATAACTTTTTTATATTAAATAATATACAGCTATTTAGAATAAAATACACACACATGCTATGAATAGAACTAGTTATAGTAAATTGTTTTAAGTCTAGATAAAATTATATTATTATGTAAATTATATAACACAACAGCATACATAATCATACTACATGTAGTATTCTATTTATATTAAAGTTTTCATTTTAGATAATAAACCTAATCTGTTATTCTTAGAAAAATACACTATGCCAAAAACTGTTCGTGCTAGAACTGCGGCTGACCACAACTGCCAAATTCAGGTCCCGCTCAGGTGGTATCTGGCTGAGGAGGGCAGTTCTTTTTTTGGGATGGAGTCTCGCTCTGTTTGCCCATGCTGGAGTGCAGTGGCACAATCTTGGCTCACTGCAACCTCCACCTCCCAGGCTCAAGCGATTCTCCTGCCTCAGCCTCTTGAGTAGCTGGGATTACAGGCACCCGTCACCACGCCTGACTAATTTTTGTAATTTTTTTTTAATAGAGATGGGGTTTCACCGTGTTGGCCAGGCTGGTCTCAAACTCCTGACCTCAAGTGATCCACCTGCCTCCGTCTCCCAAAGTGCTGGGATTACAGGTGCCCGGCTGAGAAGGGCAGTTCTTAATGGCTCTGCACAACTTGCTGGTGTGCACTCACAAGTAGTCAACAGAGGTAGAGTATGACACCCAGGAGGCGTTTTACACTCCCTGTGTTGCAGAGTGGTTGGGCCCAGGGTCTGCTTTCCTGGTTCTGTAAGAAGGAGTGTACAGAGAGCTGAAGTCATTGGCTCCGTGTTTCTGATTTGTTCTTATGGCATATTCATATCCAAAGAAGCTTCCTCGAGGCCAGCTTCCTTCTCCCCTTCTCTGTCTCTGCTTTAACCAGAAATTCTTTTCCTTCAGCTCAAATTACCAACATTTAAAAGGGAAAGATTCTAGGAGGAATAACCATAAAATAATTTAGGGCTAGCAATGTATGTATTAGTCTGCTTTCACACTGCTGATAAAGACATACCCGAGAATGAACAATTTATAAAGAAAAAGAGGTTTAATGGACTCACAATTTCATGCAGCTGGGGAGGCCTCACAATCATGGCGGAAAGGGAAAGGCTCGTCTTACATAGAGGCAAACAAGAGAGAAAGAGGACCAAGTGAAAGGGGTTTCCTTAAAAAACCAAAAGATATTGATAGACTTACTCACTACCACAAGAACAGTATAGGAGAAACCACTCCCATGATTCAATTATCTCCCACTGGGTTCTTCCCACAACACATGGGAATTATGGGAGCTACAATTCAAGATGAGATTTGAGTGGGGACACAGCCAAACCAATGTACATTGGATGTGTGAATGTATAAAATTCCTTGTGTCCCAAATGGAGGGCTTTGAGAATGTAGGATGCTGAGTGGCAGAAGTTTTCCTCTGCCCTTGGGAAAAGAAGGCAGGCTTCAAAGACAACCTTAGCTTCTTCACAAAAATGCCCTTTGCAGCTCCTGTTTCCATGGGGATGGAAATATGTAACTGAGAGTTGTGATGGGTTGAATTGTGGCCCCCTAGAAAGGTATGCTGAAGTTCCAACTCCCAGTACCACTGAATGTGACTTGACTTGGAAATAGTGTCCTTGCAGATGCAATTAGCTAAGTGAAGATGAAGTCAGACTGGAGTGGTGGGTCCTTAGTCAGATATCACTGGTGTTCTTCTAAGAACAGGGAAATGTGGACCCAGACACTTAAGGAAAAGGCCACGTAATGAAGGAGGCAGAGATTGGAGTTAACGCCGCTGCAAACCAAAAATTGCCTAAGGCCAAAAGAAGCTGGAAGACACAAGGAAGGATCCTCCGTTAGAGGCTCAGAGGAAGCGCGGCCCTGCTGACACCTTGATTTCAGACCATAGCCTGCAGAACTGCAGGGTAATGCATTTCTGTTGTTCTAAGCCACTCTGTGTTTCTCTGCAACAGCAGCCCTAGGAAAAAACACGGATGTTAATCAAAAAAATAAAGAAACTTTGAATGCCAACATTACACAAAAGCAATGTGAGAAGTCAAAGGGAAACAAAAGTCCTAAGCTGTTATACAATATCCTTGTGTTTCTTATTCTAGAGAGATGTTAAAAAGGTACTTATTTTCCACCACCTTAAAGGACCCTATTTATCTGTTCAGATGGAAAAATGGACTTTGGAGATTGTGGGGTCAGCCTCCTGACTCTTTGTTCTAAACTCTGGGAACCAAAAAGGACTCACCTACAGTCCACATAGCCTCAGTTTTTACAAGAAATAAAATTTTAGCTAAACTCAGGACCATACAACAGATCGGTTGTGCTTGAAAAGTTGTGTTTTAGAATATGGTTTTCCATTACATGAATAGCAACAAAACTGCTGAGTCAGAAACTCAAGCAACCTCTCCTAACCTCTATCCCGGGTTTTGTAAACACTCACTGGATTCTGGGAAATCACGAGACAGCAGTAAGCAGAATTCCATTTTACCATTTATTAGTCATGCAAACTTGGGCAACTTATTTAATCTTTCTGAGTCTTAGTTTCAACATTTGTAAAAAGGACATTTGTAAACTCCTAATCCACAGATTAAGTGTTAGCAGAGTTTGGACCAAGGACCGAAAACTGAAAACAAGAAGTGTCAAGCACCACCACGTTTTCAGGCAGGCTTTTGGCCATTTCCACAAGACTTGCAGAATTATCCCCAAACCCATTTGCCGCCATTGCCGAATGAGCCAATTACTCCTCTCAAGATATAAAAGAGAATATTAATAAGATGTGCTAGAGAGGCTGCCAGGGAGAGTGTCCTTGTGGAGGGCTGCTGGGGTGCCATGCAGTTCACCCAAATGGGAGGAGGCAGGTAAGGAAAGGGGTGCCCTTCTGCAACCCACCTGCTTCAGATCAGAGAGAAACCAGAAAATATTAGAAAATGTTGGAAAACTTGAAGTGTGGAGAGTATGCATGGACTGGTGTCTCATTCATGGTTTTTGTTTTGCTTTGTTTTTTAGAGACAGGGTGTCACTGTGTCACCCAGGCTGGAGTGCAGTGGCATGATCATAGCTCACCGCAGCCTTGAACTTCTGGGCTCAGTCAATCCTCCTACCTCAGTTTCCTGAGGAACAAGGACCACAGGTGTGCACCACCATGCCTGACTAATTAAAAAAAAGTTTTTAGAGAGGGGATCTTGCCATGTTGCCCAGGCTGGTCTCAAACTCCCGGCCTCAAGCGATCCTCCCACCTCATCCTCCCAAAATGCTGGGATTATAGGTGTAAGCCACCATGCCCAGCCTCACTTGTGTTTTATAAAAAGGCTGAAAGCGAGAAGCTGTGGCTGAACTTCCCTGGAGGCAGAGGGAGGAGTGGGCTCTAGGAGGAGCTAGAAGCACCACACCAGGGGCATCACAGCGGCTATGACTTCCATGGGCCAGATGGCCTTGATCTGGGCCAAAGAAAGAAAGAAGGAGACTCCATCTGAGAAGACCATCTTGGGAGGAGGGGAGGTGGCAGCAGTAATCCCCACCTACAGGGAGTCAGAGTGGATAGAAGTTGAAGAGGCCAACCCAGGAATGATCATTGGTTGTGCCCAATGGGGCTGTCCAAGATCCCCACAAGAGGGACCCAGGAGACACACAATCCATATGTGGCCATGTGCCACACTTGTGTGGGCAGATTAGCACTGCCCCAGTCAAAGACAGCCTTTTCAGCCCCTCAACACTTCTCCTCTCTTCCCTTGAACCCCAAAGGAGCACAGTAAGTTCGGGGAAAGGACTAGTGGAAGACAGATGAGGGGATAGGAAGGAAGTTAACTGTGGCCTGGCCACACTGTAGACCTCCTAGCTGGAGGCAGGATGCGTCTAAGGAGAGGAAACACTGTGGTGAATTGGATGTGGGTTGGGGCTGGGTGCGGTGTCTCGTGTCCATAATCCCAATAATTCAGGAGGCCAAAGCGAGAGGATCGCTCAGGGCTGAGAATTTGAGACCAGTATGGCCAACACAGCAAGCCTATGTCTTTATGTATTTACTTTAAAAATATTTTTTAAAATAAAAATAAAAAATAAATGTGTGTTGGCATTTCAACTATGTATCAGATTTTTTAATATCTGAAGGTGATAGGTAAATCAATGAACTCAGAAATTCATCCAAGGACAGAGAAGAGCAATTATTGGAAAAATACATGCCATGATATTGAGGAAGAATCAGGTTGGTTTTTACTGTCTCTCTGCAGAGCCCGCCTTGTACAAAGAGCCCTGGGAGATACCGGGAAAATGGGGAGGCCACACCATGGCAGAAGACTCTTTCTAGAGGGATGTCTCTGCCCTGATCTTCCTAGGGAATTTTTGCACTTTTTCTTATGGAGCCTGGAGGAGCATGATGAGTGATGGTGGCCAAACTGGTTCTGCAGAGATGGTCTGGCACCTGCTGTGGTTGAGCTTTGAAGCCTCTGCCAAACACAAGGAGGGCACAGGAAAAGTCACATTTCACACCCCGTTGCAAAAGAATAGGATGAGTTGATGTGAGCTAAGTACTATGCACAATGCCTGGCACCCAGGAAATGGTATATGGAAGGTACAGCATCTTCATTTTACTATAGACAGAATGGATGCTAAAATTCATCCAAATCTTTAGTTGTCTCTATAATCTGAAATTCCACTCTCTGATTAATAAAGTTGTCTTTAAGAAAGTGGTTTTTCATTACGGAAATGAAAATTGTGACTAACAAACTCAAGTCCAGCCTCAGTCTCAGGAGGATCCGTTATGCAAAAAGGACCCTGCCTTTTGCAACATACAACACACAAACCCACAGCGGGTTCCAGTCTCAATGGCTCACTTGTCTGACAGGATCTTCGCTCAGAAAGAAACAATTGTCAGGTTCATGTTGTGGCCTAGCAAGAGTTTGGAAAGTTCCGTAAAGAAAAATAATGTAGACAAATTTAGAACCTGCCCCAGGTGTGTTGATTTGACGCCAAACCATGGATAGGTAACTTGATTCAGCTGAACCTCGTTAAAATAATGTTGGAAAACATTACATTACTGCAACGTCCTTTTTATTTATTTATTTATTTACTTATTTTTTTATTTTTGAGAGAGAGTCTTGCCCTGTTGCCCAGGTTGGAGTGCAGTGGCGCAATCTTGGCTCACTACAACTTCTGCCTCCTGGGTTCAAGCACTTATCCCACTTCAGCCTCCCAAGCAGCTGAGATTACAGGTGTGCACCACTACGCCTGGCTAATTTTTGTATTTTTAGTAGAGATGGGGTTTCACCATGTTGGCCAGGCTGGTCTCAAACTCCTGACCTCACGTGATCCACCAGCCACGGCCTCCCAAAGTTCTGGGATTACAGGCGTGAACCACCACGCTCGGCCCATTACTGCAACACTCTAAGAAATCGGTAATAACCATGTCATTACAGAGAAGCCCAAACCTTCCTATTCTATTTGACATGCACTAATTGAAAAAAGGCACTTTGATTGCTGTAACATAAGCCTATCATCCACTGAATTAGAGTCCATAATTATTAGAATCTATTTTGATGAGCACCTGCTTTGGGGGATGAAATACTCTATATGAGGCCTCTTTCTATCTAATATAGGACTCTTTATCTTTTTAAATGGTGATTTGGTGGCAGATGACAGTCAACATGTCTCTGAATCATCATGAGTTTTTAGCATTTTACGGAACTGGTTTGGAGATTAAAACTAACATCATTTTGTTACAACAGTGGTGCTGTGTAATAAAAAGGAGAAGTCATTCGTAGAGTTCATAAACCTTTTTTTAATAATTTAGATTTTAGGCCGGGCACAGTGGCTCACTCCTGTAATCCCAGCACTTTGGGAGGCCAAGGCAGGCGGACCACCTGAGGTCAGGAGTTTGAGACCAGCCTGACCAACATGGTGAAACCCCGTGTCTACTAAAAGTAAAAAATTTGCTGGGCATGGTGGCATGTGCCTGTAGTCCCAGCTACTCGGGAGGCTGAAGCAGGAGAATCGCTTGAACCCGGGAGGCGGAGGTTGCAGTGAGCCGATATCACGCCACTGCACTCCAGCCTGGGAGGTTGCAGTGAGCTGAGATTGTGCCGCTGCACTCCAGCCTGGGTGACAGAGTGAGACTACATCTCAAAAATAATAATAATTTAAAAAAGTGAATAATTTATATTTTAATTCATTCAACAACTATTCAGTGAGGGCTATTACATGCCCATAGGTAAGTGTTGCAATAAAAAGAAGAAATTTTTACATTTCTATTTTTTAAGGAAGGCATTTTCTGACATTTATGAGTAAGGATATTCCAAGAATATTGTCATGTATCTTGTTGTTTCACAGCTCAAGCTATGGGAATGAAAATTTTAATCTGAGTTTCTAATTATTTCCCCGAGACAGCTTGAGAGAGGGGGAGGTAACTTCCCCCATCTCCTAGGTAGGTGGTAGGTAACTAACCCTGCAGTGCAGAACCAATGCTCTGAAAATGACCAGGAAAAATGCCCCAATATCTACTGCTTCCTTCTAAGTGGGAAGATGGGAAAAGAATATTGGAAGAAAAAAATCAAAGTGATTATGAGAAAATCATAAGGGTAAAAATAAAACATGAGAGAGAGGAAAAGCAGCAGCTCTATATTATTTTTTAAGTCTTGTTATGGCAGTTGGTTGCTTTTATTTTCAAGTGGGTTAACCTGACATTGTATTCACTTTGACTTTAAATGCTAGAAGAGTACATTTCAGCAAAAAGAAAAAAAAAAGGCAATGGGAAACTTTCATTGTTATAAATGAAAAGTTGGCCAGGCATGGTGGCTCATGCCTGTAATTTGAGAATTTTGGGAGGCTGAGGTAGGAGGATCACCTGAGGTCAGGAGTTCAAGACCAGCCTGGCCAACATGGTGAAACTCCGTCTTTACTACAGAAATTGGCTGGGTGTGGTGGCATGTGCCTATAATCTCAGCTACTCAGGAGGCTGAGGCAGGAGAATCATTTGAACCTTGGAGGCAGAGGTTGCAGTGAATCGAGATCATGCCACTGCACTCCGGCCTGGGCAACAAAGCAAGACTCCGTCGCAAAAAAAAAAAAAAAATATATATATATATATATATATATGTATGAAAAGTGACCGTAAACATCTAGGGAGCTGCAGGTGGAAAGAGACAACACCCAAACAGATAAACAAGTGTCTAAAAATGCTGGCAACCGAGCAAGCAAACAAAAGGCATCAGACTTCACCTTGATCCATTATCAGATCTCAGAGTCATCTATGCAATCTTCCTCCCTGAACTTTCTAAATATCCAAAGCCAAATTCCTCCCCTCCCACGTCCCTGTCCCTGGCCTCGCCATTCACACACACCTTCTTTTCCCTGTCTTGCTGTGAAACTTGGCTTTCGCCATGCACCCAGTCCCCAGGCTAACCACCACCCCCAGTACCACATTACTTTTGCTCTTCTCTTCTGGAATACTGACTTCCAAGTCTAACATCTGTCACGTGATACACCGCAATTAAATAGCCTCCTAACCAGCCCCCCTTTCTCTCTGTTCTGCTACAGAGTGATGGCTCAAAACCAAATCAGGGCATGGCATTACCTGGCTTTAAAACCACTCATAGTTCTCTCACCTGCAGAATAAAGACCACACCCTCCAGCGTGACATTCAAGTTTTTTCTGAACCTGCCTCAGCAGCGTCACAGTGATGGCGATGGTGAGATCACACACACACATTTGTACATTTATAGTAGGACAAACTTCATGACCCTCAGGAGTTACTCTTCCAGGTTTTAGCTCCCACTGTTTCCTCTGCCTGGATCGCTTTTCTCCTTTAACTGCCTGGTGAAGTCTCATCCTTCAAGTACCAGCTCCCCAGCTCTATTACTTCCTGGAAGAGAGCTCACATGGAGCTAGAGTTAAGAGTGGTTCCTGCTGACGGCCCAGCACAACAAGGCAGAATGAGTGTGTGTGTCTACAGGCAGGAGTGGCTTATGCTACTTAAGAAAATCAAAGAAACAAGAGGACATATTTTTAAAATAACAGAAATGGAAGCAAACTGAATGAATTTTTTAAAGTTGCTGGAAAGAGAAGAATGAAACATGTCACAAAATAAAGAGACAAGATGATTTCTGGTCCCTTTTTATTTTCAGATGGCTTCACTTGACATTCAGTTTCACTGTAAGCACTGGAACAGCACAAGCCAGCCTTTTATTAAAAAGAGAGAGAGAGAGAGCGCCATTTATTTCCATATTAACTAGAAACAAGCAATGAGTCAGGTGTTTAAAAAAGAACATGATTGCCTTAATATCATCAACAGTGCAACCTCTGAATGAGGATGTGGGCTAGTAAAAATAAAAATAATGATTGATACATTTTTTTCTATTTACTTATCTACAGGGATTAAAAGGATTAGCTAGATGATGGATTGGAATGTTAAAACTCTCAGAAAACATATTTCCCTAGTTACAGATACAAACAATGAAGAACACTTGTCTTTGTGTCAAATTCTAATAAATGATATTCAGGTATATTACAAAGAAGTCAAAACGCTTATTTCAATGCCAAAGGGGGAGCTGGTGAAGTAAACTGGTTGTAACCTATTAGAGTTCTCCTTTCCCATGTTCTGCAGGGAAGAAAACAAATCAGTTCATTTTCCAAGTGCAGATCATCTCCAAATGTCATGTGCAAAATTATGCTTACCTGTCTATTAAGATAAAATGAATCAGCAGTGAAACTTACATTATGTTAAAGACAGAACAGCAAAGACGAGACAAGGTATAAATTCTGAACCGTCTAGCTAAATATTATAGGAGGTGTCCTTTTCACTTTGTAGGTCCTAGCTGAAACCTGTTGCAAAAAGGGTGGTGAAGAGTTAGCTGAAATCAAGATTCCTTGGAAGGCAATCCACAATGGATTTGCAGAATGAGGTCTGCAAGGACAAAAGTCAAATTAAATCATGTCCTTTTATCACCTGGCTAGAGACTGGTCCATACCCCCTACCATTTCCTTGATTTGGTTTACACTAAGACATTTCTGGGCCTTTGCTACTCCTGTCTCTGCCTGAAATGTCCTTCCCCAACCTTCTCTGACTCATAAAATCTTATTGATCCTTTATGACCCAGTCCAAATGTCACTTCAGTGACCCTCCCACTTTGGCCCCATGTCCCTGGAAACAGCCCTCTGCATATACTTTTATTATACTGTTTATCTCTTGATATCATGGCTGTTTCCTCCTATGCCTGTCTCTCCCTCTGAACTCAGCCTGTTCCATTTTTCTGAGCACCAAGCTCAGTGAGCATTCAAAGAATGCTTGATGAAAGAATTACTAAATTAATGCATAAATGGAGATGAAATTGCTGGCCTTAAACCTGCCCATGTCATCCCCTCTCTTAAACTGTCTACTCCCAGTTTCCAGTATCCCTTTGTTGTAAGGCAAGGCCATCAGATGATTTCCAAAATAACTACAACTCCGGGATTCTAAAGCAGTTTTCTTCTGTATCAGTTAATTATTGCTGCATGACAGTCTATCCCCAAAGTTAATGATTGACTATATATCATTTCTCTATCATTTGATGTTCTTGTCTGGGCTCATTCATGAGACTACATTCAGCTGGCTGCAGTGCAGGGACCAAGATGGACTTGTCAGGAGCCTTGGATCGAGCTGGCAGCTGGGTACCTTGGTCCTCTTCCAAGCCTCCTTTCATCCTCCACGCACTAGACTAGCTTTTTTACTTGGACAAGCTCCAATGCGTGAGCAACTATCAAGCCTCTGCTACGCCATACTTGCCGGTGTCCCATTGACCGAGGCAAGTCACGTGGCCAAGCCTAGTCATTGAGGGGTGAATTAGATTCAGCCTCTTTCTAAGCAAAGTGGCAAATAATTTGTAGTCATTTTTAATCTACTACGACTTCATTGAAATCCTATTAATTTTCTTGTCACCACCATTGTAAATGGGATCTTTTTTCTATTTTGCCTCTTCCTGTCAATATTTTTACCCTTAAATGTAGGCCCTTATCTAATTTAATTGGTTAGCCCTTCCAGCTCAATGCTTAAAAAATAGTTCTGAACTTGCTGGGAATGCTTCTGCTATTAAACCACTTATAAAGTTGATCATTGATTTAAGTAAATATTCTTTACCACTGAGGGAAATATCCCTCTATTTTATTTCACCACGGGTTTTTGTTGTTGTTGTTGTTGTTGTTGTTTTAATTAGTCGTTCATGTTGAATGTTAACAAAATAGAATCTTAGAGGATCGAAAAACTGTCTATCAGGTACTATGCTTATTAACCGGGTGATTAAATAACCTGTACACCAAACCCCCGTGACATGCAATTTACACACATAAAAACCTCCAAGTGTATCCCTGAACCTAAATAAAAGTTTAAAAATTGATTTTAAATTTTACAAAAAGAATCTGTTAGTATTTTTTAATTAATATAACGGGTTATATGAATAGATTTCTCACTACCGAGCATTCATTCTGTTTTTTATACAGATCCTCCCTCTCCGGCCTCCCACCCTCAGCTGTCAAGAGATGACTATTCTGCATACAGACTGTCAATGGATTTCAGCCTTCCAGTTCCACTTCTTCCTCTTCCCCAGCTGTTAGCATCTAGTTCTGTGCTGTCCAACCCAATCACAATATGCCACCTGATGCTACTGAACACTCTGAATATGGTGAGCTTGAATTGAAGTGTGACACAGTGTAGAACACACAGACTTTGAAGGCTTAGCACCAAAAAAAGAATGTAGATCTCTCACCAATAATTTTAATATTGAGTACATGTTGAAATGAAGCCATTTTAGATATATTGGATTAAATAAAATATCATATGAAAATTTCTTTTTTTACCTTTTTTAATCTCACTACTAGAAAATTTTAAATTATATTACATACATAACTACATGTATCTCTATTGGACATCACTGATCTAGAGGAATTCTACTCTTTGGTTGTACATATTCCTAAGATATTTTGATATTCCTGTTTAAAGATAGTTGACCAGGGACGTTGGCTAACGCCTGTAATCCCAACACTTTGGGAGGCCAAGACGGGTGGATCGCTTGAGGCCAGGACTTCAACACCAGCCTGGCCAACATGGTGAAACCCCTTCTCTACTAAAAATGCAAAAAATTAGCTGAGCATGGTGGCGTGGTGGCATATGCCTGTAGCCCCAGCTACACGGGAGACTGAGGCACAAGAATTGCTTGAACCCCAGAGGCAGAGGTTGCAGTGAGCTGTGCCATGGTACCCGGTCTGGGCAACCAAGCAAGACTGTCTCAAATAAAATAAAATAAAATGGAGATAGTTGAACGTACTTGTGATCCATAGTCAGAGTTGTGACCTGGCTTTGTTCTCACCTCTCTCTATACATGCCCTAGATAATCCCCTCTTCTCTGGGTTTGACCACGTGACTTAGCAAATGCAATCAGAGGGTTAAAAAGTGTTTGTGTATTAGGGTTGCCCTCTCTTGCTGCTGGAACCCTGAACCGCCAAGCGAAGCAGCCAGGCCAGCCTTTTAGAGGATGAGAGACCATAAAGAAAGACAGGCCATGCTGTCTCACACATTTCTTCCAGCCAAGCCCAGATCCCAGCTGACATCAGCCCCATGACTAACCCCAGGCAAGACCAGCAGAAGTGTTACCCAGCCCAGCCAGAGAATGGAAAGAAATAAGAAACCGTTGTTGCTTTGTCACAAAAATTTGGATATAATTTTTATGCAGCACAGGCCAACCAACTCAATGCTCTATGTCTTTAAGATGGAAATCATGCTATGTGTATGGTGAGCACTGGCCATCCTCAATTTAATTAGTGAAACTGATTGCCAACTTCTCTAGAGTCTCTTGCAATTTTATTTTAAACTAGACAAACCTGTCACTGGTATGTCATTTCTTACCAATGTCTTCTCCCTTACTTTCTATCTTCCTTATCATGCAGTTCAAAATTCACATACTTTATGGGTTTCTCTCAAGCAACTTCCTTCTTTGCCAACCAGTGACAGATAGGCACTCTTGCCTCCATGAGGTAACTTTTATTGCCTGCACAATAAGTAACTTTTCACAGGTAATGTGACTAACAGGTGACACAGGTCATTACCTCTCCCACGTATCTTTCAGCTGACACATCCTCTAAATCCAGCCCACCTCCTCCCAATGGGATCAGCGGGTATTCCCCAGGCAAGAGAGGGAGCACATATCTTCAAATTCATTAAATCTGGTATTTAGAGCAGAGTTGGCAACCAAGCAACATCATCACTAGAATTTACTGTTCATGAATTACTCTCTAATAGAATCAATTTTCTAAGAGATTTAAAACCTATTTAAATCAAAACACAAATAACATGTGGCTGGGGGCTGATAACAGAACAGGGCGTTGACTGGCCACTGTAGGTTTCTTAAAGAAGGCTGCCAATTCCTAATGTGTTTGCTTTCTTTTGATTTTCTATCTTCCCCATTCTACCCACTGCAATTTGTATCCTTTTCACAGCTTCATTTTATCATTCCAGTTTGAAATTTCACATTCAAATCGTCCAGTTACATATAAATATTCTTCTGGGTGCAGTAGCATGCACCTGCAGTCCTAGCTACTCAGGAAGTGGAGGTGGAAAAATCCCTTGAGCCCAGGAGTTTGAGGCTAGCCAGGGCAACATAGCAAGATCCCATCTCTAAATTACCTAAGTGAAATTAAAATGAAAAAATTCTACTTTCAGAAATATTCAATTATAATGTCAATGAGAGAAATATTTTTGGCTTGGCACAGTGGCTTATGCCTATAATCCCAGCACTTTGGGAGGCCGAGGTGGGAGATGACTTGAGGCCAGGAGTTCAAGACCAACCTGGCCAAGATGGTGAAACCCCATCTCTACTAAAAATACAATAATTAGCCAGGTGTGGTGGCGCACGCCTCTCATCCCAGCTACTCAGGAGGCTGAGGCATGAGAACCACTTGAACTTGGGAGAAGGTTGCAGTGAGCTGAGATGGCGCCATTGCATTCCAACCTAGGCGACAGAGCGAGACTCTGCCTCAAATAAAAATGTTGCAATGTATGTTGACTCTTTAGCTTATATTCCATAGGTACAGAAAGCTAGATATACCTAAATATTGCCTTCTCACATCACTAACAATGTCATCAATACAAATGTACTGCTCTCTGCTATACTCTTGTAGGTTCCCATTTTTATTATAAATTTCGGAAACACTAGATGATGAGTATAAGGAGGTTGAAACTCAATATTACCCAAATATAGATTAATCCAGCTCTGTTAGTATTAACAAAAAATATCATTTTTGGCCGGGTGTAGTGGCTCACATCTGTAGTCCCAACATTTTGGGAGGCCAAGGCGAGCAGATCACGAGGTCAGGAGATCAAGACCATCCTGGCCAACATGGTGAAACCCCATCTCTAATAAAATACAAAAAATTAATCGGGCGTGGTGGCGTATGACTATAGTTCCAGCTACTCAGGAGGCTGAGGCAGGAGAATCACTTGAACCCGGGAGGCGGAGGTTGCAGTGATCCGAGATCACGCCACTGCACTCCAGCCTGGGTGACAGAGCAAGACTCCACCTCACAAAAAAAAAATGATTTTTATATGTTATGTATTTTATAAAGGTTTTCTCACCCATCCTTATGGAAATCCTACTGAGTAGAAACCATTTCATTTTACTTTTTTTTTTTTTTTTTTTTGAGACACGGTCTTGCTCTGTTACCCAGGCTGGCACACAGTGGCGCCACCTCAGCTCACTGCAGCCTTGGCCTTTTGGGCTCAAGCAATCCTCCTTTCTCAGCCTCACAAGTAGCTGAGACTACAGGCGCCCAACATCAGACCCAGCTATTTTTTTTTTATTTTTGATAGATACAGCTTCTCACTTCTTTGCCTAGGCTGGTCTCCAACTCTTAGGCTGAAGGGATCCTCCCATCTTGGCTTCCCAAAGTGCTGGGATTACAGGTGTGAGCTACCACACCTGGCTTTCATCTTACTATTGAAGAAAAAAGGCTCCCAGAGTTGGTGCTAATTACCTTCCCATCATCAGTTCGAAAGTCACTTCTGCCTGCACCATGGTACCTACATTAAGAAAGTAAGACGTTAGAGTACATGCTCTCTAATGTCCTTCCAGCCTCAACGTTGGCTTATTTGCACATACTATAGTAGGTGTGCCCAGTTCCCTATCGCTGGGCATTTTTCCCAGGTCTCTGTGACACGTAACAGGGTCAGGAATGAAAGTATACCTGCCCAATTGTTAACATTATATGTTGTTATTGATCCAAATGAACTGAAAACCGATAAAATGCCTAACCCATGGCATCAAGCTTTGCAAACAAATGACAAGTTTGGTAAGTTTAACAGGTTCCGTTTTGAAAGGCATCTGCAAGGTAGAGGTGGCAGAGAAAGCTAAGCTGATGACAAAATGGTCTTTCTCAAAAGCATATGCTTAGAAAGTCTCTATTTTACGACATTCACTTTACTAGACTTTAAACAATTCTCACATCAACCATAAAGCAAGCAATATGCATTTCTGCATGTGTCTATATGGTGTACTTTTGAAATCAGTATGTATTAATCAATGTTAATAATGATTAACTCCTCTATTTCTCATATTGTAGCTGTTTCAGTGGAATTTATCCCATTTCTGTCTGGGTAAAACATAACTGAGAGCAGCAGTGAGACAGGATAAAGAACTTTCCAGTGCAGGTTTACAGTGCGTTCCACTCTTAGCAATGACTGGTGAAAAATCACATGTCCGTCCTGCTACTCAGATTATGACAATGTATTACTGTTCAGGGAAGGGGAGGCTATTATGCCCTGAAAATATGGAAGGAGACACTTGCTTTTATACTCCTTTTTCTTTCCCAAGTCCAGGGCATTCATCAGTCAAAATGGCTTGTTAAATTAATTAGTTTTTACTTTCTCCAAAACAGTAAGTCCTATGGGATGGGGCAATACTTCTCTTACGAACCACCACAGTTTTATTTGACATCTGTCGGCTAAAATTTTCCCTTTTATATAATTTAAACTTTCTTTTAATTATTTGTCATTATTACTACTATTGTTATTTTGGAGACAGAGTTTCGCTCTTGTCACCCAGGCTGGAGTGCAGTGGTGCGATCTCGGCTCACTGCAACCTCTGCCTCCCAGGTTCAAATGATTCTGGTGCCTCAGCCTCCCATGTAGCTGGGACTACAGGGATGCACCAACCATGCCCGGCTAATTTTTTTGTATTTTTAGTAGAGACATGGTTTTGCCATGTTGGCCAGACTAGTCTCAAACTCCTGACCTCAGGTGACCCACCTGCCTCAGCACCCCAAAGTGCTGGGATTACAGGCGTGAGCCACCGTGCCTGGCCTAAACATTGTAACTGAAGTTTATGAACTAGAAATATACAATGTTTCCCTGCGTTACTAGGTTCAACATATTTTGGACATAAGTTCAGAATACCAATAGCATAATATTGTACACATAAAATTAGACCATTCATAGAGTTGCCTTATTTGCTTAGCGACCACAGGAAAGAAAGGGTATTCAGAGTTCCAGGAAAAAAATAAGAAAATATGTTTGTTAATACTTCTAAGGATGCTATGCTCACCAGTATTAATATGATAATATTTAAAATGACCTTTGGAAAGAAGAAATAATATAAAGATGAAAAATCAGGCTGTCTGGTTTTTTTCTTTACCAGTATACAGCGTATTTGCTGAACATATTCTTGAAGTTCAAAGTCAATGCCATATATGAATTTTGTTATGACTGATTTGTATGTTGAATTTCATCATTGCTATTTGTTTCCATGTAAAGACTGTTTCTATATCATGTTTAAACATAAAAAATACTTACAAATGTGGAAATATACCACTCCATTTTTTCCTGGAATATGTGCACATCATTTATTCTGCATGTATTTCTGTGAATGGCCTGACTGTTATTGTATCAAAATAGAATTTAGCTCTGTTCACATAAGACTAGAGCTAGTTACGGCCATAAAAGACTAGAGCTAGTTATGGCACATTCACAATTATGGGAGAAAAAATGTGTGTCATAGGAATGTGAGATTTTACTTCAAAATTAGAAAAACGGAGACACTTAACTGATCATGATTTTTTAAAATAATCTTTTTCATATGTTTAAAATTCTAGAGAAATACAATGTGTAAAATCTCAAACAAAATAAAAATCAATTGTACATCCCATTGTTCCTTCTAGTATTTTTGTATACACAGATATTCTTTTTAAGATTTAATTGGTTTCATACTGCCCCACTACTTTATCATCAGCTTATTATAAAGGGTACTCTAGGCTGGGCGTGGCAGCTCACACCTGTAATCCCAGCACTTTGGGAGGCTGAGGTGGGTGGATCACGAGGTCAAGAGATCGAGACCATCCTGGTCAACACTGTGAAAACCTGTCTCTACTAAAAATACAAAAAAATTAGCTGGTTGTGGTGGGGCACACCTGTAGTCCCAGCTGCTGGGGAGGCTGAGGCAGGAGAATCGCTGGAACCCTGGAGGTGGAGGTTTCAGTGAGGAGAGATCACGCCACTGTACTCCAGCCTGGCAAAAGAGCGAGACTCCATCTCAACAACAACAACAAAGGTACTCTAGTGGATATCTTTATACTAAATCTTTCTACATACTCTGTTTATTTCCTTGAAGCAAACACCTAGAAAGTTAATTCAGAAACCAAAATAAAGGTTCATATTTAAGATTTTTAAAAACAAATTTCAACATCATGTCTGAAATAAATGTTTATTTACTTTACCTCTAGTAGTGATTTTTTTCCACAACTCTGGCCAAATTTGGGTAGTATTTTTCCCCCTACATGATTTCAATCTAAGAAGAAAAAAAATGGTTTCTCTTTGTTCTATTTGGCATTTTTGTGAATAAAAGGGTCATTTAATTCATCACCCTGGAACTTGACTAGTTGATGTCTATTTTCTTTTTCTCTGTGCATATTCTTCACCCAATTTTCACCGCAATACTAAGATTTCCTGTTGATTTGCCAGACAGATGAAACATCAACTTCTTTTCCGCCACGTAAACTAATAAAGATTTGTCTTAATTTTGTGTGAGGCATGTTGAAATCAAAATATTTTAAACTCTTACGTAGCTAAATCTATCAACCTTTTTCTCCATCATTGCCATCTTGGATGTTTTGCTTAGAAAACCTTTTCACTCCTGTAGCTTTACCTCCACCTCCACTTCCTTCTAATTCTTTTATTATTAGTTTTTTGTCTCGTTGTGTTTTGTTCGTGGTTTTTTGTTTTGTTTTGTTTTTGTTTTTGTTTTGTTTTTGTTTTTTGAGACGGAGTTTCGCTCTTTTGCCCAGGCTGGAGTGAAGTGGCACGATCTCGGCTCACCGCAACCTCCAACCCCCATGTTCAAGCAATTCTCCTGCTTCATCCTTCTGAGTAGCTGGGATTATAGGCACTCGCAACCAAGCCTGGCTAATTTTTGTATTTTTAGTAGAGATGGGGTTTCACCATGTTGGCCAGGCTGGTCTTGAACTCCTGACCTCAAGCGATCCACCTGCCTCGGCCTCCCAGAGTGCTAAATTACAGGCATGAGCCATCGCGCCCGGCCAGTATTAGTTTTTACGTGTAACTAGGTAGTCCACCTAGACTTTGTTTTTACATATTTTGTAATGTATATGTATGAACTTAGGTTTTTTTCTTCTTCCAAAGCTAAACAATTGCCACAATACTATTGAGTTTTCATGCCTTTCTCTATGATTTGAAATCCCACTTTTCTCATATTATAAATTTATAACTAAGGTCTACTTTTTTGCTTCAATTGATGATATTTTTATTGATCTACCTTCATATTCTAGTGCTAACATAGAATTTAAGTTATTATAGCTTTAAACTACATTTAACAGCTGGAGTGTGCAGACCCTTTCATAACTGCTCTATTTAAAAGTTTCTTGATGTGTTTCATTCATTTATTTTTTTTTTGAATGAACTTTGAAATCACCTGTCCAGTTCCTGTCTGACACTTTATTGGGATTGGATTGGGTCTGTACATTAACGTGGAAAGGGTTACCATCAGTGTAGTACTCGGTTTTTACATTTAGGACTTTGCCCAGTGGCCATGTGGTTTTCTCAAAAGATAAATTTTGCCAAAAATGAAACAAACCCCTTGTGAATAAAAATAAATAAATAAATAACAACAGAAACTGAAAATTATCTCAAAGACCTCAATGAATTTTGTCCATGGCATGGTAAATATGTTTGCCCTGCAGTAGACAGGAAGGGCCAGGGTTGAAGAGAAGCAAGCATGGCAAGACAGAGGCAGCTGCTGATTCCTAGAACAGCAACTCCCACCCCAACTCCCACCCAGCATTTCCCTCTTGTCAAGGGAGGCCACTGTGACTGTACGCCAAGAAGGGTTTGAAGCCACTAGAAGATAAAACTTAAGCATATTTTTTGAAATAGTGGCACAGTATCACAGGATGCCTTCTGATTTGTGTGAGAGGGTGGCAAGTTGATTCCTGTTTTAGTGGCCATCTAAAGTCGCCACACAAGAAATGAAATAAGACAAATTCAAAATGTTGTATACTCTCACGTGTGTAATCCCAGCAGTTTGGGAGGCCGAGGCAGGCAGATCACTTGAGCTCAGGAGTTTGAACCCAGCCTGGCCAACACGGCAAAACCCTGTCTCTACCAAAAATACAAAAATTAGCCAGGCATGGTGGTGTGCACCTATAATCCCAGCTACTCAGGAGGCTGAGGCAGGAGAATCGCTTGAACCCGAGAGGCAGAAGTTGTAGTGAGCCAAGATCACTACAGTGAGTGAGATTCCATCTCAAAAAAAAAAAAAAAAAAAAATGTATACATCACAGCAGCATTCACAATAACCAAAAAAGGTAGAAGCAACCCAAGGGTTCACTGATGGATGACTGGATAAACAAAATCTGGAATTTATCGACAATAGGATATTATTTTTTGCCATAATAAGAAGGAAATTCTGACATATGCTACAACATAGATGAATCTCGAGCGCATTATGCTAAGTGAAATAAGCCAGTCACAAGATAACAAATATTGTATGAATCCATTTACATAAGCTATCTAGAGTAGTCAAATTCAGAGTGACAGGAAATAGAGGGGTGATTGCTAGGGGCTTGGGGGATAGCAAGGATGGAGAATTGATGAATGGGGATAGAATTCCAGTCGTGCAAAATGGAAAGAGTTCTGCCAGTTGGTTGCACAACAAGGTGAATGAACCTAAGACTACTGACCTTTACCTAGGTGACCTGTACATGTAACATGTTTAAGATGGTAAACTTTATGTGGATGTTACTATAATTTTTTAAAAAGCGATGTATGCTACATTCTTCTATTGTGTTACTATGCAGGAACTTTACAAAAATTCTTTCATTTATTTAATAGATTTGTACTGAGTACCACTAAGAGCTAGGCACTATTCCAGCAGCTGAGATATAGCCACAAGCAACATCTCTAGTCTTTGAAACTTACAATGCGGTGTAGGAAACAATATAGATAAGTCAGTACACACATATTAGAAAACACGTGGCAGTGATAAATTCTATAAACAGAACAAATTAGAGGGAAGTGATACTGAGCTAACAAGAGGGCTATTTCACACTCGATGTGAAAAGTTATTGATTTATTTTCTACAATATTAGGCACTCACAGTTGGTAAAACAGCTGTTGGACTACTGGCCAAAAAGAAAAACTAATACAATATTGAAGGGGCTTTGTTCAATTCAGGCTGTTTTAATGCTATTTAAAAATAAAGATCATAGTTTAAGTTTTTTCATAGTCTAATTTTTATTCTATAACTCACTGAAGTAGATTTACCATAGGATGATTATCAGTGGAGTTCATTTCTCACTCCTATTCAGAATTCTCATAGTATAACATTGTGAACAAAATTGTCTTATCGCTTAGCAAACACAGGAAAGGGTGTTCAGAGTTCCAGGAAGAAAAAGAGAAAATAGCCTTTGGAGAAAGTAAAATAAAGACCTGGCAGAGGGAATCTGAGGACATCTTATTATGGCAAAGTGATCTAGTGCAGGGGTCCCCAACCCCTGGGCCACCAACCAGTACCAGTCTGTGGCCTGTCAGGAACTGGGCCACACAGTAGGAGATGAGCCATGGGCGAGCAAGCATTACTGCCTGAGCTCCACCTCCTGTCAGATCAGTGGTGGCTTTAGATTCTCATGGGAGTGTGAACCCCATTGTAACCCGCACATGCGAGGGATCTAGGTTGCCTGATCATCCAAGATGGAACAGTTTCATCCCGAAACCATCTTTACCCCCACAACCCCATGGAAAAATTACCTTCCATGAAACCTGTCCCTGGTGCCAAAGAGTTTGAGGACTGATGATCTAGTGGACCCTCTGTCCTAGCCAAAGTTGGTAATGTGACTTTCCAAGATGAAGCTGTTGCAGGTTGCACCTTTGTGCGAGGTGGTAGCAGAGGCCTAGAGTGCAGGCAAACAGGGGACTCAGCATCAGTCCCTTCAGAATTCACTGCTGGGGGCTCACTATTCATTTCAAAAGCTGCAGCATAGTGAACAGATTCTTGCATTACTACCGGGCCCTTCTTCAGAAAAGAAATCTGTGGTAGAACCTGGGTATCCACTTACACAGCCAGGTCCTAATGTCAGCAATCATTCATTCATTCCTACCACAGAGTGACTCATGCTTTATTTCTCCCTCAGACTTCAGATGAACTCAGAAGGCCAGGGAACAGAGGTCAGCTCTATCCCCAGATGCTATGCTTAACACAGTCACTTCTTTCTCTATTGTCGCAGAAAGTGAGCCCCACAGGCCTACGCTTATTTGTCGTAAATATCTGGAGCTATCCCATACTCGTATGGGATAGATTGTTTTCTATGCTAAGGAAAAAGAAACATTCAAACAAATCAACCTGCTTACTGAGATGTATGTCACAATCTGTTTTGGCCAGACGGTCATTTGTTGGAAAATTCAGTAGGTACTATGTGGAAGAACTCAGGGCAGAAAGACATAATATTGATTTGTTGAGTGGCTGCGGTGGCCCAGGCACCAAGATGTGTTTGGAGGACAGAACAGAACAAGATCTATGTGGTCCCTGCCCTCAGAGAACTCCCAGACCAGCTAGAAAACAAAATGATTCAAGGACTAAGGAACTGTGGTAAGTGGTGTGACAGAAGGGGTGTCACGGAAGTATATGAAAGGAAAAATTAATTAACTTCATCTAGGGGATGAGGAAACCCTCCCAGAGAAAATGGCACTTAAGCAAAGATCTAAGGATGCACTGGAGTGGGGAAGTGATAGGCAGGGCACTAGGAAAAGAGAAGGGCATTTGCAAAGGTCTGGAAGCAAAAGGGCACACAATGTTCGGGGAAAATGTGGGGGGAAATCCAGTTTCTTTGGGTTATAATGTGAGGAGATGAGGCGGCAGGGAGGGAGAGACAGGGCTGGAATGCAGGGCTGGGTGGGACTGGGAATGGTCTTGTAAAGGGTTGATGCAGGCCAGCTGTGAGGTTCGTGTGGCTAATAAAAAGGGAGCCACAAAGCCCGGTGTAGGAGACCAGTTAGCAGCTTAAGGAGAAAGATGGGAGAATGGCCTGTACTGGGAAGAGGCAGTAGAGAAGAAAGAGACATGGAAGGACGAAAGACAGATTTAGGAGGTAGAACCCCCAGGATGCCCTTCCTCCCCACAGGTAAATAACACCTGGGCTTCACTCATTCCACAGAGATCTAAGCAAAAACGAAACTATGTTGGAAGAGGATTCAAATCACATGAAGCATTTATGAAGTGGCAGTGTCACACATGATACCTTCTGACATGTATGAGAGGGATGGCAGACTGATTCCTGCTTTAGATAGTTAATCACCACACAGTTAATGAAACAAGACAAATTTTAAATGATGCATAGGCCAGGCACAGTGGCTCACACCTGTAATCTCAGCACTTTGGGAAGCCAAGGTTGGCAGATGAGTTGAGGTCAGGAGTTCGAGACCAGCCTGAGCAACAAGGTAAAATCCCGTCTCTACTAAAAATACAAAAATTATCTGGGCATGGTGGTGGGTGCCTATAATCCCAGCTACTAGGTAGGCTGAGGCAGGAGAACTGCTTGCTTGAACCCAGGAACCAGAGGTTGCAGTGGGCCGAGATTTTGCCGTCACACTCTAGGCTGGGCAGCAGAGCAAGACTCCATCTCAAAAAAAATTTTTTTAATTAAAAAAAATTAAAAGTGATGTATATATCACTATTACATAAATGATGCAACAGCATTATTCACAATAGCCAAAAGGTAAAAGCAATCTAAGTGTCTATGGATGGAAGACTGGATAAACAAAATGTGGTATTTATGCACAATAGAATATCATTCAACCTTCAAAAGGAAGGACATTCTGACACATGCTACAATATGGATGAACCTGGAGGACATTAAGCTCAGTGAAATAAGCCAGTCACGAAAGGACAAATACGGTCCGATTCCAGTTCTATGAGGTACCTAAAGTAGTTAAATTTATAGAGAGAAAAAAGTAGAATGGTGATCACCAGGGCCTGTGAGGGAGGGAGGAAAGGAGAGTTAGTGTTTAGTGGGTACAGTGTCAGTTTGGGAAGAGGAAAAAATCCCAGGAGTGGATGGTGGTGAGGGTATCACAACAATGTGAATGTATGTCATACCAATGAGCTGTACACTTAAAGATGGTTACAACGGTCAACTGTATGTTACATATATGTTACCACAGGTTTTTTTTTTAATTTAAAAATATTCTTTTAAAAAAAGCAGTCACTGTCATTCCTAGTGTTGTCCACTCTGGAATATTCAAAATTATTTCAAACCAATGCTAAATTAACTTGAATTTTAAAAATAGTTTTAATTTTAAACAATTATAAAGGCAATACGTTTTCATTGTAAAAATCTAGAAAATACAAAAAAGTGTTATTAAAGGATAATTTTTAGAAAAAATGTAAACATCGTGACTTTCACACAAATATAAAATGAATATGTGTGAAAGAGGTTATTTAACTCATTATTGAATAAGGAAACCAGTATGATGTTAAAACCAAAGAAGCTGGCCACTTGCCTGCAGTCCTAGCTACTCCAGAGGCTGAGGCGGGAGACTCACCTGAGCCCAGGAGTTTGCAACCAGCCTGGGCAACACAGCGAAACTCCCCAACCCTGTTTAAAATAAATAAATAAATAAATAAATAAATAAATAAATAAAAGAAAAAGGAAAAAAAAAAAGCAAAGAACAAAAGGACACACATATACAGACAAACAGGAATGCTAAAATGAATTTACAAATCAATGCCATACTGGTCAGTATCCATTGGACAATAATCATTCCACTGGGACGAACTCATTAGCCTTGATGTTGGCAAAAGTCATTTGCAATACTACAGGCTTTCTATAATTTATAGAGTTGTAAAATAACCTACAGACGAGAAAGGCCACAGTACACTGTAAAATTAAATAAACCTGCAAAAAACGCTAAGCAGGACATCCGGGAACACTGGTCCCTCTTTCTAGTCCCCTTGAAAGTCTCACAAGGCTGAAAAAGGAAAGTAAAATCCTTGTGTAACCCTTCTGCCCAGAAGTACACTGGCACAGATTCTTTAGAGACGAATTTAATCCAGAGTGTGGAGCCTTTATTAAGGAAATAATCCGGTGCAACGTTCTGGGACACGCTCCTGGACTGGGTGGGCTTCTGCACACTCACCCAGCGCACCTCCAATCCCCGGGAGCGCTCGGCACCGCCCACTTCTCTGCGAGTGGCTGCAAGTTGCAGAGCAAACCAGGGGGCGATCTGGAACCCTCTGGGAGTAAAGGGCTAAGCTATAAGCGCAGGGTCGACGGGCAGGGACCGGAAACAAATTCTAGGAACCGAGATCCGCTGAGCAGCAGGGAAGCTGCGCAGCCACCGCGTCCCGCCAGCGCCGCCTCTTTCCCTCCCCGCCCACCGCCCGCCTGGCCCGGCGGGGCGGCGCGAGGACCCAGGGGCGGGGCGACCTTTGCTCCGGCCGTGAGCAGTCCAGGCCAGGCGTGGCCCAGCCGCCCGGCTGCAAGGTGGGGTGTCCCCGCCGCTCGGATCCCCATCTCACCTGCCGCGGGCGAGGTGGCCCCGCCGCTTCCTGCGCTCACCTCGGGTCCCTCCCTCCCGGGCCAGGTTTGGCCGCGGCAGCCGCCCCTGGGCGCCCGCGCCCGGACCCGCGGTTTCGGTCAGACCCGCCCGCGGGCTGGTTTCGATTAGGGCCAGTAGGAGGGCGGAGCGGCCGGGACGCCAGGAGGGAACTAGCCTAAGTGGGGACGGTCCCCGTGCAGGAGACAAAGAGCGTCCCTGGAGCGATCAGGGCTCAGGAGCCCGACCCGGAGCCCGGGGCGTCCGCGCTGACTTCGGGTCCCCGGAGCCTGGGGCACGGCAGGGAGAAGACGACGGCGGAGAAGGCGACAGCGGAGAAGGAAGGCAGGCTGCAGGGGCGCCGTCGGCGCGGCGGGCCGGGATGCGGACGCCGGTGGTGATGACGCTGGGCATGGTGTTGGCGCCCTGCGGGCTCCTGCTCAACCTGACCGGCACCCTGGCGCCCGGCTGGCGGCTGGTGAAGGGCTTCCTGAACCAGCCAGTGGACGTGGAGTTGTACCAGGGCCTGTGGGACATGTGTCGCGAGCAGAGCAGCCGCGAGCGCGAGTGCGGCCAGACGGACCAGTGGGGCTACTTCGAGGCCCAGCCCGTGCTGGTGGCGCGGGCACTCATGGTCACCTCGCTGGCCGCCACGGTCCTGGGGCTTCTGCTGGCGTCGCTGGGCGTGCGCTGCTGGCAGGACGAGCCCAACTTCGTGCTGGCAGGGCTCTCGGGCGTCGTGCTCTTCGTCGCTGGCCTCCTCGGCCTCATCCCGGTGTCCTGGTACAACCACTTCTTGGGGGACCGCGACGTGCTGCCCGCCCCGGCCAGCCCGGTCACGGTGCAGGTCAGCTACAGCCTGGTCCTGGGCTACCTGGGCAGCTGCCTCCTGCTGCTGGGCGGCTTCTCGCTGGCGCTCAGCTTCGCGCCCTGGTGCGACGAGCGTTGTCGCCGCCGCCGCAAGGGACCCTCCGCCGGGCCTCGCCGCAGCAGCGTCAGCACCATCCAAGTGGAGTGGCCCGAGCCCGACCTGGCGCCCGCCATCAAGTACTACAGCGACGGCCAGCACCGACCGCCGCCTGCCCAGCACCGCAAGCCCAAGCCCAAGCCCAAGGTCGGCTTCCCCATGCCGCGGCCGCGGCCCAAGGCCTACACCAACTCGGTGGACGTCCTCGACGGGGAGGGGTGGGAGTCCCAGGACGCTCCCTCGTGCAGCACCCACCCCTGCGACAGCTCGCTGCCCTGCGACTCCGACCTCTAGACGCTTGTAGAGCCTGGGGGGCGCCGGGTGGCAAAGGACTCACCCCCGCACAGGCCCGCCTGGCTTCGAGTTGGAACCCGGACACTTGCCCCTCACTGGTGTGGATGGAAATCTGCCTTTCGTGGGACCAAACAGGACTCCTTGGACGATTAGTTCAGGTTGGGTTTGGTTTTCTTCTTAAAGAGTTTAGTTTTCCTCTCCAGAGGGATCAGGGTCCTCTTAGGGAGTGACGGGCTTTTCATATATTTTTGCTGAAGAATATATGGAAAGGGTGGCATTTGCGTCACGTGGACCAGGGACAGTGCTGAAATCAGCAGTGCTCAGAAACAATTTAACATGTTGAAACGACAATATTCTAAAATACTGATGAATCTTGCATCAATATAATTATTGGGTTTTTTTTCTTTTTCCTGCTGTATAACTCCTTGCCATGCAAACTCTCAAGAGGCCAATATATTCCTGGCCATGTTTGAATGAGCCTCTTAAAATAAACTTAGAGCCATGCAAATGCCAGCAGCTTAATGGATTTCATGGAATGAAATACCGTGATTAACTCATAGCTACATATCATTGCATAAATGGGATTTATCTTTTTTCTCACTTATTTTTGCGGTGAAAGTCGAGGGCATGCAAGAGTTTCTCTTCCAGAAGCCAAGAGGAGAACAAAGGTCCTAATGCTGTACTATTCCACCCTTTGGACGCCTCATCCAGGACGCAGAGGACTCTAGGTTTAACATTTTGTACAAAATGGAACCTGTTAATCATATTAAAGCACATATGTATATATCTTTTATTTATAAATAAAATTTTAAAACAATAGTTTCAGTATAGCCACAAAAGCTCTTTTGTCTTCAGTACAACGTTTGGGAGTTTAAACATTCATTACTAACAATTTCCTGGCTGCCTCGGCACTTGTGTCTGAAATCTAGCACTCAAATCTTTGCACCTCTTAGCATAAGGTTACTAAAAAAAGCCAACGGGCCCCACTTAAGTCCCTGATTGCTTTGGTTTTAGGTTCATGCCATTTCTGTGCAAAGCCAAGTCTATTGCTGAGAAAACGAGAAGCACCAGTTTCCACTTGAGGTGAGACTGGAAATCTTTTCCTTTGTAGCAGTGGTGTTTAGAATCACAGGAAGGCAGCTATGTGTTCCATGAAGGGGACTGGGTCTCCAGCAGGGCTGGCTTCAATTCCAAGTGGTTGATTTAAGGGTACCTTTAACCGAACTGAATCTCTTCTTTAAAACCTGCCGTTCAGAGGTAGGAACATTCATTCAGTTCAGCAAGCACTGATAATAGCTATAGTGAGGCTAACTTAATAGCACATGCTGCCTGTTAGAGTGGAAGGGATGACAGAGATTCACTTCCCTTGCCATTTGGTACTGGAATCACTTCTTTCTCTCTTTCTGAAGCCAGGCTTTAACGTGTAGGCGGTATCACTTTGGAATCTCTTTCAAATGCAGATTCTGATTCAGTAGATCTGGAGTGAGGCCCTGAAAAGATTTCCTAACTGGCTTCCAGGAGATGCCAATGCTGCCGGCTCATGGACCACACTTGGAGTTGCAAGGCTTTCGCTGGGACTGTCTCACTCAAATTTCAATCCCAACTGGTGGCTCATATTCAGACCTTTGAGTGCCTGCTACCGAGATGCGCTTGGGGACTTGCTCGAGGGTACAGAGCCAAAAGGGAGAAAGTGCAACAGGGCTCTTTTCCACTAACACCTCCGAAGGCAGCAATTAGGGACCTGAGAAGTCAGCACCTAGCAGACACCGTACAGGTACTGGGCTCCTGGCAAATGGTGAGTCTGGGCTGCATCATAATTCTATCTCCAGGGAAGCTTTGGTAAAAACACACAAAACTTTTGTGTGTTTTGCTTTTCTCCCCATCCCAATGATTCTCCACTGCCTTATATGCAAAACATTTCCTGCCTGAGGATTAGGATTCGGTTGCTGGGAGTTAAAACTCTACTTTTCCCCTATCAAGAGAACGAAGCCAAAACTCCTCCTTTAAAAATACAAACTCCTTTTTGCTATAGAAATATTCAAGACAGCCTGTAATCCCAGTGCTTTGGGAGGCCAAGTGGAAGGAATGCTTTGAGGCCAGGAGTTCGAGACCAGCCTGGGCAACATAGCTAGACCCCATGTCTACAAAAAAATTTTTAAAAGTTAGTCAGGCATAGTGGCAACATGTCTAGAGTCCTAGCTACTTAGGAGGCTGAGGCAGCAGGATCACTTGAGCCCAGGAGTTCAAGGCAGTAGTGAACTAAAAGCACATCACTGCATTCCAGCCTGGGCAACAGAGCGAGACTGTCTCTTAAATTAAAAAAAAAAAAAAAAAAAAAAAAAAAAAAAAACGGGCATGATGGCTCATGCCTGTAACCCCAGCACTTTGGGAGGCCGAGGTGGGCCCATCACGAGGTCAGGAAATCGAGACCATCCTGGCTAACATGGTGAAACCCCGTCTCTACTAAAAATACAAAAAATTAGCCGGGCATGGTGGCGTGCGCCTGTAGTCCCAGCTACTCGGGAGGCTGAGGCAGGAGAATGGCGTGAACCCGGGAGGCGGAGCTTGCAGTGAACCGAGATGGTGCCACTGCACTCCAGCCTGGGTGACAGAGCGAGACTCTGTCTCAAAGAAAAAAAAAAAAAAAAGGTTCAGGAGAGCATGGAAAGAGAGTCCTGCATCAGTCTGGGATCCACGTTTGCCCTGCGGGTCATTCTCTGCCACAGCAAGTCTCAGGAGTTGCTGCTGTGGGCAAGAATTTATCCTAAACTTTTCCTAAACTTACCACTGACCAGCCCAGCAACTGCACCACAGAGAACACACTCAAAGCACTTCTGTCTTGTATCAAGCCCTCTGACCTACCAGACTCATGTTTAATCCTCCCAATCCCCAAAGGAAGTATAAGTCCCCATTGAATGGATGAAGTCTTTTCTAGATTACTCAAGTGATGCCAGGAGGACGGTGAGTTCTGTGAAGGTAAGGCAGAAACTGCTTTAACACATCCCTGCTCTACCCGTTCGCCAATCTGGCTCTTATCTGGACACACGCCCTCACCAAGGAGGGGTGTGGCTTTGAGCACACAGCTGGTTCTCCACCGTGGAGGCTGCGGGAGGTGCTGTCAGGGTGCTTTGGCAACCATCCTTCCCTTCATTGTGTAGATCGTTCACCCAGTATGTTTTTGAGCGTCTGACATTTTGCCAGCACATTTGTGGGCACCATGAAAAACAATACCATCCAGGCCCATTCTGTGTGGAACTTAAATAATCTCCTGTGATCATGTACAAATAAAATGAAAAAGATTAAGCCAGAAATCAAGGGATGGAGGAAGAAAGGTGTTTTTTGTTTTTGTTTTGTTTTTGGGAGACAGGGTCTCACTCTGTCACCCAGGCTAAAGTGCAGTGACATGATCAGGGCTCACTGCAGCCTCAACCTCCCAACCTCAGTGGATCCTCCAGCCTCAGCCTTCCAAGTAGCTGGGACCACAGATATGCATCACATCACCCAGCTAATTTTTTTTTTTTTTAAACAGACAGAATCTCACTATGTCACCCAGGCTGGTCTCGAACTCCTGAGCTCAAGTGATCCTCTCACCTTGGCCTCCCAAAGTGCTGGAATTAGAGGTGAAAGCTCCCACACCTGGCCAAAGGTGATATTTTAGGAAAAGTGGTCAAGAAGAAGGAGGTACTTGGGCAGAGAACTGAAAGAAGAGAGAGAGGAGCCTTTTAGGCAGAAGGAACAACTTCAAGTTTCCACTAGAGAAAATGTGAAAACAGGTGGGCGTCTCAGTCTTACTACCAGCTAGTTTTGCTTCTCTTTCTAGAATCGGGTGGTAAGGCCAAGAAGCAGCTGGTGGTACAACGGAGTAACCCTGAGTCAACCTTGTCATCTACTCTTTGCCAGGCTAACAGATTCTTTCAGAGGGAATACCATCTGGAACAAATTCACCCTGTCTTCTAGAATATTTCCATAAGCAGACAGGGAGGGTCTCTGGGGATTCTAGGAATTTAATCAACTTGAGCAATCAGCCTGTTTTGCAGCCTCGTGCCCTGCAGTCTGTTTCTTCCTAGACCCTGCGTGGTCACCCAGCAGGTTAAAGCAGCTCCTGACAGGCCCCAACAACTTTTAGATGAATTCGGTGAACTTTCCTCATGGCCATTCTATAGTCTCCACCCCAGGGGAAGAGCAGCTTCAGCAGCAACCACATGCGACCTATGTGCTGGCATGAGGACTCACTGCATTGGTGCCACTGGGACCCCTCCTCGGCATGCGACGCAGTCCCTCCTGTCTCCATTACCCCTTAAAACCCTCCTGTCACATTCCCTCTGGGAGACACTGCTTTGGAGAATAATCCCAGTGCCCCTCTTCCTTGTGCCAAGTAATAAAACTCCTATTGATCACACACCTGCGTTCTCAAGGAGCGTGGTTTGTTATTCATCGGACCAACAAACCCTGATTTTGGGGGGGTAACATTTCCAGAATCAAAAATAAGCAATTTCTTTTTTTTTTTTTTTTTTTTTTTGACAGGGTCTCCCTCTGTCACCCAGGCTGGAGTGTAGTGGCATGATCTTGGCTCACTGCAGCTTTAATCTCCCAGGTTCAAGCGATTCTCCCACCTCAGCCTCCCAAGTAGCTGGGACCACAAGCACACACCACCACGCCTGGCTAATTTTTTGCATTTTTTGTAGAGAGTGTGTTTCTCCATGTTGCCCAGACTGGTCTCGAACTCCTGAGCTCAGGAGATCCACCTGCCTCAGCCTCCCAAAATGCTGGGATTACAGGCGTGAGCCACCATGTAAGCAAAAAATAAGCAACTTCATGTGTGAATAGTCCTCCACTAAGCAGGACTGAACACATGAAAATGAGGTTTCATTTGTTCAAATCAAGGAAAATATAGACAGAGCTTAGCAGGGGGGACAGTGCTGACAAGGGGACTTGATTCTTCAGTGGCACATGGAGAGAATGGCTTAAGACTTGATTGAACCCATTTAACTCTTGTCCTACTGGTGGCCCAAGTTATACCAAGGCGCTGACAAGGTGAGCCAGCAGCCCCTCTTGTAAAGCAATGTGACCAATAAGCTGGGTTGAGAGCCTGGGAAGCCAGGAGATGCCTTTCACAGGTACCAAATGACTCTCCATTGTTTTGCATAGAGAAAGTGACATGGAGCCTGAGGCCACTGACACTTCTCCCCCACCACCATGTTTGCTATTCACAGTGGCTCCCAAAGAGCTGCTCTCACCACGGGGCTGAGGGAGGCTAGACAAGATCACTGCAATTTTTCTAGAACTTTGATGATACCTGTCTCCCAAGAGGGTAAGCCTTGCCCTTGCTGGGCTTCTGTTTCCTCATCCATTAAACTGGGAAGAATGAATTAGATATTTTCAAAGGGCCTCTCTAAATTTATTCTGAGGGTGGCAGTTAAGAATTAAAGGAGGCTGAGAGGAGAGAAGTAAAATTTGAACAGTGGAGCCTGAGGAAGCTGAATGATGTGTAAAATTTTTTTAATAATAATTTTTTTTAACTTCCAGGGTACATGTGCAGGATGTGCAGGTTTGTTACACAGGCAAACGTGTGCCATGGTGCTTTGCTGCACAAACCAACTCGTCACCTAGGTATTAAGCCCAGTACGCATTAGCTCTTTTCCCTAATGCTCTCCTCCCACCATCCTCCTCCAAAACATCCCAGGGAGTGTTGTTTCCCTCCCTGTGTCCAGGTGTTCTCGTTGTTCAGCTCCCACTTATGAGTGAGAATATGCAGTGCTTGGTTTTCTGTTCCTGTGTTAGTTTGCTAAAAATAATGGCTTCCAGCTTCATCCATGTCCCTGCAAAGGACATGATCTCATTCCTTTTTATGCCTGCATAGTATTCCGTGTTGTATATGTACCACATTTTCTTTATCCGGTCTATCATGCGCATTTGGGTTGATTCCATGTCTTTGCTATTGTGAATAGTGCTGCAATGAACATACATGTGTATGTATCTTTAAAATAGAATGACTTATATTCCTTTGGGTACATATCCAGTAATGGAATTGCTGGGTCAAATGGTATTTCCAGTTCTAAATTTCTAAGGAATCACCATACTGTCTTCCACAGTGGTTGAACTAATTTACATTCCCACCAACAGTGTGAAGGTGTTCCTATTTCTATGCAACTTCACCAGCATCTGTTGTTTCTTGCACTTTTTTTTTTGAGACAGAGTCTCACTCTGTCACCCAGGCTGTAGTGCAGTGGCCACTTCTCAGCTCACTGCAACCTCTGCCTCCCAGGTTCAAGCAATTCTCCTGCCTCAGCCTCTTGAGTAGCTGGGATTATAGGCACCTGCCACCACACGTGGCTAATTTTTGTATTTTTAACTAGAAATGGAGTTTCACCATGTTGGCCAGGCCAGTCTCGAACTCTTGACCTCAGGTGATCCACCCGCCTCAGTCTCCCAAAGTGCTGGGATTACAGGCTTGAGCCACAGTACCCAGCCTTGTTTCTTGACTTTTTAATCATCACCATTCTGACTGGCATGAGACGGTATCTCACTGTGGTTTTGATTTGCATTTCTCTAATGATCAGTGACGCTGAGCTATTTTTCATGTGTTGTTGACCACATATATGCCTTTTTTTGAGAAGTGTCTGTTCATATCCTTTAAATTCGCTGGGTGTGGTGGCTCACACCTGTAGTCCCAACTACTCAGGAGGCTGAGGGGCAATTTGACGGCAAATTACTCAAGGATTGCCTGAGCCCAGGAGGTCAAAGCTGCAGACAGCCATGACTGCACCACTGCACTCCAGCCTGAGCTGGACCAAGTGAAACCCCATCTCAAAAACAAAACATAACACAAACAAACAAAAGCTAATTATTAGTCTGAACCCAACAAACTCTATATTCTAGTTCCTGGTTTCTCTGAATTCCGTCGCTATTCCTCGGTAGTTAAAACAGTAGAAACTTAGTACTTCCCCCTCACCATCCATGACCATCACCCATTTACTTCCTAAAGAGAATGAACATAAAGTGCTTAATCTAACTCTTAATTGCTAGATACACAAAAAGTCAAGCGTTGTGTGGAGCTCTTTCAGCTTAATGCACGAACCAATTAACTTTTCTAAAGCGTCTTGTTTTTCCAGAAGAAAACCCAAACCTATTACTATATTACAGAAGTTGAGTTTCTAGAATGAAATTCAGATTTTGCATCTGCCACAGGCTCACTGCTCCATCTATTGGGCGTAGAGAAATTAAGTGAGAAACCAACATGTAATGTAGAGATGATCACAACAGAAGGCTCTTAAAATTGATAACAAGACATTTCTACAAATAGATACAGTTAGAAAATTGATGTATGAAAATCTATTTAGGGGACAGGGATGGCTAAGAATTTTTAAATATAAAATCTTGAGTATCCATCTACAAGATCAAGTATTTCTGATAAAACAGACATTTGGATGTGTTTTGTAAATTCTTGAATGGAGAAAGCATAATAACAGGATATATTAAACTAGGTTCTGGTAGGGTAACACCTAGGCATACATTCATAGGAGACCAAAGATAGGAAAAAAAAGGTATAGTATAAATAAGCCAGGGACAGAGCAAGGGGAAGAGGGTACATATCTGATATACAGGGATGTGGCTGCATATAGTCAGCAACCTTCCCAGGAAGAGGAAATGGCAGGTGTTTCTTGGATCCAAGTAGGAAATGAGACCTGCAGAGCAGAAGAGAGAGGCTGAGGGTAACATTTCTCACAGAGCCTGGGGAAGTCAGCTGAGCTAGCTGGAACACAAGCCCTGAAAGGCTGGTGGAAGGCTTAAGGTCCAAAGGAGGCCAAGGCACTAACTTAAATCTGTCCAGACAAAGTGATCGTCCTGTAGTACATCATTTGTACATGCTTTTGAGCCTGATTTTTTCATGTCATTTTATGCATTTTGTGCATAGGGAGAGATTTACCTAAAGCAAAATTATCAGTGAGCTTGGCTCTTGGGAGAAGATAGTAAGATTCATTCTGTGTATGACAAGTTGAGAGTTTGGTGAAGCTGACATGGTTTCTCTGAGATACAGCTGAGCCTCTAGGGCAACTTAATGATGCTTGCTCTGTCCACCAGTCACAGAGACAGAGTGATGGACTTAAGTGATGGACAAGGTACGTACAAACACAAGTAGTGAGGTGTGGATATATATGCATACATATTTGTTAGTTAAGAACCATTTTAGGCCAGGTGCAGTGGCTCATGCCTATAATTCCAGCACTTTGGGTGGCTGAGGCGGGCAGATCACTTGAGGTCAGGAGTTCGAGACCAGCCTGGCCAACATGGTGAAACCCCATTTCTACTAAAAATACAAAAAAATTAGCCAGACGCGGTGGTGTGTGCCTGTAATCCCAGCTACTCAGGAGGCTGAGGCAGGAGAATTGCTTGAACCCAGGAAGCAGAGGTTGCAGTGAGCTGAGATCGCCCCACTGCACTCCAGTCTGGGCAACAGAGCAAGATACTGTCTCAAAAAAAAAAAAAAAAAAAAGAACCATTTCAGAACAAGAATTCTAGTAACCTCAACTAGATAAGTTTGAATTTATGAAATCAATATCACTGCCATTACTTTTGGTCAAACAGAAAAACAATCAAAAGTTTATATATATTTTTAAAACTATATAACTTAAGACACTTAAAATATTTGGTTTCAGGACCACTGCAGTCTATTTATCATACCAATCTATTTTTAAATGGCCATATGCATAGTTTTAACCAAAGTTATATTCTATAAGGATTCATGTGGTAGATCAAAGTGGTGAGTAAATGGACTAGAAATATTTTTCCCATGTAAGTAGGTGTATCTGGAATTATTTTTATATTGTGAATCCACGTAAATTGTAGGTTCAGCAAATCTATAAGTTGCAGATATGGAAACGGATCTGGTGGAAGTGGTAGAAGGTGCACACATAAGGCAGGAAGTAGCCAACAGCGTGCTTCTAACAAAAGAGAAATCCAAAAATTAAAGTTGTGTTTAAGTGATTTCACCATATTCCTTATTATTATTGGCACAAGAATTACTCCCCCTCGTGAACGCTACAGGCAAAACAGCTGGGTAGGAAGACAGCAGTATTAGCAATAAAACTACATCTTGCCTCTGCCTTAAGCTGGTATCACCGGGCTATTTCCACTCCTGTGCAGCTGGGGGACCTCTGTGGCAGGGTATATCCAGAGGAAGCCAGCCTAACTTTATACACCTGCTACCCTTCCCCTCAACCCTCTCAAAGCTTTATGTAAAACTCAGGGTGACTTAATTATTAAGGAGCAGAGCCAATTCTTTGGCCTAGGCCATCAGGAATGAAAAAGCAAGTGGAAGTACATCAGATTTCTGGTTTAGTTTTAAAACCAAGTGGTGAAGGTAACAAATTCCCCCACTCAATGACCCCCCGCATCGGGTGACAGCAACACAGGGTCTTCCACAAAAGCATCTTCATTTGCTAGCATCTAGATTCAACTCTGGGAGTCAAAATTCATTTTCTTTTCCTATTTAAGATGATGTGACTAGGGGTCATAACTGCTTGGACGTCTAGCTAGTGAAGTTTTAGGAAGAAGAGAATTTAAATTGTGAAGTCAATGAGAACTATTGACTATAAGATTCCCGTTCCAAATCTTTTTCTTTACTAGTTATGACCAGATTCAATACTGAGCTCACTGTCTCTTCTATTCTATACCTTATAAATCTTAGATACCATTGGAGCTGGAGCTGTAGAATTAGAGGATGGTGGTTACAGAAGAATTGGATATTACAGTTGCTCAACTGACGGCCCGTGACAACACCTTTCCGTGAAGACCCTATTTGGCAAGGTATTTCTTTTTCGTTTGTTTGTTTGTTTTTGAGACGGAGTCTCGCTCTGTCACCAAGCAGGCTGGAGTGCAGTGACGCAATCTCAGCTCACTGAAACCTCCGACTCCCTGGTTCAAGAGATTCGCCTTGGCAGGATATTTCTGTAACCATCTGCAGCTAGTATTCGAGTATGAACATGACAGTATCAAGTTGTAACAGGACAGCTTTCTCCACATTCTTTGTGTTCCTTAACAACCCTACAAGGCAGAAAGTGCTGTTTCCACTTTTAAAAGGAGGAACACCAAGGCGGGTCAAATAGTTTGTCCAACCTCCTTCACCCCTGGCTATCGTCACAATGTGATCTATTTAAATTGACTGAATCAAATCTACATCAAGAGCATGTTCTCTGAGACAACATACAAATAGTCTAGCCCTTTGGAGCTCACTATCCTATTGTCTGTTCTAAAATAGAATCAAGGCCAGGCACAGTGGCTTATGCCTGTAATCCCAGAACTTTGGGAAGCCAAGGCAGGCAGATCACTTTTGAGGTCAGGAGTTCAAGACCAGCCTGGCCAACATGGTGAAACCCCGTCACTACTGAAAATACAAAAATTAGCCGGGTGTGATGGCACATGCCTGTAATCCCAGCTGCTCTGGAGGCTGAGGCAGGAGAATCACTTGAACTCAGGAGGTGGAGGTTGTGGTGAGCAAAGACTGCACCACTGCACTCCAGCCTGGGCCAAAGAGTGAGACTCCTCTGTCTCAACAAATTAATTAATTAATTTAATTAAATAGAATCAGAGAGCACATGAATTTTCTGGAGTCCTCATAGTCTATATCTGTTGCCGATAGTTAGATATTTCATCTTGTTCAGTTTAAAGAACCCACAGTATTAACAAGGTAATAATTTATAGGATGAAAACTTGAGGAATATTGCAGAATTAGATATTAATAAAAATAAGTCATGCGTGGTGATGAATAAATTACTCCAGCCCATGTTACCAGATGCATCCACACAGTCAGCAGGACCATCATAAACTTGCCCCATGGAAATGCATGTCTGAGCATCCTTACAGGATGTGACGGTGCCAAGCAGACAACGGCTCCAGTGCATGTGTTTGCATCAGCCTCGTAGGACTCCCTGGGACATCTAAGAATCTGTCCTTCAGGGTCTGGGATACAAATATGGCCACATCCTCCATGGTCTTTTGAGCACCTGTTACTACCTGTGGAATATTCCCACCACCTCCCTGAAAAGCATACTGAGTTATTAGGTTTCTTAAAGGTCTTCTGCAAACTTCTTGCAAATACATTATCAGAGTTACGGGACCCAAATGTTTTCCCCAAATTAGATTGCTCTTCAATTTAATTCCTTTTACTCAACTAGATACTGAATGACTGGAGATTCTTTCTTCATGGATAAGGATGGTTTTAGAAGCCTAGGAGTTCAGATGTTGGATGGCTTAAGAAAAACTGAGGGGAACTCCGACTCATTCAGGGCCGCATTGTGAGTTCTCTTTGCCCCTCAAGTTATACCTGGTAAAACACTTAATTGTGATAAAACAAACACGCACAGATTCAGTATTCTGACATGCGATGGCTTTCATCCACATTAATTTGTCTAGGGACAGTTAGTATGATCATAGTAAACACTCAGGAAATTCATACCATGCACTCAAAGCTGAGTCAATGTGCCTGGACAGAAGCCTGAGAAGAGAAGACGGTGGCAGACCTGGCCTGTGGCAGGACTGGGAGGATCACTCTTTATCTGAGCCATCCTGACAGGTGCATGTGCCATCATGGAGGTGCTCCCAAGAAACACGTTCCTCCCCGTTCCCACAGGGAACAGAGGATGGATGCAAAGCACATGTGACGGAGGAGGAGCGGGAGGAGCAGGAGCGGTGGTTGGGGCTGCTCCTTCAACCCCGGGATCCAAAGCAAACAGCTGCTTCAGCAAGTCAGTCCAGTAGGTTCCAGCAATGGGCACGTGCCCCTACTGTCCCCCTCCTTCAGAAAATCACGTCATGGCTGCGTACATACATTTTTCTATCTCACAGGAAGAAAATGTGCAACTGACCCAAAGCCTGGATCCTTAGGTTAAGTGTGGTACGTTAGCCTATCATCAACTCACAGTGAATTTGGGCAAGGAGTTTTTTCCTTCCCAGCCTACTAACTTTAGCCTTTGGGAAATTTCCAGAACATAGACAACTTAGAGAGAAGGCCTGAAGAATTGTGGGTTGGGACCACTGCCAGTGCAAACATAAAGATGCCCAGGATTTTATCCTAGAAAAACACACTGAAAAGAGACAGGTAAAGTGGATCTCAAAGAATAACCCCACAGAGGAAGGCTAGCTGGCCACCTCCTGGTTGTCTGCCAAGATGATCATTTTCTTTATATATGGCTCTTTCAACACCGAGAAGGCTGCTGCATCCTCTTGTTCCACAGCACAAGAGCGGCTTTGTCCATAGTCACCAGGTAGGACTCGTAGGCTCCTCTAATCCCGTTGCTCCAGGATTTGTTTAAAGAGTGTGTTTTATTTCTATTTCTTAGAAGACTCAGACTACCTGGGCGCAGTGGCTCACGCCTGTAATCTCAACATTTTGGGAGGCCGAGGTGGGCAGATCACAAAGTCAAGAGATTGAGACCATCCTGGCCAACATGGTGAAACCCCGTCTCTACTAAAAATACAAAAATTAGCTGGGCATGGTGGTGGGTGCCTATAGTCCCAGCTACTCAGGAGGCTGAGGCAGGAGAATCACTTGAACCCAGGAAGCGGAGGTTGCAGTGAGCCGAGATCACGCCACTGCACTCCAGCATGGGCGATAGAGTGAGACTCTGTCTCAAAAAAAAGAAAAAAAGAGAAGACTCAGACTTTGCAACCCTAAGAGTCAAGTTCTTATTAACTAATACTGAACAAGTCACCTATGATGGGAGAAAGCATGGGTCCCATTTAATTGTGTCTTTTGTGTGCATATGGTGGAAATGCCATGTCAAGGTTTGCTACTGCACATTCCTTCCCAATTGTATGTTTAATGTTACATTGGGAGCTTGAAATCTGGCATCGTGGGAGTATTTACACCCTGATAATTGGCAAACACTACAAACGGGGATTTCATTTTTTTTTTTTTTTTCATTTTGATTTCTAGACCAGGAAATGGCAAACAATGGCCCTTGAGCCAAACTCAGCCTAATGCCTGTTTTTGTAAAGTTTTAGCAGAGTAAAGCTATGGCCATTCACTCACATGTTATCAATGGCTAATTCTGTGAGACAATGGCAGAGAATCCACCAAGCCTAAAATATTTACTATCTGACCTTTTGGAGAAAAAGTTGGCCAATCCCTAGTCTAGACTTAAAGGAAGTGGTGAAGTATTAATGAGGCAGACTAAATATATGTGTATTGTGTCTATAACCATTAAATTTTAAATACCATAAAAAATTGAGGAAATATTGCCATAGTATTTGAAATCTATTATCCAGTTCAGCAAAGAAGTCATTTATGTCACTGATGGACTAATTCCCACAAGTCTTCATTGCTTCACTTTCATCTCACTTGTTTATGGAAATAAAATCATCAAAAAACATTCATGTCAAGAACACTCACGCACTGACTTCTTTGCCTACTCAGATAGTAATCAAGCACTTATTCATCGCTTTTGTTAAATCTTGAATTGTAACCATAGATTGGCTTCTGATCTAAGAATTCCAAATAAAAAAGCAGTCTGTGAAAATCAGTTAGCTATATGAAATTTGTAATAACAAATATCATGGCCAGGTGTAGTGGCTCACACCTGTAAACCCAGTACTTTGGGAGGTTGAGGCAGGACGATTGCTTGAGCTTAGGATGTGGAGGTCAGACTGGGCAATACAGTGAGGCCTCATCTCCACAAAAAATTAAAAAATTAGCCAGGCATGGTTGCCTATGCCTGTGGTCCCAGCTACTCGGGAGGCTAAGGTGGGAGGATTGCTTGAGCCCAGGAGGTCAAGGCTGCAGTGAGCTATGATTGTGCCACTGCACTCTAGCCTGGGCAACAGACTCAGACCCTGTCTCAAAAAGAAAACAAAACAGGCCAGGCATGGTGGCTCATGCCCATAATCCCAGCACTTTGGGAGGCCAAGGCCGGCAGATCACCTGAGGCCAGGAGTTCGAGACCAGCCTGCCCAACATGGTGAAACCCCATCTCTACAAAAATACAAAAATTAGCTGGGCATGGTGGCGTGTGTCTGTAATCCCAGCTACTCAGGAGACTGAGGCAGGAGAATCGCTTGAATTTGGGAGGTGGAGGTTGCAGTGAGTTGAGATTGCGCCATTGCACTCCAGCCTGGGCGACACGAGTGAAACTCCATCTCAAAAAAAAAAAAAAAAGAAAAAAGAAAGAAAGAAAACAAAACAAAACAAAACAAAAAGCAAAGAAAAGAATATTGTGTATTTTCTTATTTGTACATTGTGTTACATATCCTTTATACAGTACATTTAATTATAAACAGATGTAGGTATATATGTGCACATATTTTTTTCCCAGAGAGCTGATTGTTAAACATTTCCCAGCACATCAATAGGTATTATAGTAAGAACTCAAATATTAACTACCAGGGATGTTGACAAACAGGCAAAGCATGAAGGTGGGGCTGGAGTAGCAGAATGAGGACGCTGATACCCCCAGGGCTTGACATGCTGTAAAATTCTTCCTACATACTGGGTGTTAGAGTGGGAGAATTTCTTTACTATTTCCTCGCACTTGCATATGGAGGAACTTCCATAAAATTACATTTCTGTATACTCCCACATCCATGAAGTTACTCCTACCCAGGAAAGGAGAAGTGACTTAGAAATTATTGGAAATTGTTAAGATGAGGCTGGCCATATTTGGTTTGACCCCTTTGTTGGGCTCTGCCACTTGCAGAGAACATGCACCTTCCTCTGGAGTTATAAATTTAGCCTTGGCACTGCACAGATTCAAGGTTGAAAGCTCAGGGTCACAGAATGTTCCTTGAGCAATGCTACACTGGTTCTTAAAGGCATGCACTCTAGTTCTGAAACAGAATTTTGGAAGCCTCCCATTTTTCACTAGAAATTTCGTCTGTATTTTCTAGCATCAATTTTCAATATGAATAACATGCTCAAGAAAAAACAACACTGACACTGGCACACTCAATGTAAAGATGAGCTGAAAACTATATGCTGATGGCTTGTCAGAAACCCTGCCATCTATAAACAGGCCTGGATAACAGACAGCACAACTTTTCTGCATTTTCTAATTTCACATACTACAGTGAGGGAAATAGGACAAAAGGAATAATGGCCAGAGATGTGCTAAGGTGTTTCCAACATACAGAGGGCCATTAGGAAGGAGGAGGACCTTAACAGAAACATAACCGAGGAATCCAAGAGAATGTGACCTCAGTTTTAGACAATAGTTATTATAGAAGTCTCAAATCAAAATTATATATACATTTATGCTTCAGGACAGGTGAGTCACAGAAGAAGATCGTCCGGATAAATACATATGCTTCTTAGACTATGGTTATGTGGCTTGAAGAAGGTAAGGCTCTTCCTACCAAGAAACATACTTGGATAGAGGAGAATAGAGTTCAACTTCCCAAGGACAAACACATTTAAGACTTCATCCACCTAGAAGTATACACATGCTTCTCTCAAGATCATATGCAATCAACCTTGGCCTTGAATTTAAAGATATGAGAATCTCACAGGTGCCTGTTTGTTGATCCAAGACATCAAGCTTTCAATCTGCTGCTATAAGAATTTTAACATTATCAGCTGTACTAGAAGTAGTGACACATTACTTTGAAGCTTTACTTCACACTTTTTCCTTTAACTAAAGGTGTTTTCCCATCTCCTATCTCAAAATCTACCTATCCCTGAAGTCTGGACTGTGTGTGCAGAAGAAAGCTAGTTGATCTCCTTAGTTCCCCCTCCTTCCTCTGAACCTCAACATACTATAACTCATCGTCGGAACTTTACTGCCTTACTTGGTTTCAGAGTCAGCTCCTCTCTCACCTCAACAGAAGTCCTATCCATGCTTCATACACAGTAGCTGAATGTAATTAAGTGTCCCAGTGGTAAAGAAACACAGGAGAAGGTGAGATTATATTGACTGGGTCTCTGGAGCACCTAGTTCTATAGTTTATAGATGACGTTATTTTAAAGACATTTAATAGCAACTGACCCTCAAACAGAACAAGGAATGTTACAATAGCAGCTTCCTTATGGAAAAAATAAAGTCGTTTCTATACTAGACTTTCACATGAATCATCTATATCACTTTTATCTATTACTGCTAAGAATAGAGCAGGAGCCAGGCTTTGCCTCCAGTATTGAAACTTACTTGTAACTGGACAGTTGTTGCCATCGTAGAGCTGGTGACCTTGAATACAGCCACAGGAGTAACAGCCTGGGGTATCATGACATAGTCGGTTGCTAGGACCACATGCCAGAGAGCACTCGTCTACATGTGATGACAGAGATCCCTAAGTTAGAGAGGACCCAGGAACAATCTTTTCAGTATTTTTGTTCTCCGGAGCCACTTCCCAGATGCTCACTGAATATGTACTATGTGGAAGTCACTGAGCCAGGGGCCAGAATAGACAGTCTCTTTCTCTATAGAGTTCCCACTCACATGAATATAATTTAACAGACACATCAGTATAGGAACCCCAGACGTTTGACTGGTACAGAATATTGATTTATGTTACTTTAGCAACATTTATTGGGATGCCACATGTCAAGCTGGCCAGAGTGTAACTCAGAATGACAAATGTTACTGCCTGGACTTCACTACTGGTGTCATGGGACAACCTGTCCAAGGTGATGGAAACAACTTAAGCTTCCCAGGTATAACTGGTGACATTTAGATCAAGTATTATCATTTCTCAAAGCTCGACGGCAGGGACCCTTTAGAATATGAGTCACAGGACCAGGAATGATTTATTTTGGTGTTTGTTGTTTGTTTGGCAGAAAGAAGTGTGGTTCCTTGGGGCATTGCCAGAAAAACATCATTTCTCCAAAACCATGGGGTTCTAGAATAGAATGATGCCTTCCCATCCCAGGAGAATAATCAATGTATGGCTACAAGTCAAGTTCAGTGGCCAGTCAAGTCCTGCAGTGGGCCCGGAATGCTGCAGGATGCCTGCGGAAAGATGCCGCAGGAGCCTGGGCGTATGTATAATACAAAACCCAGACCTCTCCAGGGTCAGGACCAGAAACTGACTTCAGACTCCTAATAAAGAATGAATAAATAAGTTGTTTTATCCAAAATAGGCTTAATAATTATTCATAATATGACAAAAACTTATTGATGAATTCTCAATATAAAATCATCATTGACTGTAACTCTCATGTTATTAAACCAGGGCCTTTTCTCTTGTATCCTTCTGATATGGTTTGGCTGTGTTCCCACCCAAATCTCATCTTGAATTGTAGCTCCCATAATTCCCATGTGTCATGAGAGGGACCCTGTGGGAGGTAACTGAATTATGGGGGCAGGTCTTTCCCGTGCTGTTCTGGAGATAGTGAATAAGACATGAGTTCTGTTGGTTTTAAAAAGGGGATTTCCCCTGCACATGCTCTCTTGCCTGCCACCATGTAAAATGTGACTTTGCTCATTTGCCTTCTGCCGTGATTGTGAGGCCTCCCCAGCCATGTGGAACTGTGAGTCCATTAAACCTCTTTTACTTTACAAATTACCCAGTCTTGGGTATGTCTTTATTAGCAGCGTGAGAACAGACTAATACACCTTCCCACCTAAATAGGTAAGGCTGCAGGTAGAGCCCATGTAGACAGAGGGAACTATTGATTAAGGGTAACTGATATTAAGGCTCAGGGTGGCAAGACTGATCTACCCAACAGGCCAAAGCATCAAGACAATAAATCCTTTAACCTCCTAATCACATTTTAACCTAAAATACCATCCTGTATTTTTATGGACAAGTGCTACAATAGCAGCCATAACCTTTACACATTATTAATGAATGGTGAAGATATATGAGATTTATTTCAACCATTCTGGCACAAGAATCCCATTTTATAAAGAGGAGAAATGAGACTTGAAGACTTGGAGAAGCTCAGCTAGCAGAAACACGAAAGGATAAACATACAGTGGGTTCTAATTTCAGAATCTGTTCTGATGCCAAGGTGTGTACCTCAGACATGGCCATGAAGTAACAAACATCTATTTTTTTCCATGACAGAAACCCTTCAATACCATAAGAGAAATATGTTAAATTTAATGTTTTCTCATTAGGCTACAGTTGACCAGCAGTTCCCACAAAAGAGGATGATAACAGGCATTGGTGAGGATGTGGAGACACTGAAACACTTAATTACTGCTGGTGAGACTGTCAATGGTACAAGCACTACAGAAAACAGTTTGGCGGTTCCTCAAAAAGTTAAACACAGAATTACCATATGACTTAGCAGTTCCACTTCTGGTTTATATCTAGAGAATTGAAAGCAGAAATTCAAACAGATCATTGAACACCAATGTTCAAGTATCTTGGTAAAGGGATCATGTCTTAGTTGTAGTTAGTTGTACTTGTACTAAATACTTAGTGGTACTTAGTGTAGTACCACTAAGTACTTAGTACTTACTACTTACTAAGTTGTACTTAGTATAGTTACTCATTTGATTTTAAAAGTCTGGCTTATAAAAAACCAGTACTTAGTTCTTACTAAGTTGTACTTAGTATAGATAGTCATTTGATTTTAAAAGTCTGGCTTATAAAAACCATTAAAAATAAAATACTGAGGCAATATTAGTTTTTAATGGATAGCTAACAACTTTGCTGTCTACTCACATTCTATCTGTACCTCACATGACTTGAAGAAAACTATTAAACTGAGAGTAGTCGATGTCAGTAACTAACATGGGAGCTCAGGCTCAGTCAACAGGCTACTTGGGTTGAAGTTTCAGTTGGATCACTTACTAGAAGCGCGACCTTGGGAGAGTTCCTTCCTCTCTCTGGACTTCAGTTTTCTTGTTCATAAAATGCGGGTAGTAAATAAGTGACGCTACGAAGGTTCAGGAATTAAGTGAGCACAAAACCGCTCCGCACAATACCCACCACATAAATGCTCATAAACTAGTAACTCTTTTGCTCCCTCTTCCCACAGATTCTCCCAGAAGGATCACAAGGTTGCAGTCAGCCCTCAAAGACTCACATCAGGTGAGTGACAACTTGAACAATGATGATTCTTGGTCCAGGGACCAAAAGTGCATGTGGATTCTACACATTATCTGCAGATGAGTCTCAAACCTTACTTTCCAAATTTAAGGAAATGCTTGCTGTGAATACATAAGCAATTTATTTATGAATGTATTTATTTTCATATTAAATTCCTGGTAGCTTTCTCATAGTCTGTCACTATACCAAGTACAATGACTACGTGCCGTTCTAAAACAGACATCATAAAGGTGTCTTCACACTAGAAGGTGTTAGAAATCACTGCTTGGTAGAAGCAAGAAAGGTAAGTAACATTGACTCCTGTTTCAGAACTGGTGTGGGCAGATCAGCTTCAACAGAGAGGCTGGACCCGGTTTGGCAAAAATTCTGAAGCAAAATCGGAGGGTTAGAATCCTTCCTGAAAGAGATGCAACTCAGATGCTAAGTGGCGCCCCCTCCAAACTGGTTCACAGTATCTTGACCAAGAAAGAGTCTGCATAAGTTAAAATGGCTTAAAATCGACTTTCCAATCATAGGGGGCTAACCAGGAGCACCTGCCTGGCCAGGTGGTTTAACAAGTGCTGGGCGCCGGGCTATATCTCCAGGCACCGCCTTCACCCTTCGGGAACTGTGCGTGTCTGGGTCACCCTGGAACCGGCACTCATCTCACCCCTGCTTTGGGGTCTGCCTACACCTGAACGGTGTCAATAAGTGCCTCCAGAAAGTGTCTTCCTAAATGCACCTCAAGCCCCCAACACCCTTTCCTCTGGGCTGTTTCTGGAGTTGGGCACCTGTCTGCGAGGTCCGGCGTCTCCAAGAGGCTAAACCTGCTGCCTGTAAAACCCGGGGCGCGGGGCCCGACCCACCGAGATCTAGGCGAAAGCGAATCCCACTCGGCCCCGACGTTAGAAGGAAGAGCCCAGGTGGGAGGGTGCGGCCCGCTCTCAGGTTTGGAGCGGACCTCTTCTCCCACCTGTTTGAGGGTGCAAAAACGGAAAGACACTGAATTTGTCCGCTGAGCCCACCTCCCCTCCCAGCCACTGGGAGGTCTGTAAAGGGCCGAGAAGCAGGTGGTCCGAGCCCGGGGCATGGACGGCGGCCCCTGCAGAAGGCCCAGCCACGCCCTGCTAGATCCTGGACAACCCGACGCTGCAGCATGGGACAGGACACACCCCGCGAGGGAGCCCCAGCCGCCGGCCCCTGCCGCGCCCCTCGGCGACACGCGACGCCTGCGCCCTGCAGAGCAGTCCTCTCTCTGGGCGCCCTTGGCAGCCCGACCCACTCACCTGACCTGGACACCGCGACGCTACCAGCGTGGCCAATCCCGGCGAAAGGAGGAGGACGGGTGTCCAGCGCCCCAGACCCGGGAGGGGTCGGGCGTGGAAGACCTGGCGCTGGATACCGGCGTCTCCGGGCTGCAGCTGCGCTCGCTGGGAGTAGCAGAGAGGCGCGCGAGGTGCGGGCTCAGTTTCCCTAGGAGCTCTGGGTAATCTGAAAGTAGTTACGAAAAGAAATTCAAAATGTTTAAAAGATGAATTAAGATGTTCTAACTCATAAGTGGCAGTTGAACAATGAGAACACATGGACACAGGGAGGGGAACATCACCCACCGGGGCCTGTTGGGGGTGAAGGGGAATGGGGAGAGAGAGTATTACGGCAAATACTTAATGCATGCAGGGCTTAAAACCTAGATGACGGATTGATAGGTGCAGCAAATGACCATGACACATGTATACGTATGTAATAAACCTGCATGTTCTGCACATGTTCCCCAGAACTTAAAAAAAAAAAGATGAATTAAGAGCTGTTGTTATAAAAGGCATAGGGTCACGGGTATGACAGAGGAACTGGCAGGGAACCAACCCTCTCCCTCTAAATAAACACCTAGAAAACTGGTCAACTTCCCATGAAAAAATTGTTTTCAGGGAGATTAATCCCCCAAAGAAAGAAAACAATCACCATGAGTTTCCATCTGGAGGCATTTGCCAAACCTGGCAATAGAGGAGGAACACAGTAGTCTCATATAATTAAGGAGACAGAGATACACAGAGATCAGAATTTGGGCAGCCTGAAGCAGCTGGAACTTGAGAGGCAGAGCACTAAAGAGAAGAGAGCTGGCTGGGCGCGGTGGCTCATGCCTGTAATCCCAGCACTTTGGGAGGCTGAGGCAGGCGGATCACCTCAGGTTAGGAGTTCAAGACCAGCCTGGCCAACATGGAGAAACCCCGTCTCTACTAAAAATACAAAATTAGCCCAGTGTGGTGGCACATGCCTGTAATCCCAGCTACTTGGGAGGCTGAGGCAGGAGAATCGCTTGAACCCAGGAGACAGAGTTTGCGGTGAGCAGAGATCACACCATTGCACTCTAGCATGGGCAACAAGAGCAAAACTCCGTCTCAAAAAAAAGAAAAGAAAAGAAAAGAAAAAAAAGAGCTACATAAAAGAGTTTACAAAATCTTTACAGGAGTTTGTTTGTATCTTTGGCTAAATCCCAAGGTGTGCATGTATAGGGTGAGATTTCACGAGACCAGGGAAAGAATGACTACCGAAGAGTTATCAACAATTCATAGATTTTGACAGGTTTCAGACATCTAAGTTCTAAGCAGTTATTGAACACCTGAGATATTTCACAGGGGCCCAAAAGGCTTCTGGCTCTAAAGTGTTCACCTGTAGTCACAGCTACTTGAAAGGCTGAGGCAGGAAGATGGCTTGAGCCCTGTAGTTCTAGGCTGTAGTGAGCTATGATCATGCCTGGGAATAGTCACTGCACTCCAGCCTCAGCAACATAGACTGTCTCTAAAAAAAAACAAAAAAAAACAAACAAAAAAAATTTTTAGGATCCCCCTCCACCAAGAACTTTTGTTTATGAATATCTACCTAAATCTATCAATACTTACTGTATCCTAAATTAAAGCTAAGAATGGTAAAGAATATTTATTTATTAATTCAATTAAAATAGCAATAATAAACTGATTACATGTTAACATATATAACACATTTTTATGAATAATCACATTTTCCAAAATAAAAAACTAATGACAACAGTAGTATTGTTTTACATTCTGAAAGCCTCTTTAATGACATTAATAGAAGACAGCTGCACTCTCCTGTGCGTTTGCATTCCATCTATTAGTGTGTTGTTTTGGTTCCAGTATACAAAGAAAATCTGGCCTTACACAGATATGCAGTTGGCCGTGGAAAAAGTATTTCAATAGCCCTTTCAGATAATTGCTGATATTCTTCTTTGGTGCTGTTATGGGTTCATTTATGTCCCCTAAAAAGGATATGTTGAAATCCTAACTCCCAGTACCTCAATACATGACCTTATTTGGAAATAGGGTCTTTGCAAATTTAATCAAATTCATAGAATGTGGCCTAATCCAAGATGTCCAATGTCCTTATGAAAAGGGGAAATTTGGGCCGGGCATGTTGGCTTATGGCTATAATCCTAGCACTTTGGGAGGCCGAGGCGGGTGGATCACCTGAGGTTGGGATTTTGAGACCAGCCTGGCCGACATGGAGAAACCCCATCTCTACTAAAAGTACAAAACTTAGCTGGGCGTGCTTGTGCATGCCTGTAATCCCAGGTACTTGGGAGGCTCAGGCAGCAGAGGAACTTGAACCCAGGAGGCGGAGGTTGTGGTGAGCCAAGATCGAGCCATTGCACTCCAGCCTGGCCAATAAGAGTGAAACTCCATCTCAGAAAAAGAAAGAAAAGGGGAAATTTGGACACAGACACATACCTATCTGTGAAGGAAACCAATGTGAGGAGACATAGAGAGAAGGCCATGGAAAGATGGAGGGAGGTCGAGGGCAGGATTATCCATAAGCCAAAGAAGGTGTGGGGCTACCAGGAGCTGTGGTGGCAAAAGGAACATCCTTCCCTAGAGGCTTCCCAGAGAGTCCAGACCCATTGACACCTGGATTTCAAACGTCTAACCTCCAGAACTGTAAGCCAATACATTTCTGTTCTGCCAAGCCATCCAATTTGTGATAGTGTGTTATGTCGGCCCTAGGAAATTTATGTAGATACTAACACCAAAATCCAAGAAGTGGTAATTTTCTAATGATTAGTTGCAATGCATGATCATAGCTCACCATAGCCTAGAACTATAGGGTTCATGCTGTCCTCCGGCCTCAGCCTCTCAAACAGCTGAGACTACAGGCATACACCAATGGGCCCAGGCCTTAATAATTCTTAAGCCTTTATTCTAGAGCCAGTAGGCTTCCGGGAACCTACAAAATATCCCAGGTGTTCAGTAATGGCTCAGAACTCAAACGTCTCTGAAACCTGTTAAGATCCATGAGTTGTTTATCTTATAACTCTTCAGTAGTCATTCTTTGCCTGGCCTCATGAAATCCCACCCTATACATGTACAGCTTGGAATTTAGCTAAGGAAACATATGAACCTCTGAAACCATATAAATGAACATTTAACAAATGTTGCGTGTTCTCATTCATCTATGGGAGCTAAAAAGGCAGATCCCATGAAGATAAAGAGTAGACTAGTGGTTTCCAGAGGCCAGGAAGAGGAGGGGGCATGAAAAGAGGTTGATTAGTGGATACATTAATACAGTTAGATAGAAGTAGTAAGAGCTGGTGTTTAATAGATCGGCAGGGGACTATAGTTAACACTAATCTAGTGTATATTTCAAAACAGCTAGAAGACAGTAATTCAAATGTTCCTAGCATAAAAAAAGATAAGCACTTAAGATGATGGATAACCCAATTACCCTGATTTGATCTTTCACACTATATGAATGTATCAAAATATCACATGTACCCTGAAAATAAGTACATATATTATGTATGAATAAAATAAAAAGCAAATAGCAGGGCCGGGCACAGTGGCTCATGCCTGTAATCCCAGCACTTTGAGACACCAAGGCAGGCAGATCACCTGAGGTTAGGAGTTTGAGACCAGCCTGACCAACATGGAGAAATCCCTTCTCTACTAAAAATACAAAATTAGCTGGGTGTGGTGGCACATGCCTGTAATCCTAGCTACTCAGGAGCCTGAGGCAGGAGAATTGCTTGAACCCAGGAGGCAGAGGTTGTGATGAGCCGAGATCATGCCATTGCACTCCAGCCTGGGCAACAAGAACAAAACTCCATCAAAAACAAAAACAAAAAAAAAGCAAATAGCAAACAAAAATAAAATAACAAAATAGATGAGGCAAATTGCTACACAAATGTTTTTATTTAGTGTTATATTTTGTTTTCTACCTGTGAAATTTGCTGATTTATGTATGTTCAGTATATTAATCTCCATCTATGAGTCAATTCACCAATACTTTATACTCTTTCATTCTGGATAGCAGAGAGCTGTGTGGGTGTGTGCATCAAACAACTAAAGAGAATGAATGTTGAATGATGATGTGCCAGGAGATACTAGCCTGAAAAGATTTCACGAACAAGATGAAATTTAACCAGCAATTTGAAAGAAAAAAGAAACATGCCACAGAGGATTGTTTATGAAGTAAGTCAAATCTGTGTGAATTTTCTCAGCTATTTGTTTGGCAATATGGCAAACTGAGTCACTTTGAAAGAGTCCATCTGTTTTATACATGTAAAGCATGGAATACTATGCAGCCATTAAAAAGAATGAGATCATGTCCTTTGCAGGAACATGGATGGAGCTAGAGGCCATTATCCTTTTCAAATTAACAGAAACTGCCTTTATCTTTTGCAGAAACAGAAAACCAAATACCGCATGTTCTCACTTATAAGTGGGGGCCAAATGATGAGAACACATGGACTTAAGTAGGGGAACAACAAACACTGGAGCCTGGTTGAGGGTGGAGGGTGGGAGGAGGGAGAGGATCAGGAAAAATAACTAATGGGAACTAGGCTTAATACCTGGGTGATGAAATAATCTGTACAACAAACTCCCATGACGTGAGTTCACCTATATAGCAAACCTGCACATCTACCCCGACCTGAAAATAAAAGTTAAATTTAAAAAGTGTAGCTTGCTACTTTATTTAACAGATTCTCTCTCTTCTTTCTCTCTTTTCTTTTTTTTTGTGATTGTTGCTGTTTTTGTTTTTACCAATTTGCTTCTTATTTAGGTTTGTCCTTCTAATATTTGAAGATTAATGTTCATTTGTTTATGGAACAACAGAAATTATTCCCCAATAAGATCTAGGCAATAAATGGGAAAAGAAAGCAGCAGCCAAGAAATTAAGAGACTGGAATTCTATTTCTTGCTCTGCTCCTTGTTAGCTGTATGATTTTTGTTAAGTTTCTTAGACCCTCTGGGATTCTTATGTAAAATCAGAAGGTAGAGATTGGCCCTCTCTTAGTTTTTGTTGTTGTTTGTTTTGTTTTGAGACAGAGTCTTGCTCTGTCACCCAGGCTGGAGTGCAGTGGTGCAATCCTGGCTCACTGCAACTTCCACCTCCCAAATTCAAAGGATTCTTCTACCTCAGCCTCCTGAGTAGCTGGGATTACAGGCACCCACCACCATGCTTGGCTAATTTTTGCATTTTTAGTAAAGACAGGGTTTTGCCATGTTGGCCAGGCTGGTCTCTAGCTCCTGACCTCAGCCTCCCAAAGTGCTGGGATTACAGGCGTGAGCCACCACACCCAGTCATCTCAGATATTTTCAAACGTCAGTATTCTGTACATCCCAAACCATATTGTTACAAACGTCTAAAAACATGCTTGAAAATCTACATGGAAGGGATTCAGAGAAAATGCCAGGTTAAGCATGCAATTTCCTGACCTTTCATCCTCCCACCTTTTTGCAAGCACTACCCAACAATTGAGATAAGGGTGACATGCCAGCAGGTGCCCGTGGCTGCGGGCAGTGGCCAAGGGCATGCATTTGTTATGCTTTAAGGTGCACACAAATGATCTGGGGATCTTGTTACTATGTACATTCCTTTGAATAGATCTGGGGTGAGGCATGAGTTTCTGCATTTCTAACAAACTCCAACGTAAGGCTAATGCCATTGACCCGTGTCCCCTCTTTGCGCAGCACAGATCTCCAAAGGGATTCTTGAGTGCACCTGAGGACTGAATTCTCCAGAGGATGGACAGGTGCAGAGACTCACAGCTTGACATGCTATGTGGAAAGCAGAAAGCCTAGGCTAATGAGATGGGTTTTGCCCCCCAGCAGGGAACCTCCAAGGTACAGGCTGCAAATGCTGAAGTCCAACTGAGAGACTCTACTGGGTCCCTTTTTTGGTACTCTGCATGTTTGCTGAACGTGATCTTTTGGGAGACTGAAGAACCTGGGCTGAGCGACAGCTGAGAAATGACTTGTTCCAAGGCTCTATGGTTGTAAGTGCCTTTTCTTCTCTCCCTTGAGCTTTGCCCCATAACTTGCACCTCTCTTCACCCTCAAAATAATAAGGCCTCCTCTCGTCCACCATAAAACCAATCTGCCATCTCATTCATCATTTCCTGCCAGTCCAGCGTTTGCCATTGTTCTTCAAAATCCTGACTTTTGTGGTGACTGAGGGAGCCCACCTTCACGAACAGGCAGACACTGAAGAAGTACCTGCCTCACAGGTAGGATGCCTGGCCAGGGTAGACAGGTGGTTTCTACTGAGGCAGAACTCACTGATAAGACAGGAGAGAAAGTTGATAAAAAAAACATTAGAGAACACTTAGGAGATGTAATGGGAGCAAAAATAAGATGTTCAGAAATTCAAAGTATGATTTACAGATTTATACACTTAATGGAAAGGACACGAAAAATATTGATAAATGAACTGTGATTTGGGGAGGAGAAATGGAAGAAAGAGCTGAGAACACCAAATAAAATACAAGGAAACAGAAAATATGAAAGAAGAGATAAGAATGGAGATCCTAGCCTGGAGTTTAATTTTGCGAATAATAGCAGTTTCAGAGGGACAAAAAGCACTTGATGAGGAAATGGTAATGTTCACATATGTATACATAAGAAAACTTCCCTGAGGCCGGGTGTGGTGGTTCATGCCTGTAATCCCAGCAATTTGGGAGGACGAGGCGGGCGGATCACCTGAGGTCAGGAGTTTGAAACTAGCCTGGCCAGTATAACAAAACCCCGTCTCTACTAAAAATACAAAAATTAGATGGGTTTGGTGGCAGGCACCTGTAATCCCAGCTACTCAGGAAGCTGAGGCATGAGAATCGCTTGAACTCGGGAGACAGACGTTGCAGTGAGCCAATATGGTGCCACTGCACTCCAGCTTGGGTGACAGAGCGAGATTCCATCTCAAAAAAAAAAAAAAAAAAAAAAGCCAGTTGCGGTGGCTCACACCTGTAATCCCAGCACTTTGGAGGCCAAGGTGGGTGGATCACCTGAGGTCAGGAGTTCAATACCAGCCTGGGCAACATGGTGAAGCCCCGTCTCTAAGAAAAATACAAAAATTAGCTGGGCAAGGTGGCAGGTGCCTATAATCCCAGCTACTCAGGAGGCTGAGGCAGGAGAATCACTTGAACCAGGGAGGTGGAGGTTGTAGTGAGCCGAGATCACGCCATTGCACTCCAGCCTGGGTGACAAGAGCAAAACTCCATCTCAAAAGAAAAAAAAAAGGAAGAAAGAAAGAAAGGAAGGAAGGGAGGGAGGGAGGGAGGGAGGGAGGGAGGAAGGAAGGAAGGAAGGAAGGAAAAACTTCCCTGAGCTGAAGAGACTTGTTTCCTGTTAGAAAGTGTTCATTAATTCCCAAGCAAAATGAATGAGATTGGATATCCTCGGCCATACATCACTGAAATTTCTGAACCCCGAGGATGGAGAAAACACAGATTGAGTATCTCTAATCCTAAATGCTTGGACCAGAAATGTTTCAGATCTCTGATCTTTTCCGATTTTGGAATATTTGCATATGCATAATGAGATATCCTGGAGATGGTACCAAGTCTAAACATGAAATTCATTTACGTTTCATATACACCTGATACACATAGCCTGAAGGTAATTTTATACATTATTTTAACAACTTTGTACTTGAAACAAACTTTCTGTACATGAGGTCAGGTGTGGAATTTTTTACTTGTGGAGTCATGTTGGTACTCAAAAAGTTTCAGATATTGGAGCCTTTCAGATTTTGCATACTCGGATTAGGGACCCTCAAGCTGTACAACATGTTAGACAGAGAAAACGAGTTCTTGAATAGGAAGAGAATCCAGGCTAGCACCAAACTTCTCATTTCAGACTTTCGATAGAAAGAAACATGGAAGTTTCTATTGATAGTCTTATTTCCCATGGGCTGAGAATCCTGTACAGATGCATCATGTTCAAATATGAGTGCAAAAGAAGACTATTTTTAGGCCAGGTGCAGTGGCTGACACCTGTAATCCCAACACTTCCGAAGGCCAAGGCAGGTGGATCACCTGAGGTCAGGAGTTCAAGACCAGCCTGGGCTACATGGCGAAAACCCATCTGTACTAAAAATACAAAAATTAGCCAGGGATGGTGGCACATGCTTCTAATCTCAACTACTTTGGAGGCTGAGGTGGGAGGATCGCTTGAATCCAGGAGCTGGAGGTTGCAGTGAGCTGAGATCATGGCACTGCATTCCAGCCTGGACAACAGAGCAAGACTCTGTCTCATTTAAAAAAAAAAAAAAAGGATATTTTTAGACTTTCAAGAATTCAGAAGTTGATCATTGTTGTACCACTACAAAGAAAATCACAAAATGCTCAAAAAGAAAGTAAAGATTAATTCAATTCTAAGATTTAATGACAGGGAAGCAAAATAAGAATACAGAATACTGGGAATGGAATATATATTCTTGTAAAAAGTACAATTTCATTAGATACTGCAAAAGTGTGTGAAGGTCACCTTCTGTCTTCCCCGCCCTGCCTGGGAGACTGACAGACATGGACTCTTCAATGAGGCCCTGTGTCCTCTGGCTACCACTGGGTTCAGACACTGAGGAGCCCCATCAGGAGTCTCAAGGAAGGGAAGAGTGAGGTCAGAGTCTTCATTCACCATCTGGCAAAGTCTCCCGGGCTGGCCATGTGCCTCTCAAGAAGGCCATTGAGCCTCTTAAGTTGACTACTCTCCACTACTCTCTCCTTCCCAATTTTGGCAGTCTCTCCCGCACTCTGTTCCATCACACTCTGGAGTGAAGTCTCTGCTGTGGCACACCTAGGCGTCTGTACTCTCCCTGTGGGTCCTACCTCATCACACAAGTGTTAATTGTTCCTTTTTGGGAGGCTGAGGCAGCCATATCACTTATGGCCAGGAGTTTGAGACCAGCCTGGCCAACATGGTGAAACCCCATCTCTACAAAAAATACAAAAATTAGCCAACATGTTGGTGTGCACCTGTAGTTCCAGCTACTTGGGAAGCTGAGGCATGAGGCTTGAGCTTGGGAGGTGGAGGTTGCAGTGAGCCGGGGTCATGCCACTGTACTTCAGCTTTGGCAATAGAGCGAGACCCTATCTCAAAAAAAAAAAAAAAAAAAAAAAAAAGAGAAAAAAGAAACAATTTTCCTATCTGACACTTTCCTACAGTTATATCCCAAATAATATAATTGTAAACTCTGAGTGATAATAAATGCTTTTGAAACAGAAAAATAAATATCTTATAAGGAAAAAATTTTAATGACCTGGAATTGGTGACATTATTACTGTAAGTGAAAAATAATCAAACTGCAAACAAACATATATTTATGTTACCTTCATGTAAGAAGAAAGAAAAATAAGAACACATACATTTCTCTACTTATCTTTATAAAAAGAAACGCAGGAAAGATAAACCAGATATCAAAGAAGTGGATTTCCTACAAGGAGTGGAGGAGAGCAGGAAATGGATAGGAGGAACCTGGGAGGGAATGATACTTTCTCTATGTGCACCTTTCGCTATGGTCATGACATGAAAGCATGTTGGTGGTGAAGGGTGGGAAGAGGGAAAGGATCAGGAAAAATAACCATTGGGTACTATACTTAGTACCTGGGTGACAAAATAATCTGTACCCCAAACCCCCATGACATGAGTTTACCTATGTAACAAACCTGCACATATACCCTTGAATCTAAAATAAAAGTTTAAAGAAATGTAAAAAGATGCATCAGCTGTTAACATCCATTCTTCGCTATGTGGTATTAGAAGGTAGAGAGATGACTAATATTTTTGTATACTCCAAGACTGACTTGAAAAAAGATTTGTTCTAATCTTGTAATATTTTTAAGCACTACAATAAAAATGAATGAAAATTTAAAAATGAATATGAGAAGAAAAACTGTTGCTCAAGTTGACCTTTGAGAGTGCTCCTGCAGTCTTTTGACATATCTTCATTAATGTTACTGTTATTGCTGTTCTTTGAGCATTTCCTCACTTTCTGATGCTACAAGATACTCCACTCTCATCTTGTTTTTTTATTTTTCTTTTTTTTTTTTTTAGATGGACTCTCACTCTGTCACCCAGGCTGAAGTGCAGTGGCGTGATCTCGGGTCACTGCGACCTCCGCCTCCCAGGTTCAAGCAATTCTCCTGCCTCAGCCTCCCAAGTGGCTGAGATTACAAGCGCCCACCACCATGCCCAGCTTTTTTGTTTGTTTGTTTGTTTGTATTTTTAGTAGCGATGGGTTTTCACCATGTTGTCCAGGCTGGTCTTGAACTCCTGACCTCAGGTGATGCACACACCTCGGCCTCCCAAAGTGCTGGGGTTACAGGCGTGGGCCATCACACCCAGCCTCCAGGCTCATCTTGTATATTTCCTGCTCAAGCCCTAGAATCAGCCATTTCTCAGGAAGCCCTAGTTCCTTTTATTGGAGAATGGGATTCGAAATCAAGATCTGGACGCAACATATGCCCATTGCACTGGCAGGTTATTGCTTACAGGCCTTCTCAGATGATAGAGCAAAGAAACATATGTGTGTATACTAACCCCTATATATACATATATCTATCAATGTTTCCATCTACAACCATCTGTATTTGTATTAAACAAAATGAATTCATACTAATGTCATGTCTGCATCTCTAATCCATTACCATATGGATCATCCTAGCATTTTCCCCTTGCTTATCTGTAACATCTCACTCCAACAGTGAGAAAACTAGCTCCCACCATCTGCCATGCATTTACTTAATGGATCAATTCCCCTGCACATGTATGGTTTACGTGTTTATTAACCTTCACCCCTGCCAGGGTTTGTTTTTTCTTTTTTTCGTATAAAGCAAACAGGAAACAAATAATAAAATGATAGACCTAAGTTTAACCATTTAAATAATTACATTAAATTATACTAATTGGTTATAATCTGAATGTTTGCATCTCCCCAAAATTAATATGTTGAGCCTCAATCACCAAAGTCATGATATTAGGAGACGGGGCCTTTGGAAGGTGATTAGGTCATGAAGACCAGAGCCCTCATGAATGGGATTAATACCCTTATAAAAGAGGTCCCAGAGAACTGCCCTGCCCCTCCCACCATGTGAGCCAGAAAGTGGGCTCTCACCAGACTTTGCATCTGCCAGCACCTGGATCTTGGACTTCCCAGCCACTAGAACTCTGAAGAATAAATTTATGTTGTTTATAAGCCACCTAGTTTATGGTGTTTTGTTATAAAAACCCAGCAGACTAAGATGTGATCTAAACAAACTAATTAAAAGACAGAAATTTATAAACATGCATTTTACAAAAAGACCCAACTATATGCCTTCTGTAAGTAATCCACTTTAAATGCAATGACATTGATATTTTAAAATGTGATAAATGTAATGAAAGGATGGAAAGCATACATTATGCAAATACTAATTAAAAGAAAGCTAGAATGGCTACATTCACATCAGATAAATATCAGAAACAATTAAAATTATCAGGGACACAACCTGCGTAGGGGATCAAAATTAACATGGTTCATGAAGGGCAGTGGATGCTGCATGCCTCCAGATAGAATGTCCTGAAGAAGACACAAAATCCCTTCATGAGAATGTGTAACCTGAATCTAATCACAATAGAATCATCAGAAAAATGCAAACGAAACAACATTCTGTTTTTAAAATGTCAGAGGGGAATGTATGCCTAAAAACTATTGATGTCATAAAAGACTAAGAAAGGCTGTGGGGAGTTGCAGGTCAAAGGAGGCTAAAGAGACATGCCAACTAAATGTGATATTTAACCCTGGCCTGGATCCTCCCTGGAGAGCAGTGAGGAGTCCTGTGAAAGACATTATTAGGTCAACCAACAAGACATGAATATGGGCCATAGATTAGATAAAAATATGACATTAATAGAAATTTATGAAATCTGTAACTATACTATGGATATGTAAGAGAATGTCACTCTTCTTAGGAAGTACACACTGAAGTGTTTAGGGATAACAGCCATGATATACGTACCTTACCCTCAAATGGTTCTGAAAATAATCACACACATGTGTATGTGTGTGTGCGTGTGTGTGTGTACAGAGAGAAAGCAAATGAATAGAGCAAATGTTATAACATATTAATAACAGGTAAATCTGAGTAAAGGGCATTACCAGTATTCTTTGTACTATTGTATTTTACTAATTATAAAGTGTTTTCAAAAATGTTATAAAAATTGACCAGGTGTGGTGGCTCACACCAGTAATCCTAACACTTTGGGAGGCTGAGGTGGGTGGATCTCTTGAGGCCAGGAGTTCAAGACCAGCCTGGCCAGCATGGTGAAACCCCATCTCTACTAAAAATACAAAAGTTAGCCAGGTGTGGTGGTGTGCGCCTGTAATCCCAGCTACTCTGGAGGCTGAGGCAGGAGAATTACTTGAACCCGGGAGGTAGAAGCTGCAGTGAGCCGAGATCGTGCCACTGCACTCCAACCTGGGCGACAGAGCAAGACTCCATCTCAAAAAAGAAAAAAGTTATAAAAATTATCCATAACTCAATTCTTAACTTCATTAATAAAATATAGAGGTTAGGAATGGGAGACCCATGGGGAAAGTGAATGTCTTCTCAATGTCGTAGTTGGTGGGGAATAGGAATGATGATGAATCTTTAGAGAGTCAGAGTGACTATTTTAGTATAGTCACATATTCACAGAGACTTCTAACCCTATGAGTTAAAATACAGAAGATATATAGTAAAATTTGTATTGCTTTATATTTTAGAAGGACACAGAGAGTTTTTTAAATTAATGTCCTGATTAATCTGGAAGAAATGTGAAAAGGAGAAAAGCATGAACAACAATAGGTATAATAAATAGTAAAATGCAAAGTAATAAGAAGATGTGAAATCAAATCCATGAGATACAGGGAGAAATGTGAACGGATTGAACACCAGTATTAGATGATAAGGACTCTCAGAACGGATTAAGACATAATACCAAACTATATGCTTCCTACAAGACACACATGTAAAACTTTTGACAGAAAATTTGAAACTTAAGGGATAGGCAGAGATACCAAGCACAGGCAAACCAAATAATTTAAATAAAATGAAATTCAAAAGCAGTGACTTTGCTATCAGCTGTAGGAGAGCCACATGAGTTTGCAGGTGATGAGAAATCATTTGATACCTCCCTATTTTCTTTCTACCCCGAGGAGGGTGTGCCACGTTTCCTTAACAACCCAGTCCACCCCTTTGTTCCAGCATAAATGGCATTAATGATGGTTTCATTGGTCATCATCTGGGGGCGGTCTCTCACTAACAGCCTAATTTCCTATTGCCGAGAAGACGGTTCTGATTTTTTTTTTAACGTATAGAAACGTGCATACGTGATTTTTCTGAAGTTTGTTCTAATGATCTGAGACATCTCTACTCACCCTGGAGAAAAGACTACAGCTGTGAATGGTGTGTTGACGCCACTAAAATTACAGCTGCTTACAGCTTCCAGGTCTTTTCCATAAACCACTAAAAGCAGAACCCTCTAGGATACACCTGGAGCTTTGTGGGCTGGCTTTCCAAGTCTGAGTTTTTGCTGCCACCTACAGGCTCAATCTGGGCAGCACACTTTGCCCTTAATGCCACTTTTGACTCATACCAAAAGGTCCCTTAAATAGCGTCTACGTTGCAAATTGCCCAAGGAACCAAAGTAAGTATCCAGCCTCCATGAATATGGCAAGTATCCCCAGACAGGAGCTACAGGGACACGTCCTCTACATATAAGGGACAGCGGTAAAGCAATTAATTCTCACCAGGAATATCTTCCCTTGCCGGACCCTGAGATGACCACTGAGCATGGAATCCCAGAATCATGCCATCTTTCCAGCCTGGAAATTCATCACTTCTCACTGCAAACACCCACATTTATTCCATGCATCCTATGTGCCCGGCATCTTCCCCATGCATTATCTCATTTATTATTCACAACAATACTATGAGATAATAACTCTCATCACCTCTTTTTACAGACAAGGAAACAAACCGAGTTTCAGAGAAACCAAATAACTTGTCCAAAAAATACAACTAGTAAATGATAGATTCTGGGATTAAACCCAAATCTTGCAGTTCAAACTCAACAACTCTTCAGAGTGTGACATCCTTGATTTATTCATGGAAAAATCAACCCCATTGCCGAGCAACTTGAACAACCTTCCTTGAAGAAGGGTAAAATGTGTTACTTTCATGCTGTATTTTCCTGTTGGTATCAATGTCCAACTCCCAAAAAATCTACAGCAACTGACCACATGAAACTACTAAATTCTTCGGAAGAAAAATTAGTAAGTGCCCATACTAAATGGCCACAATAGCTTCAATGAGCTCTTCTTCTTGGTAAAGATACTTCCATTCGTTCATTCATTCATTCATTTATTCCAACATGCTCCTGCAAGCCACCCAAACCATATCAAGATACAATAGAGTACCTGCATCCACAGGGACATAAGGGGAACCCGGGGTGTGCTGTGGGTATGATGTCACCTAACAGCACTAATCTGAAGTCAGTTTCTGTTTTTTCTTCTTCAGAATCCTTTTTCACAAAAACTACAAAGAATTTACCCACAGGCAATGAAAGCCTTTCTTTTCATTGTTCTTTCTATTTCTTTCAAGTTTATGTTTTCAATTTCATTTAAATAATGTAACTTTAAATGCATTAATTTGATTGTATTATACATCACTGAGGGAAGGTTCAGGGCAGTTTTTTTTTTTTTCTTTTCCTTTGCTTGTCTTCACCCTGTCTTTGTTTTTTCTTCACATTCCTCTCAGTAATCCCCACTTATCAAGTTAAAACATATAATAAACATTATGCTTTGTACTACATGTTTACATATCCCTGTAGAGACATATAAATACGTACACATTTGGAGAGGAAAGCCCCTCCCCAAATCCACTTTATGTGTGTACCCATACAATTTTCAAGGCTATTGTTTGATAAAATCTCTTGGCCACTCAGAATCCATAGACTAAAATCCAGGTGCAGTGGTTCACGCCTGTAGTCCCAGCTACTCGAGAGGCTGAGGCAGGAGGATTGCTTGAGCCCAGGAGTTCAAGGCTGCAGTGAGCCATGATCATGCCTGGGAATAGCCACTGCACTCAACCTGAGCAACATAACATTGCCCATTCACTACGATGTTGTCTGTGAGTTTGTCATAAATGGACGGCTCTCAATATTTTGAGGTATATTCCTTTGATGCCTAGTGAACTCCCAGACTCCACAGACTCAGCTAAAAGGATTCAGAGCCCTCTTACTTCAACCTCTGCCTCATGGCAAGTGATTGAATAAGCCTCTAAGTCAGATTATTCTCCCTTAAAGATCTTCCAGATCAAAGACGTAGTGATGACCCTAGGCAGGTAAAAAACATTTCTGTGTTTTGTCTTCTAGGGTAGGTAAAAAGATGTTTTCTTAAGTCCAAATAATATATCTCCAGCTTCTATATAAAGTGATTTTACAGATTAAATAAATCCTTATTGGATCATCTGTTCCTAAAATTATTAAAAGTTAATTGAGGAAACAAAACCTACCCTAAAAGAGAAAGTCAATGATGATTCCAAGGAGTGGATAAGAGTGTAATTTCCAAGGCCAGGTGCAGTAGCTCACACCTGTAATCCCAGCACTTTGGGAGGCCAAGGTGGGCAGATCACTTGAGGTCAGGTGTTCGTGACCAGCCTGGCCCACAGAGTTAAACCCCATCTTTATTAAAAATACAAAAATTAGCCAGGCGTGGTGGCAGGTGCCTGTAATCCCAGCTACTCGGGAGGCTAAGGCAGGAGAATCGCTTGAACCTGGGAGGTGGAGGTTTCGGAGAGCCAAGATCATGCCACTGCACTCCAGCCTCAGTGACAGAGCAGACTATCTCAAAAAAAAAAAAAAAAAAACAAAGTATAATTTCTGAAGTGTGATCAAGTATATTCAAATTCCAGCTTCACACTTACATGCTGTATGGCATTTAGCAAACCAGTTAATCTTTCTGTGCATTGTTTCTATATCATAGACTTCTAAGAATTGAGGTAATACATGCAAAGCACAGAGCAAAAGCCAAGGCTCTGGTATGAGTAATAGATTTTAGAAAAATGCTGCTGACCCAGTTTTCAACCCCAGAAGAGATGATTCCCTTGGCTTGACGGATAGAAGCAGAGGACATGATAAAAAAAAAAAAAAGCCCTCCACAAACTGGATATCAAAGGAATATACTTCAAAATAATAAGAGCCATCCATCTATGACAAACCCACAGCCAGCATCACAGTGAATGGGCAAAAGCTGGAGGCATTCCTTTTAAGAACAGGTACAAGATAGAGTTGCCTACTCTCACCACTCCTATTAAATATAGTACTGGAATTTCTATCCAGAGCAATCAGGCAAGAGAAAGACATAAAAGGCATCCAAACAAGAAAATAAGTCAAATTATCTCTCTTCATAGATTTAATGATTCTATACCTAGAAAAGCCTGAAGACTCCACCAAAAGGCTCCTAGAACCAATAAACAACCTCGGTAAAGTCTCAGGATACAAAATTAATGTGCAAAAATTCAGTAGCATTTCTATACACCAATAACATTCAAGCTGAGATCCAAATCAAGAACACAATCCCATTTATAGTAGCCACCAAAAAAACAAAATACCTAGGAATACATCTAACCAAGGAGGTAAAAAATCTCTACAAGGAGAACTACAAAATACTGCTGAAAGACATCATAGATGACACAAACAAATGGAAAAACATTCTATGATCATGGATTGAAGGAATCAATATCATAAAAATGGCCATACTGCCCAAAGAAATTTACAGATTCAGTACTATTCCTATCAAATTATCAATGTCACTATTCATAAAATTAGAAAAACCGATTTTAAAATTCATAGAGCCTCCCCCTACAAAAAAGCCTGATTAGCCAAAGCAAGCCTAAGCAAAAAAAATTGGAGACATCATATTACCCAACTTCAAACTATACTATAAGGCCACAGTAACGAAAACAGTATGGTACTGGTATAAAAACAGACATATAGACCAATGAAACAGAATAGAGAATCCAGAAATAAAGCTGCACACCTACAACCATCTGATATTTGACAAAGTCAGCAAAAATAAGCAATGCAGAAGGCACTCCCTATTTTATAAATGGTGCCAGAATAACTGGCTAGCCATATAAAGAAGAATGAAACTGGACCCCTTATCTTCCCCATACACAAAAATTAACTCAAGATGGATTGAAGATTTAAATGTAAGACCTCAAACTATAAAGGTCCTAGGGGAAAACCTAGGAAACATCATTCTGGACATGAGGCTTGGCAAAGAATTTATTTCAGAAAACTTCTGTTTTTCTCAGTCCTCCATAAGTCCTCAAAAGCAATGGCAACAAAAAAATTGACAAGTGGAACCTAATTAAACACAAGAGCTGCACGACAAAAGAAACTATCAACAGAGTACACAGACAACCTACAGAATGGGAGAAAATATTTGCAAACGATGCATCTGACAAAGATCTCACATTTAGAATCTACAAGGGAATTAAACAGTTCAACAAGCAAAAACCAACCTCATTAAAAAAGGGCAAAGGACATGAACAGACTCTTCTCAAAAGAAGACAAACATGAAAAAATTCTCAACATCATTAATCATCAGAGAAATGCAAATCAAAACCACAATGAGATACCATCTCATACCGGTTAGAATGGCAATTATTAAAAAGTGAAAAAATAACAGATGTTGGCAAGGTTGCAGAAAAAAAGGGAATGTTTATACACTGTTGGCAGGAATGTAAATTACTTCAGCCACTATGGAAAGCAGTTTGGAGATTTCTCAAAAAACTTGGAAATAGATCTACCATTCGACCCAGCAATCCCACTACTGCGTATATTTTCAAAGGAAAATAAATCGTTCTACCGAAAAGACACATGCACTCATATATTCATTGCAACACTATTCACAATAGCAACGACAAAGAATCATCCTAGATGCCCATCAACAGTGGATTGGATAAAGAAAATGTGATACATATACACCACGGAATACTACGCAGCCATAAAAACAGAATGAAGTTATATCCTTTGCAGCTAAGAGGATGCAGCTGGAGGCCATTATTCCAAGCAAATTAACACAGAAACAGAAAACCAAATAACCACATGTTCTCACTTGCAAGTGGGAGCTAAGCATTGGGTACTCATGGACATAAATATGGGAACAACAGATACTGTGAACCACTAGAGGAGAGAGGGCAGGCGGGCCTCAGGGGTTTAAAAACTACCTTTTAGGTACTATACTCATTACCTGGGTGATGGAATTGTTCATACCCCAAACCTCAGTGTCACACAATATACCTAGGTAACAAACCTGTACATGTACCTCTTGAATCTAAAATAAAAGTTGAAATTATTTAAGAACTAGAAATAAATTTCTGTTGCTTATAAGCTTAAAAAAATCCAGTACACCATTGATGGGCACCTAAGTTGATTTCATGTCTTTGCTATTGTAAACAGCACAGTGATGGACATACAAGTGCATGTCTCTTTTTGATAGAATGATTTCTATTTCTTTGGGTATATACCCAGTGATGGGTTTGCTGGGTCAAACGGTCGTTCTATTTTAAGTTCTTTGAGAAATCTCTAAACTGCTTTCTACAGTGGCTGATTTAATTTACATCCCCATCCATACCAACAGTGTGGAAGAGCTCCTTTTTCTCTGCGGCCTCAGCAACATCAGTTATTTTTTTACTATTTATTTATTTATTTACTTATTTATTTATTTTGAGAGGGATTCTTGCTCTATCACCCAGGCTGGAATGCAGTGGTATGATCTCGGCTCACCGCAGCCTCTGCCTCCCAGGTTCAAGCAATTCTCCTGCCTCAGCCTCCCGAGTAGCTGGGACTACAGGCACATGCCACCCTGCCCAGCTGATTTTTATATTTTCAGCAGAGATAGGGTTTCACCATGTTGGCCAGGCTGGTCTCAAATTTTTGTCCTCAAGTGATCCGCCCACCTCGGCCTCCCAAAGTGCTGGGACTACAGGCATGAGCCACCAGGCCCAGCCCTTTTGACTTTGTAATCATAGCTACTCTGGTGTCAGAAGGGAAGCAAGCACTAAAATGCTGCTGAGTGAACCAGAGACTGGGGTATATGGGCAAAGCAAGGACACAACACTCAGAGAAGGCTGAGAATCTGCACGCAGAAGGAGCCTGGGCCCTATTTCCTGGGTGGCCCCCTGGGAAAGCAGCAGGACCCAGCATCTCTCGCCCCTAAATGAAGGAGATGTCATAAGGGTCACACATAAATGGCAGTGTGGAGTCATTAAGGAGACAGCTCCAGATGCAGCCTGGCACAGGTGGCCATCAAGACGGGCACAGATGTGGTCAGAGGCCAGCAGCCCAGAGAGGCCTCGAGCTGGAGAAAGGAGGAAGCAGGGTTATCTGAAAGCCTTTCACTAGGAAACCAGATAAACTTTGAACATCTTCCAGGTGCCAATGGGCACAGACGATCAGAGGCCAGTGAGAATGAGGATTCAGCAAAAGATGCCAGGGTGGGCACACAAGCCCCAGGGGCCAGGCCCTTCACCCACTCCTTGGCACTAAACCCCCTTGAAACTCAGATGCAACCAGAGGAGGAAGGAGGGAGGTGAGAAACTCCTGGATTAACTGGAGAATACCTGAAGTGGCTAAGATTGCATTCCTATCACCAGTGCAACGTGGGCCCAAAATATAAAATCAGGGATAAAAAATAATTTCTAAAGCTTGAATTTGAGGTCTGAGACATTTGTATCTCCTAAGCAAATAAGCACTTAGCACAGCATCGGGCATGTAGTAAATGCTCCATAAACGTTAATAATGATCATTACTACCCACACAAGCTTAAATAACAAGTCATCGTGGCACGATGAGAAAGTAGCAAATGGCGAAAGGCTCAGAAGCACAGCAGCCATGGAAATGCACAGCCCCAGCCTCCTGCTGCAGGGAGCAAGTTGACTGACAGCCCCAGCCGCTGCTCCTGGCCCTGAGCTGCTCTCTGCCAAGTCCTCCATGACTGGAACTCCTCTATGGGCCCCTCGGCTCAGGAGCTCCTCTCCAGCCCGGCTGCAATGCCCGCAGAGCTGCACTGCTGCCTGGAACTCCTCGTCCCCCGCCCTCCCTCCTTCCTCCTCTCCCCTACAGAAGCCAGCCTGCATCTCTGTCTGATGCTCCTTTGCCTGGTCCTGCTTTCTCCCCTTCATCCTTCACAGGCATTCCCGCAGGAAATCTCCTGCACATCTAATCCTGTCTTGGTATCTTCTTATCAGAGGACTCAATTTCTTCAAGGGGCCTCATCCTATTATCCTCACTGTGGGCCAGAAGGACACATACAGCTTCCATGAGGAAGTCAGATTGGAGGATCAAAGGGAATTAGATGTGCTTGGCTAAGAGCCAGGGTCTTAGGGGCACTGCAAGCCCACATGACCTCTGGAGCAGGTGTGGGCACAGGCTCTGGACGGTTCACCCATGGTGGGGGTTAGATAGCAGACCCCGTCAAAGAAGCCAGGCTCTGTCTAGCAGTCAGTGCGTGAGCCTGTTGAGGGGCTTTTGTTAGAGGAATGCCGGGGAACAAAGGAGTTGACTACAGCTCAGGAATTTGCTCTGGAAGCTTCATCTCCCAACGTGGAATGCAAAACCCTGTCTTCTAACACATGAATTCTAAGCTTTATCAAGTGTGTAAGGAAAGATATCTCATTCCTGACATTACACCATACAATCTAAGCACGATCTGAGAAACACAAAAGACCTAGTGTAATTGTTGCAGAGATGTCCAACTTTTAAAAAGCATCTATGTTGGCCGGGCTTAGTGGCTCATGCCTGTAATCCCAGCACTTTGGGAGGCCGAGGCGGGCAGATCACAACGTCAGCAGTTTAAGACCAACCTGGCCAACATAGTGAAACTCTGTTTCTACTAAAAATACAAAAAAAAAAAAAATTAGCTGAGCGTACAGATGGGTGCCTGTAATTCCAGCTAATCCAGAGGCTGAGGCAGAATAATTGCTTGAACCTGGGAGGTGGAGGTTGCAGTGAGCCAAGATCGCACCACTGCACACCAGCCCGGGCGACAGGGCAAGACTCCATCTCAAAAAAAAAAAAAAAAGCATCTATGTTATAAAAGGGTATGTAACATTTAATTATGAGGAACAGTCAATTTATATACCACTCCGAACCTCAGCCTCCTTCTCGTAAAAAGAGGAAATGATACCACATGGACCCTAAGATCTACTGCAGATCTCCTGGCCTATGGTTTTCAGAGTCATTGAACCATGAGCAGTGGCATCATTTCAAACTTTACTTTCAGCAACTAGAAGATGCCAGACTACTTTTATTTGCTGTGCTTGACAACTTGTCACCAAAAAAAGATTTCTAAACAGATTTATCTTTCTCATGACATGAGACTTTTAATATCATCTGTTATAAACAATTGCTGTTGACAGCTTATACTGACAGGTGTTTGAGCAGTTGTCAATAATATGCTCATTTTATTGATTCTTTTCTTCCTTATATATCATGACTGAAATTTAAGTAGCTCAGAGTATATATTAATTGAGCCATCACTCTTATCTCCCTGATACATGATCACAGAACCAACAACTGTGCCTCTAATGTCCACATGGACTAAAAGTCACAAGATTGTGAGAGAAAAAAAAGGGCAACAATGCAGACAGGCTAAATTAGTATTAGGTTAGTGCAAAAGTAATTGCGGCCGGGCGTGGTGGGTCACACCTGCAATCCCAGCACTTCGGGAGGCTGAAGCAGGTGGATCACTTAAGGATCAGGAATTCAAAACCAGCCTGGCCAACATGGTGAAACCCATCTCTACTAAAAATACAAAAATTAGCCACTCGTGGTGGTGAGCACCTGTAATTCCAGCTACTCAGAAAGCTGAGGCACAAGAATTGCTTGAACCCAGGGGGTGGAGGTTGCAGTGAGCTGAGATGGCACCACTGCACTCCAGCCTGGATAACAGAGCGAAACTCCATCTCCAAAAAAAAAGTAATTGCGGTTTTTGTCATTAAAATTGTGAAAACTGCAATTACTATTGCACCAACCTAATAACTCAATGTCATCAAGAAACCCACAAGAACAGCCACAAGTTTCTTTAGAGATGATTCTCAAGATTTCTCCAAGAGTAGAGTGAGATGCCAGATCCAAAAATACAAGGAGTACGTGAGAGTCTACCTACCTTTCTCCACCCAGCCTCTTCCTCCGCCCGGGTCCGTCACACCTGCACCCAAGCTTACACTCTCCCAACAGGAAACGGGGGCATGCATCCTTCTCTGGGGATATTAACACTTAGAGGTTGCCCAATAAAGCAGCGCAGTCGCTTCCCAACCCTGTTATAGTAAAGACCACTAGACACAAGCCTCATGAGATACACAACCTACAATCAGCTCAAAAATATGCCTCGCTCATAAATGGCTGGGCCAAACTTGCCAGGCATTTGGGGAAAACAAGATCTAAAATAAAAGTAAAGTGAAAGAGGCTGGGCACGGTGCCTCACACCTGTAATCCCAACACTTTAAGAGGCTGTGGGTGGATCATTTGAGATCAGGAGTTCGAGACCAGCCTAGACAACATGGGGAAACCCCGTCTCTACTAAAAATAGAAAAATTAGCTGGACGTGGTAGTGCTACACCTGTAGTCCCAGCTACCAGGGAGGCTGAGGCAGGAGAATCACTTGAACCTGGGAAGCAGAGGTTGCAGTGAGCTGAGATTATGCCACTACACTCCAGCCTAGGCAACAGATCAAGACTTCATCTCAAAAAAAAAAAAAAAAGTAAAGAGAAAAAGACCAAAACAGACTAATGGAAACCAGAAATTCAGAGAAACAGAGACAACACAGGGAGCATAAGAGAGTTCCATAGAAACTATGACTGTTTGAGAAATAAGCAAACACAAGACATCTATAAAACAAGAACAGTATCACCTTAAAATAAAAATCAAAGAACAAGAAAAGCTTTGACAATTAAAAGTCTGACACAACTTTTCTTAAAAAATCAATAAAAGTATTCAAAAATAGAGTTTTAAAAATCTTTTCAGATAGGTTTTTTTCAACGTTTGTTTTAGACTCAGGGAGTTCAAGTGCAGATTTGTTACTTGGATGTATTGTGTGATGCTGAGGTTTGAGGTATGAATGATCCCATCACCCAGGTAGTGGACGTAGTATCCAATAGGTCATTTCTCAGGCCTTGCCCCACTCCCTTCTTCCTCTCCTCTAGTAGTCCCCACTGTCTGTTGTTCCCATATTTATGTTCACGAGTACTCAATGTTTAGCTTCCACTTATAAGTGAAAACACGTGGTAATTGGTTTTCTGTTCTTGCATTAATTCGCTTAGGATAATGGCCTCCAGCTGCATCCATATTTCTAAAAAGGACATGATTTTTTCTTCTTTATGGGCTGTGTAGTATTCCATGGTGTACATGTACCATATTTTCTTTATCCGATCTACTGTTGTTGGGCACCTCTGTTGATTCTATGTCTTTGCTATTATGAATAGCACTGTGATGAACGTGCACCTGCATGTGTCTCTTTGGTAGAATCATTTGTTTTCTTTTGAATATTTACCCAGTAATGGGATTGCTGGGTCAAATGGTCCGGATAGTTTTTGAAAAGGACAATAGGAGGGGCCGGGTGCGGTGGCTCACACCTGTAATCCCAGCACTTTGGGAGGCCAAGGCAGGTGGATCACCTGAGGTCAGGAGCTCAAGACCAGCCTAGCCAACATGGGGAAACCCCGTCTCTACTAAAATACAAAAATTAGCCGGGCATGGTGGTGCACACCTGTAATCCCAGCTACCTGGGAGGCTGAGGCAGGAGAATTGTTTGAACCTGGGAGGTGGAGGTTGCAGTGAGCCAAGATCATGCTATTGCACTCCAGCCTGTGCGACAGAGCGAGACTCTGTCTCAAGAAAAAAAAAAAAAAAAAGACAACAGGAGGGCGAAGGTAGGTAAATTAGAAGATCATTTGCAGGTGTGTGAAAGTTGTCAGAATCAAAATTCAGTCACATGTTTAAAATTCTAACAAATAGAGCCAGGGAAGGTCATAAAAGGAGAATCCTCATTAAAAACATATCGCATTTTTTGGTAAACTTTATATGCAGAATTATATATATTAGTTAGAATTTTTAACTCTTAATAACTTTAATTTCTACTGAAAACCTAGGAAATAAGATGTTTTTTAGTGTCTGTCACATATCAATATGTTGCAGATGTGAACCATTTTATCATTTCAAAAAGCATTTCCCCAAAACATAATTTTTGTGTGTATTAATAAACCCAAATATATTTAGTCTTTATATAAAATTCAAGAAGCCAAGAACAAACATATATTTATGTTCAGCAATTTATGTTTCAGTATTTTAACTTACTTAGAAATGACTCAGACATTTTGTGAATATCTATTACCTAATTTAACATAACCTGAAAATTTCACAAGTTTATTTATAAATGTTTATCACATTGCATTTTCCTAATGTATTTATTTTTAACAATTTACCTAGATTATCATAGCCAAACTATCAATCAAGTGTGAGGCTAGACTGAAGACCATCTGTGACCTCAGGCAAGGGTCATAACGTGTCTGCACTTCCTGTTCCTCCATACAAAAGCAATGAAGATGGTAGCACCGCCTTGCCCATCTCAGAGGATCCTTATCAAGATGAAATAAAGCATAACTTCCATCCATAGAGTACTAATTCCCTTGTAAGTCATAAGCTCCTCTGGGGCAGTGTCTAATTATGATTTATCTTTGGACTCTCTAAATTACCCAGACCAGTGACTTACACATAGTAAATATCAATAAATACTCTTTGAATGAATACATAAGATTTGTAGAGCAACTTTCTAAAAGTTGAAAGATACAGCACTTTATATATAACCATAAAAATTTAGAAACCTAATATATATATACATATAAATAATACTGCCTTCTAGAAAAATAAAGTATGACATGGCCATGTAGTAAAATCTTGTGTATTCATTAGACTGAGTTGTTGTTGTTGTTGTTTTGACCAGGGAAATTGTTCATGATGTAATGCTGCAGTGTTTAAGGTGGGTTGTAGATCAGTGAGAAGTGACATTCCCCCTCAGAAATACACACATTCCCATACACCTGCTATATTTCCCAATTGAATTCGGCGAAGAGAGAGAAATTAACAGAAACAAGGAGGCTCCCAGAGAGTGGGTGAGAGACCCGGAGAGGTTTGTCCTGGCTCCTGACTTGCCTATAGTACTCAAGGGACTGGTGTCATTCTCTGTCCAGGTAGGTCCTCGTCAATGTTGAGAAAACAGCTAAACCCTTGTAGTGCAACAACCCTTTTAGACTCAGGCAGGCATTGCCAATCTGGAATAATATACGCTGGTAATCCATGTGCTTCCATTTGAGGTAGTATTGGAAAGCATCAGCCTCTCCTTGTTCCTGAACCTGCCTCACAATCTACAAGGCCACCTCCCCTTCCAGGTAGAAAGCAGAGGCTGTGTCTAGATGGCCCTGAATGACAGCTCTGCCTGCTATTCTCCATTGTCCTAGAAAGCCCACGTCCCCACCGTCCACCCCTCTCTGATTTCATCCTCTGTTTCCCAGATGAATCTCAAACTGTGTTAGTTTGAGACCTAATGTTACAAATCCATGTAGTCTATGATCTCAAATATTCAAAAATATGGAAGAATCACTGAGGCAGTAGCATCAACTGAGCCCAGGAGCTTGAGGCTGAGAGTGGGAGGACAAAAGGGCAGGTGGGGAGAGAAGACCCAACCTGGTGGCCCTGCAGCGCCTCTGTGGATGGATTTTACAAAACAGTACAAAGGGAAGCTGAGGGTCAATAAATGAATGCCCTGAAAACCACCTGGCAAGAAACCCTTGTAAAGTTTCTCTGTAACCTCAGGGTGATATAGGCCCCAGTTTAAAATCTATTCATTCAGAACTCCAGGACTGCAGGTTCTTGCTAAGCATCCAGCCTGCTGACAAAAGCACTGTTTAGGCAAGATGCCAGCGGGACTTGGGAGCAACCCACCTCTAAAGGACGATGCTTTTCAAAATGGGTTCCCTAGATCACCTGCATCAAATATTATCTGAGTGTTTATTCAATATGTTTAACATGAAGATTCCTAGGCTCTGTCTCAAACCAGCTGAAAAGGAATCTTTAGGAAGAGGGACATGTGAAACTGTTTGTTGAAGCAACCTACAGCAACGTATGGGCTTTTTGTTGTTGTTGTTGTTGTTTAGACGGGGTCTCACTCTGTTGCCCAGGCTGGAGTGCAGTGGCCCCTCATCATCACACCCACAGCATTCTGCTTTGTCTAAGGCTTCCAAATGTATTCCCTAGTTTCCACCACACCACGGTAGCCCCTCAAGCTCCGGGCTGGATCTATGTCTAATTCATCATTGTGTCCACATCCTAGCCACATGACTAGCACATAGCTGTGCTCAATAGATACTTGTTGTATGAATAAATTCATAGTAAGTAGAAGATACAAAAATGAAGAAGGTGGCTGGGTGCAGTGGCTCATGCCATAATCCTAGCATTTTGGGAGGCTGAGGCGGGAGGATCGCTTGAGTTGAGGAGTTCAAGACCAGCCTGGGCAACATGGCAAAACCCCGTCTCTACAAAAAATAAAATAAAATAAAATAAATGAAGAAGGGAAGAATGTTTGAGGAACTCCCAAATATAGGATTAGTGCTCAGTTACTAATACACTAAGGAGCAGATTATTGGTATGGATCAGCGCAACCAAAAGGTAACCTCCAAATCATTGCTATCTGACTATCATCTATCTATTATCTATATATATATATATGTAATCTATATATGTGTATATATAATCTATATATGTATGTAATTTATATATATCTATATATAATCTTAAAATTATGTAGTGATAGAAAGGGCAGGCTTATGCGATGGCGGATGGGATTATGCCTTCGGCTTTTGGAACTATCGAATATCAATGTGGAAGACTTGAAGACCTGTTTGCTGAAGACCCTCTAAGCCTCTTAGAAAACAGTGACAAGAGCTTTGGGACATTTGCTAGGACACCGGATATTCTGGCATTTATGAACCAAGCCTGGGGATGCTCTCTACTGCTGTGGAGTTGGGGTGGTTTCAGCGGAGGACAACAAGGCTGCTAATTTGTTACTCAACTGCCCTTTGGCCCAACGCCTGGGAATTTATCCTAAAGGCCTCAGTAAAGGAGATTGTCAGTTAAAGAGTCCAATTACCCACGAGAAGCCTTATTAGTAACTGAACTTGCTCCTGGGCAAAGAATGCTGACCATCTCGGGGAGAAGAACCCTAAAGCCTGAATTCAAGACAGCAGCAGGGAATACAGCAACTGTCAGTTACAGCCACCAGGTGGCGCAGCAGAAAGCCAAACTCTCAGGAGCGCAAGGCAAACCCACATCCTGGTTCTTCTCCCCTAAGAAATTTGGTAGCCTCAGAAATTCGTCTGGAGAAGGGCTTAGAGGCAGACACCATTGAAACGGTAACCCAAGACCTTAATTTCACCCTTGCCTCAGTTTTACCCTTAAAATTACACCCAGAAAATGAACTGATAGGACTCGCTCTTGAGAGCCAATTGCTAAATTTTTAGCCCATCTTTTCTCAACCTCATGGTCAGTGACACCAAGTTGGTAACGTGAAATTGGCCAGGAAGGAATATTTACACCATGGAAATTGGCAAATGCTATAAATCAGTTCTTCAGAGGGTTGGTTGTTAAACATTTACCCAACACTCCTGGGTGAGAAGGAGAGACCGCCCATAAATTGTGCTGGGAGGCAAAAGAGGAAAGTTTGGCAATTTGCTTCTGATAATAACTCGGACAAAGTCAAATGTAGCAGCTAAAAACTTGGACTCTGTATTCAGGATTTAGGACTTAAATCTGTTGTTTAAGATTAAGCTCTGCCATTTATTAGCTGTGTAGAGTTGGGCAATCAACTCTTGGTGCCCATCTCTTCATCTGTAAAAAAGATATAATTGTACCTACTTAGTAAGGCTACTGTATAAGTCACCTTAAAATAACTATATGTGTTAGATATTACTATTACTAAAAGGTGATGAAATTATTAATACCATTAATTCAGAAATCATTACGATGTAAACAACAGAGACACACTTGAATTTTAAGACCTTAAAGCTATTTACCAATCTCGTTATATTTTTATATTTAATTTCAGATCCTGATTTAAATTTATTTTCTGTAAAGTGACTAAACACATTGGTTGGTTTTAATCCAGAATAATAAGCTTTTTACTATCATAAATTCTCTTTTGAATGTTTGGGAAGTAAATTATATATTTCCAGGGTTTTGCTCTAAAGGCTTTTTATTCTCTTTCTTTAAATATTTTGTAAATATCAGAAAGTCAGTTGGGTTTCCCAAAGAGTATGCCATTTAACATGAGTATGTCTCAAGTTGAGTCAAACAGAGGTTGCTCAGAAATTGGGTTAATAGAAACTCCAAGTCTCATTCCTCTAATGAGGGGCTAAGGGTTTTTCTCCATGTTTTGGATGGTGGCAGCCTTTGAGAATAAATAGATGAAATGATCTCTCATAGCGACAGAAGGAAAGTAGAACAATCTAGAACAACTAGACATGTGACTTTCTCTGAAACCACAAAGTAAATAAAAGACTCAGCTTTATGTTTTAAGGAGCTTCATCAATTAGGTCTGGATTTTGATTGATAAAAAATTCAGGGTGTCTGCTTACATAAAATTGTGAGACTTTTCTAGAAGTTTTGGAGAAAGTTGGGTTGCGACCTACCCTCTGACATCCTGACATTAAGAGTCACCTGGCCTGAGGCCAGAGGAATGAATACTCAGTGACCCACCTATGTCACTTCTAACTGGCAGAAATTAGAAAGCTGTGAAACTAATTGGTCAAAGAGGCTGTCAAACTCATTGCATCATCTATACTTTAAAGTCCAGAACTGCAGCGCTTTCTGCTCACTCCAGCCGCTTACCTTTTTGACTCACTTATTGTATTTTAATGAGCCAATCAGACTCGTATGTATTGATTTCCTGTTATTTCTACCCAATACTATGAGATGTGCTGTTGAAAAATTTATTTTAAAAACTACAACCACAGGGAAAAGAATACTTTTTCAAGGCACAACAAGGCACAACAAGGCATGCTCTATAAATCTGTAATAAATAATAATTTTCTAAAAATCAGGCCAGGTGTGGTGGCTCATGCCTGTAGTCCCAGCACTTTGGGATGCCAAGGCGGGTAGATCACCTGAGGTCAAGAGTTCGAGACCAGTCTCGCCAACCTGGCGAAACCCTGTCTCTACTAAAAATACACAAACAATTAGCTGGACATCGTGGTGGGCACCTGTAATCCCAAATACTCAGGAGGCTGAGGTAGGAGAATTGTTTGAACCCAGGAGACGGAGGTTGCAGTGAACCGAGACTGAGCCACTGCACTCCACTGCACTCCAGCCTAGGCGACAAGAGCGAAACTGTCTCAAAAAAAAAAAAATCAAAGGATACTTTTAACAATGCAGACACACTCCAAGTTTCTCACTCTGGAATGCTTGGGCCACAAGAAAGTGACAGGGTGCTTCCGCAGCAGAAAGCATGCACATTGCTGTTTTTAGAATTCCTTCTGGTATACGGTCTACTCAGCACCTCAGGGGAAAAGCATGTGACACTCTCAGTCATATGAGACTACAGCTGTCTTGCTGTCATGGTCATACCCAGAACTATTTTGCCACCACCACAGCTGCTGGTGGAGCCAAGATGGGTGTGTCCATGCATAGCCAAGCAGCAACAAAGACAAACAACTGTCATCAAAAAGGTGCCTTTCGTGACAGGCAGAGCAAGGGCCACAGGCCCTGCTAGAGCTTCTAAAAATTTAAATAAATGGATATTTTTAAAATAAATACACATGATTGAGCATGTGTAGTATGTAAAAACACAAAGATTAATTTCAAATGTAATGTTTTTATTACTACGTAATCTCACCATCCAGATACAAACTTTATTAACACTTTCGCTAAATTTCTGTCAGTCATGTTTTTGCATGTGTGTGTCTCTGTGTGTGTTTGTGGAGAGACTTTTTTAAAAAATTCTCACTGTCTCTACCAATTACTTTGAAATAATTTCAAGCTTATAGAAAGATTGCAAAAACAGAATAAAGAATTCCAATACGGTCTTACCCAGATTCCCCAAATACAGATATTGTCATGTTTGCTTCATATCTCTCCAGCTTTCTCTCTCTCCTACGTATATTACTTTTTTTGAACTATCTGATGGTAAATTGCGAACCTCAAGCCCGCTTCCCTTTAAATACTTCCGTGTGGCTGGGCACAGTGGATCATGTCTACAATCCCAAAACTTTGGGAGGCCAAGGAGGGAGGATTGCTTGGGGCCAGGAATTTGAGAACAGCCTGGGCAACATAGCAAAACCACATCTCTACAAAAAAAAATTTTTTTTAATTAGCTGGGGTGTGGTGGTGCATACCTGTAGTCCCAGATACTCAGGAGGCTGAGGTGGGAGGATCCCTTGAGCCTGGGAGTTTGAGGCTGCAGTGAGCCATGACCACACATCGAGCTATGAGGTGCACTCCAGCCTGGAGACAGAGCAAGACCCTGACTCAAAATAAATAAATAAATACTTCTGTGTGTATTCTCTAAAAACAAGACCAGTCTTATATATACCCCCAGATTCGATTTATCAAAATCAGAAAGTTAACGTTGAGATTATAGTAGAATTTAATCTACACAGAATTTATTTAATGTCACTAATTGGCTCACAATTGCTCTTTTAGCAAAATAAAAGATTCTGGTCCAGGATCTAATCCAACAACACCTATGACATTTGTACCCTTGGTATCCTTTAATCTGGGTTCTTTGGCCTTTCTTGTCGGGCTTTGACACTTTGGAAGAGTACAGGTCAATTATGCTGTAAAAGAGTTTTGAGTTTCTTGGTGCTTCCTCTTGGTTAGGTTCATGTCATGCATCTTGGCAGGAATACTGCAGAAGTGATGCAGTGTTTTTCTTAGTGCAGGAGGCACGTGCTGTGGTTCTGACACACTACGGATGTTGTTAACTCTGAGCATTTGATTAAGGTGGCTCCTACCAACATGCGCTAATATAAAAGCTGCCATTTTACTCTTTGAAATTAAAAGCTATCTGATAGGGAGCAACTAGATATTATGTAAGTATCCTATTAAATCTTTAAAATGGTACTTGTGGCTGGGCATGGTGGCTCACACCTGTAATCCCAGCACTTTGGGAGGCCAAGGCAGGTGGATCGCTTGAGCCCAGGAGTTCAAGACCAGCCTGGACACCATGGCAAAACCCTGTCTCTACAAAAAAATACAAAAATCAGCTGGGTGTGGTGGTGTGCGCCTGTAGTCCAGGCTACTCGGGAGGCTGAGGTGGAAGGATTGCTTGAGCCTAGGAGGTTGAGGCTGCAATGAGTCGAGATTGCACCACTGCACTCCAGCTTGGTGACAGAGCGAGACCTTGTCTCAAAAATAAAATAAAATAACATTTTACTTGCTATTTTTACCATCCTTTGATGATTCTTGCTGAATCTGTTATTATTATGAAGGTTATCAAAAGGCAATTCTCTCATTCCATCATTCCTCATTTATTAGTTTGCATCCTGCTCTAAGGAAGCACTCTTCATTCTCTCCATCCATTTATTTATGTATTCATTCATTCATTCATTCGTTTATATCAATGTAGATACTTATGAATTCTAATTTTATTCAATGAATGATAATCTGTTGCGCTATCTTTTATTTTGACGCTCAAATTGTTCCAGAGTTGGTCAGTGGGAGCCTCTTCGATCCGGTTCCTATGTCTTTGTGACATGTCCCTATCATTCCTTGAGCATTTCTTTACTTACTTGCACAGCAAAATGTTTCATTTTTGGATTCAGCCAACTCTCCAAGGAGCTCTGGTTCCTTTCAGTGGAGGGTGGTATTTAGAAACCATGTCTGGGCACTAAATGTGCTCAATGCTACCGAATGTCGTTACTTTTAGACACTCTCAGCAAACAGAACCAGGTATATGTCTGTGTCCTGAGATTCATATTGATTTCTATAACTATATATTTAAAACCACATATTTATACTGATACCTCCAATTACAATCCAACACTACAAGATGCTTTGTAGCTTTCTCCCTTCGTGTATTTGTAATTCCATTCTTTGATAGTAAAAAAAAACCTGGATTCCATTATTTTGTCAATTATGGAATATACATAGCTTCAGAAGGCTAACACATAACACTGTGAAAAACAAACCTACAACCCTACTAACTACAATAATTGCTTACAGTTTTTGTCTTTAACCTGAGGACATAAAGTCAAATTCTTCTTTTCAAAAACACTTGGTTGCTTCTCCTTGCTCCCTTTCTGGTGGTGACTGTTTATTTTAATTTTTGTTTTTTTGTTGTTTTTTTTTTGAGACAGAGTTTCAGTCTTGTCACCCAGGCTGGAGTTCAAAGGCTCGACCTCAGCTCACTGCAACCTCCACCTCCCGGGTTCAAGTGATTCTCATGCCTCAGCCTTCCAAGTAGCTGGGGCTACAGGCATGCGCCACAACACCGAGCTAATTTTTGTATTTTTAGTAGAGACAGGATTGCACCATGTTGGCCAGGCTGGTCTCTAACTCCTGACCTCAAGTAATCCACCCACCTCGGCCTCCCAAAGTGCTGGGATTACAGGCGTGAACTGCCATGTCCAGCCCAAATTTTTTAAATTTCTTTTTATAGTACACCATCTCTTCATTCATCTATGTTGCAAATATTTCTTTAAATTTATTTTCCACGTTTATATTTTGTCTGCAGTACTGTTAGAACTTTTACAAGATGCATATTATCAAAAGAAGTAATTTCTTTCATGGCTTTTGTTAGAAAATTCTACTGTATTTGAAATTAGGTAAAGATTCATTCTATTCATCTAGTAGTTTTGTATTTTCAATGTTTACAGTTAATCTCCGTATTCTCTTCTGGAATTTACTTACGTATGTGTTAAGAAGAAAAATCTAACTTTTTTCCCACATGTAGTCAAGCATATTTCCTAGGACATTTTTGCTGTTTAAAAACTAAATGGCCATTTAAAAAAAACAAATATTTCTATTTTTATCATCTGTGTTTTCCTATCTGTAAACTGGGGATAATAATTTCCACCTCATCATTGCATTGCACACAGAAAACATGAACTCGGCTGGGTACGGTGGCTCATGCCTGTAATCCCAATATTTTGGTAGGCCGAGGCGGGTGGATCACTTGAGGCCAGGAGTTCGAAACCAGCCTCACCAATATGGTGAAACCCCGGCTCTACTAAAAATACAAAAATTAGCTGGGCGTGGTGGCGCACTTGTACTCCCAGCAACTCTGGAGGTTGAGGCAGGAGAATCGCTTGAGCCCAGGAGATGGAGTTTGCAGTGAGCCAAGATCATGCCACTGCACTCCAGCCTGGGCAAAGGAGTGAGACCCTGTCACAAAAAAAAAAGAAAACATGAACTCAAGTCCTGCCAGACTATTGTGCTCCTTTTTTTTTTTTTCTATAGAGAACAGCCTAGTGTGTTCTTATATGCAAGGAAAGCACTTTGAAATGTGGATTCTGACATCTGATGCCCTGAATTAATGTACCAAAGACAGCTTCAGTTGATTATAACTTACCTGGAGCCAAAATGAAGCACTTTGGGGAAACTGTTCACACTGTGGTACTCTCAGTCTCATTCCTCTGCATCTTGTTTTTCTCCTTTTGCCAGTCCCTGGATAAACCATTCATCAGATACATAGGAAGATAAATCAGATCAGCTGCAAGACAAGAAAGGGAAGGAAGCAAGTGACTAGCAAAATTTACTAGATTAAAAAAGAAACCTGTGAAGAATGGTACCCCAAATTTCTTCTCTATATGCCCTTTTTTTTTTAAGATGGAGTTTTGCTCTTGTTGCCCAGGCTGGAGTGCAATGGCGTGATCTTGGCTCACGGCAACCTCTGCTTCCCAGGTTCAAGCAATTCCCCTGCCTCAGCCTCCTGAGTAACTGGGATTATAGGTGACCATCACCATGCTCAGCTAATTTTTTATATTTTTAGTAGAGATGGGGTTTCACCATGTTGGCCAGGCTGGTCTTGAACTCCTGACCTCAGAGGGTGATCCACGCTCCTCAGCCTCCCTAAGTGCTGGGATTACAGGCATGAGCCACCGCACCTCGCCTCTCTATATGCTATATTTATTCTCACATTTATTCCTTACACACACACATTTGTTCAAGAAAGAAATATATTGTGGTGTACTGACTCTCACCTTTATAGACTTATTAAAAATTGTAGATAGAACCCTTCACATGCAATCCATAAAACTCCAAGTTTATATTAAATAAAAACTAGAGAATGAGTATACTACTGCAAAATTATCTATTCTATGGGTCACTTTAAAGGACTAGCTGTCCTGGTACATTTAAATTTACCCAGCTGACAAAATACAAGGTTCACAGTTGCAGAAATTAAAGCTCATGCCATTTCTGTTTGACAGCTGAACTTCCACTCAGGGAATACTGTAATCATCTACTCGACCTTCACCCAGGAGGTATTTTATATGTGGCCTTACTAACTTAATAATACAGCAAAGCTTTACAACATTTTATGATTACACAGACTTAGGAGAAACCATTCGTTACATTATGTACTCATAGAGTCACTAAATGGGGGTCACTGCAGCTACAGCAAAGGATCTATCCAACACAGTCAACTTTATAGGCATTTTCAGTGGAGGGGACACGGATCCTTTCCTTCCCACCCATCCTCACCTACCCAAGCATTTGGAAGAGTCTCTGCCAGGGCCAATGATGCTATTATTAGTGACGTCTCCTTCTTGAAGGGCCTTATGGTTCGGTGCCTGACTCAAGAGTGGTGAGGTTGTGTTCCTTGCATGTCTAATGGCATCAGAACTGTTTTAATGATTTGGCATCCTTTTTGTTTTGAGGCCAGTTCCTAGCCACCTACAGCCTGGAGTCTATCCTCTTCAGAGGATGTAGAACCCCTTCTTTATTTCTTTGGAGTTTAAAGAGAGTCTTGAGAGGAGGCAGGAGAGAAATGGAGTTGGGGGAATTCTGTCCCAGAGAGTAGCAGGGAAAGAGGTGATAGCTGTTGCCAGGCTCTGAAAGAGGAGAAGAGCTACCTAGTAACTAAGTCTTCCAGGATTCTAATGGGCTGATTGCAAATTCTGCCTCGTTGGCCCATGCTGTCTGCCATCTCATTTCCACTTTCACAGCTTTCAACACTAATGGACCACTGCAGGTGGTCCCACTGCACCCTATATACCTCTCTTTTAAGCACTGATATTGCAGTGGTTCTCCAAGTGTGAGCCCTAGGCCAGTCATAGCAGCATTTCCTGGGATTCCCAGACTGACTGAATCAGTAGCTCTGGGGTGTAGCCCAAAAATCTGTGATTTAAAAAGCCCTCCAGATGATTCTGATGCATACACAATTTTTTTTTTTTTTGAGACGGAGCCTCCCTCTGTCGCCCAGGCTGGAGTGCAATGGCATGATCTTGGTTCACTGCAACCTCCGCCTCCCCAGCTCAAGCAATTCTCCTGCCTCAGCCTCCCAAGTAGCTGGGACTACAGGCGCATGTCACCATGCCTGGCTAATTTTTGTATTTTTAGTAGAGGCGGGGTTTCGCCATATGGGCCAGGCTGGTCTTGAACTCGTGACCTCAAGTGATCCACCCACCTCACTATCCGAAAGTGCTGGGATTACAGACGTGAGCCACTGTGCCTGGCCTGATGCATGCTTAATTTTAAGACCCACTGCAGAACTATAATTGTTGATTAACTCATCTATATTCTCAGCAAGACAGAAAGTTCCTTCAGCATACAGACAAATGTATTTATCAATACACTTAAAGTACAGAATATTATGGCTGAGTGCAGTGGCCCATACCTGTAATCCCAGCACTTTGGGAGGCCGAAGTGGGAAGATCACTTGACGCCTGGAGTTTGAGACAAGCCTGGGCAACATAGTGAGACACCCTTCTCTTCAAAAAATAGATAAATGAAATAAATAAAGTAAAAAAGAAAAATCAGCCAAGTGTGATGGTGCACACCTGTAGTCCCAGCTACTTGGGAGGCTGAGGCAGGAGGATGACTTAAGCCCAGGAGTTCGAGGCTGCAGTGAGCTATGATCATGCCACTGTATTCCAGCCTGGGTAACAGAGCAAGACTCTGTCTCAATTTTTGTTAAGTATAGAATATCCGAAATGTATGTTGCATGAATAAATGAGTGAAACAAATAGACTAGTGCAGTCCTAAGTAAAATGCTTAGTAAATACTTACGACAGCATCAAGCTTGAGTTGTGTGGATGTCTAATGATCTGGAGCCAATGAATTGCTCCTCCCACCCCAGAAATAAAATAATATCTATCCATGAAAATAAACATTTCTCTAGAGTTCACTTAGAACTTTAGGACTCAGGTACATTTCAATAAATGTATATTTTTCTGATGGGAAATGGAAGGTAGTTCCATTACAAAGTAATTAGGAAATGCAAAGGAAGTATTTTATATATATATAATATTATTTATTATAAATAAGATATGTATATTATTTATTATAAATAAGAGATATGTAATATTATTTATTATAAATAAGATATATCTTATTTATTATAAATAAGATATATCTTATTTATTATAAATAAGATATATATAAAGTCTTACTTCACCACCTTCTGAGTCTTCTTTCCTATGCACCTTTTTCATATATCACCCTCAGTTATGATGTTAAAAATAAAAAGTATTCTTTTCCTTATAAAAGCAACACAAACTCACTCAAAAAGATTAGAAAATACAGAAAAGCATCAAAAAGAAAATAACACTGCCAATAATTTCATTATTCAGAGATGTAACTACCCTGGGGGATATGCCTTCAAAGTATACTTGCTGTTACCCCATAAGACAAACTTGTGGAAAAAGCCATACACTGGATGTGGCCCAAAAATCCAAAGCTTAAAGTCTGCTCTCTGATTTTCCTTGGCCCCACCTTGACTATTTTAGGATGGGTTAACTTAGGGGGAAAACACTGGAATCTTCCAAGAGTTTGGAGTTCCTGCAGAAAAGCCTGTTCCAAAAAAGTATGAAACCATCCTTGCCTTCCTGTAGGATCAAGGTGTGCTGGCACTGGTTTGCTCTCTCTGGCCCTTGACTTTGCTCAGGGATTCAGAGCCAGAGTCATCCATGAAGGCCCATCTTGCTGTGTTTCTTTCTGTTATCCTTAAAATAATCATTTGAAAATAAATAGGCTGTTGTCCCCACCACCTTGGGATTTTCCATTAAACCTGGCTTTATGGGCTGTGACATTCGTAGTCAACACCAGCAGAAGTCAATTCTGTAGCTTTGATGTTCTGCAGGGAGAGAGGAACCAGGTGACCAGCTGGGAGACAAGGCAATCTCAAATAAGGAACAAGTAATTAAGGGACGAACAGCAGCTGTGTTTCTTAAATGACTTTTATAATTTTAAAAATTTATAATTATAAAAGCTTTAAGGTAAAGCTTATTGTGGGTGTTTGTGAAACAGAGTGAAGTATTAAGGAGAAGGGAAAAATAACCCATCCTCCCAAATCTAAAGTAATCTGTTAGCTTTTTATCTTTTTATTTTATTTTATTTTATTTTATTTTATTTTTATTGAGATGAAGTCTTGCTCTGTCACCCAGGCTGGAGTGCAGTGGCATGATCTCTACTCACTGCAACCTCCACTTCCCAAGTTCAAGTGATTCTCTTGCCTCAGCATCCTGACTAGCTGGGACTATGGCACATGCCACCAAAGCCCGCCTAATTTTTGTATTTTAAGTAAGAATGGGGCATCACCATGTTGGCCAGGCTGGTCTCGATCTCCTCACCTCAAGTCATCTGCCCACCTCGGCCTCCCAAAATGCTGGGATTACAAGCATGAACCACTGCACCCAGCCTTATCTTTTTGAGACAGTCTCTCACTCCGTCATCCAGGCTGGAGTACAGTGGCCCGATCTCAGCACTCTGCCTCCCAGGTTCAAGGGATCTTCCCACCACGGCCTCCGGAGTAGCTGGGACAACAGATGTGCACCAGCATGCCTGGCTAACTTTTTTATTTTTTGTAGAGACAGGGTTTTGCCGTGTTGCCCAAGGTGGACTCAAACTCCTGGGCTCAAGCAATCCACCCACCTTCGCCTCCCAAAGTGCTGGGATTACAGGTGTCAGCCGTTGTGCCGGCCCCCTCTGTTAACTTTTTGTCTTGCATTTGTCTTCACGTGTGTTGAAAAATATTGTATGCAAAACTCACAACCTCATTTCTTTACTAAGACTGCATACAAATTTCTGTATATTATTAGAACAGTCTTCAGAAGCATCATTTTAGTGACATTTTCTATCACATACTGTGCTGAATCATTTTCCTGCTGTTGCTTTTAATTTTTGTTGGAAACATCTTTTATACATACATTTTTGACCATCTCTTTATAATGTTGGGATAGACGTCTGAGAGTAGAGTTACTTGATGAAGGGATTTGGATGCTTTAATGACTTTTAACAGATATTGCTAATTGCTTTCCATAGCGCTCCAACTTCCACTGCTGTAACCTCAGTGTGCTGTGACCTATGAGTCCAAAAAAGGCAACCTTTAAAGGGATAGTGTTTGAAAGCATCTATAGCACTACATGTCAAAAATAAAATGGGTTTACTAACACAATCCCTCTTAGCATCTGTATTTTATAATCCTTTTTTTTTTTTTTTTATGAGACAAGATCTTGCTATGTTGCCCAGGCTGGTCTTCAACTCCTGGGCTCAAGCAATCCTCCTGCCTCAGCCTCACAAGTAGCTGAGGTTATAGGCATGCACCGCCATTCCCAGCTACAGTCTTCTCAATGTATTGCAAATCTGTTTTGGATTCCGTCTGGGCAGTTTGGCCTCAGGAATGCTGCACTTCATAGTCTCATCGGTCCATGTTTCAAAGACATGGATTCCAAGAAGAGCATTTTAGAGGTGCCCAAAGGGTAAATATTTCTGAAGTCAGATTTACCATTTTCCTAGAATTGTGTCAAATCTCCTTATTTCTACAAGTGATTACCCCTGCACAGAAAATGTATCCCTCATCCAACAGCTTAAGAACTTGAACATGTAGTTCTTTGGAGTTTAAAAATATCCAGAATCTACAATGAACTCAAACAAATTTACAAGAAAAAAACAAACAACCCCATCAAAAAGCGGGCGAAGGACATGAACGGACACTTCTCAAAAGAAGACATTTATGCAGCCAAAAAACACACGAAAAAATGCTCACCATCACTGGCCATCAGAGAAATGCAAATCAAAACCACAATGAGATACCATCTCACACCAGTTAGAATGGCGATCATTAAAAAGTCAGGAAACAACAGGTGCTGGAGAGGATGTGGAGAAATAGGAACACTTTTACACTGTTGGTGGGACTGTGAACTAGTTCAACCCTGTGGAAGTCAGTGTGGCGATTCCTCAGGGATCTAGAACTAGAAATACCATTTGACCCAGCCATCCCATTACTGGGTATATACTCAAAGGACTATAAATCATGCTGCTATAAAGACACATGCACACGTATGTTTATTGCGGCACTATTCACCATAGCAAAGACTTGGAATCAACCCAAATGTCCCACAATGATAGACTGGATTAAGAAAATATGGCACATATACACCATGGAATACTATGCAGCCATAAAAAACGATGAGTTCATGTCCTTTGTAGGGACATGGATGAAACTGGAAATCATCATTCTCAGTAAACTATCACAAGAACAAAAAACCGAACACCGCATATTCTCACTCATAGGTGGGAACTGAACAATGAGAACACATGGACACAGGAAGGGGAACATCACACTCTGGGGCCTGTTGTGGGGTGGGGGGAGGGGGGAGGGATAGCTTTAGGAGATATAGCTAATGCTAAGTGACGAGTTAATGGGTGCAGCACACCAGCATGGCACATGTATACATATGTACCTAACCTGCACATTGTGCACATGTACCCTAAAACTTAAAGTATAATAATAGTAAAATAAATTAAAATAAAATAAAAATAAAAATAATACTGTGATAAAATCCTTGAAGACTGGTGATCACATGAATGAACTATCTATTAGAACATGCTGCTAGAGAGATAATAGCAGTCCTGGAAGCTGTGCCCCTAATACCATGTATGGACACACTGTCACAGTCCCAGCCAAATCGCCTTACCTCAGGCCACTGTTTGAAAATGCAGCGTTAGTCACAAAAAGAGCCAGGTCAGAACATGTGTATGAATCAGTGTAATTAGAAGAATAACACTAATGTTGATGGGTCAGCTCCAGTAATTTTGTAGATGTGGGACAACAGTCTAATGAACTGACGTAGATTCAACTCAAACCATGGAACGGACCCTAAGCAATTATTGAGTATACAGATGAGCAATCAAAGATTTAAAGAAGTCCAGCAAGATGCCCAAGATCCCCTGGCTGCTCAGTGACTATCTGAGTCTTTAATTAGGTCTTCCAATTGCAAGTTCAATGCTCTTTCTAGTACTGCATTAGCTCATCTCTGGCCCATGTCCATGAGGTCTTGGCAAGGTCCATAGGGCTCCATAGAAGAAGTGGTTGAAAAAAATCCTGGACACATATACAAAAGACACAGACGATATCTTTTATTATTCTCCACGTTGCTGCCACCTGCACATCAGTAGTGGAATTTTCTGGTGCATCCCAGAAGCTGAATCCACTTATCATATTCACCTCTCAGGAGGAAATAAAATTCACTTAAGAATTCATTTCCCCAGCCCCTTATTTGTAGCAAGCCCCATGCACGAAGGGCTAACTCCAAAGCGAGATTCTTTTCTGATGAGATGCAAACCACTCTGCAGTAAAACATATAACCAGGGAACTGTAATTTCCTGACCCCAAACATCATGAAATGTCCGCAATGCCATCACATTAGCTTGTTTTCATGTAATTGTATAAACACAGTTTTGCCAGTTCAAAGCACTTGGAAGTGTTTTATTATGCTTTCTTCCTAGCTATGCAATCCTGACCACATGCCAAGGCTGAAAAACAAACTAGCTTATCCATGAGCTGGTGATAATTTAGATTTGTAGGAGGGCAGCTAGACTGAAGCCTTTAATTATGTATCACTATTTCATTTTACTTTAGGAAATAGGGTGGGTCATATTCTTGGATATGGAAGCTGGGAATAAGGGATGAAGGTCAATGTCCTGCTCACTTTCTCCCTCACTGGGTCCTCATAGGTTGAATTTAATTTTAACTGATATTCATTGAATGGATCATATGGGGAAAGTTCCATGATAAGCCCTAGGAAAAGGGGGAAATCAGGCTCATTTCTGGTTCTTTAGGAGTTTACAGTGCTGAAGATGATTAGGCATGTAAATAACCTGAACTCTGAGGCCAAATGGCATAGGGCCACGATGGCCACAGAAGTGTTAAGTGATATAGGAAAGAGGGAAATTAACCTTGTCTGAGAGTTTCTAGAAAGCTATAAGGAAGAGGTAGCATTTGAGCTAGACTAGGAAATGGGTTAGGATTTCAGCTGGTGAAGGGAGTTCTATGATCAGGAAATACTCTGAACAGTGTGAGTGAAAAGCTTGTGGCCAGGATGGGTCAGCGCGGGGCACGGAGCTGTGCTGAGTAATCCAGCAGTGAGCATCGAACATTACCATCTGCGAACACAAGCAAATCAGCTCTATGCAAGGGTCTTATCTAGTATTGAATCTTCATTGCCCCAAATAGCACCTAGCACATGAGTGCCTGTCTCAGTCCATTCAGGCTGCCATAGCCAAATACCTTAGACTGAGTCATTTATAAATAACAGAAAATTATTTCTTACAGTACTAGATCTTGCAAAGTCTAAGATCAGTGAGCCAGCAGATACAGTGTCTGATGAGGGCTTGCTCTTTGCTTTATAGATGGCACTTTCCTGTTGTGATCTGGCATGATGCAAGGGGCAAACAACTCCCTCAGGCCTCTTTTATAAGGGCACTAATCCCATTCATGAGGGCTCCACCCTCATGACCTAATCACCTCCTAAATGTCTCTCAATACTATTGCACTGGGGATTAGGTTTCCATATATGAATTCTGAGGGGACACAAGCATTGAGACCATGGCAGTGCCCAGTAATGGAATGAAGGAATTCTTAGGAAAGGGGTATTGCTTCAACTGGGTATTGTTGTTGCAAATGCAAGGATCCATTCAAATTCTTGCAATCAGTGGGTTTCTGGGGGAGATGGGTCCTTTTAAGAATATATTTGAACTAGGGAGATGGAGGTGACTCTAGAGACCCCTGATCATCTTCAGATCCACTCACAGAATGTATGGTCTCTGGCATGCTTTTCTGCATTGTTCAGTTCTCTTTCAGCCAGCTTCTTCTGCCTTATCCAGGTCTGTTCCATCTTAGCTTTGACCCGGAAGTGGCCTTAGTGGCCAGTCTGACCCCTCTCTCCGAATCACATTCCCTCTGCCCCTACTTTTTGTTGCCTTGCCCATTTCTAGTCCTAAAAGTAGAAGCCTTACTGGACTGGTCCATTTTTGCATGCCAGGCCAGCAGATGCCCATGCCTACTTCAACCAGCAATGAAGGACTCAGGGAGAGGCAGCAGGGACTGTGGGCAAGGGAGTCCCCCTTGGAAGCAAAGGCATGCTTGCACTCACCATCTCAAGTACACCTGTACAGGGAACAGAATTAAGTTACATTTAAGCCAATTGACCAAGAAATTTGAGTTGTATTCAGTAGGCACATTCCTTCATGACCTCAGACTCTACCAGGCCACTGGCCAGCAGCCTAACCACTTGTGACTCCAAATCTTTTCCTTTATTTCAGTCTTGTGTTTCACCTGAAAACATCATCACTCCATCCTCAATATGGCTCCATCAGTCTCTGCCTATGTTCTCCGGGGCTTTCTCTTAGAAACCTGTGCTCTTACCTCTCCTAACAGCAGGGAAGTGGGATGTATAATAATAATAGTACTTGCCTGTTATGAGCTGAATTATTTCTCCCCTAAAAAATTCTTATGTAGGCCAGGCATGGTGGCTCAGGCCTGTAATGGGAGGCCGAGGTGAGTGGATCACCTGAGGTCAGGAGTTCGAGACTAGCCTGGCCAACATGATGAAACCCCATCTCTACTAAAAATACAAAAAAATTAGCCGTGCGTGGTGGCACACACCTGTAGTCCCAGCTACTTGGGAGACTGAGGCAGGAGAATCGCTTGAATCTAGGAGGCAGAAGTTGCAGTGAGCTGAGATCGTGCCATTGCACTCCAGCCTGGGCAACAGAGGGAGACTCCGTCTCAAAAAAAAAAAAAAAAAAAAATCATAAGTTGCAGTTCTGACGCAAAGTACCTTCGAATGTGGCCTTATTTGAAGATAGGGTCTTTAAAGGAGTAATTAAGTTTAAATGAGATCATTAGGGTAGGCCCTAAATCTGATATGACTGGTGTTCTTATAAGATGAGGATATTTGGACACAGACGTACAGAGAGAAGACCATGTGAAGACAAAGGAAGAACACAGCCATCTACAAGCCACGGAGAGAGTGACGCCTTCGCTCCCAGCCCTCAGAAGGAATCAACCCTGCCAACACTTTGATCTCTGATTTTCAGCCTCAAGAACTGTGAGAAAATACATTTCTGTTGCTTAGGTCACCCAGACTATGGTACTTTGCTATGGCAGTCCCAGCAGAATAACACACTACCTCATGTAGTTATTGGGAAGATAAAATTGATTAAGGCACTTAAAACACTTGGACCAGTACAAGAAGGATTAGCAATTAATTTCCAAACCTCTTAATCCTCCATCTTTCTCTTATTATTATTGCAGAGCTCCTATTTGTGCTGCTACATGTGACCTGACATCAAGCTGACTTTTTCAAACCTCCTCAATGTTCAAAGCAAAGAAATGGGGAGCCGTGTTTACTTGCTACCTCCTTCCAGCAACATGCACTCGGGAAAGAACCCTAGGAACTAAGTTCAAAGGAGTTGCCTAACAAAAGTTAAACATAAACTCTTAGAATAAATTCAAGGCAGTATTAACAACTAAAAGTAAAATTTATCTACTATTTCTTCCGAAGACCATGTAGGATGGAAATTCTTTTTTTTTTTTTTTTTTTTGAGAGGGAGGTTCACTCTTGTTGCCCAGGCTGGAGTGCAATGGCACGATCTCGGCTCACTGCAACCTCCGCCTCCTGGGTTCAAGCAATTCTCCTGCCTCAGCCTCCCGAGTAGCTGGGATTACAGGCACGCGCCACCATGTCCGGCTAATTGTGTATTTTCAGTAGAGACGGGGTTTCGTCATGTTGGTCAGGCTGGTCTCAAACTCCCGACCTCAGATGATCCGCCCACCTCAGCCTCCCAAAGTGTGGGATTACAGACAGGAGCCATCTCACCTGGCCAGGATAGAAATTCTTAAGCAAAGTGTTTATAACACACAGAGGTTCCTCATTGAGTTTTCAGGTATGTCCAGTAATCTGTTGCAACTAATAAACTAAAGACTATATACAGTTTACCTTTTCATATAGTGGCAATCTTGCTCATCTATCATATTTAAAAATAATTTTACTGCTTTTACCATATAATCCACCCTTTTAAAGTATACAATTCAATGACTTTTTTAGTATAGTTATAGGGTTGTCCACCTGTCATTACAATCTAATTTTAGAACATTTTCGTTCCCCCTAAAGAAATTCTATACCCATGCACAATCATTCTCTATGTGTTATCACTCTATCTGTAAGCAACCACTAATCTTTCTGTCTCTATCTATTTACCTATTCTAGATATTTATTTATTTAGTTTTGAGACAGGGTCTTGCTCTGTTATTCAGGCTGTAGTGTGATCACAGCTCACAGCTCACTGCACTGCAGTCTCAACCTCCTGGGCTCAAGTGATCCTCCCACCTAAGCCTCCCAAGTAGCTGGGACTACCAACATGTGCCACCATGCCCTGTTAATTTTTTTCAAAAAAATGTTGTAGAGATGGAGTCTCCCTATGTTGCCCACGCTGGTCTCTAACTCCTGGGCTCAAGAGATCCTCCTGCCTCAGCCTCCCAAAGTGCTGTGATTACAGGCGTGAGCCACCATGCCTGGCCTATTCTGGATATTTTATAGAAATTAAATCATACGGTGTGGTCTTCTATGACTGGCTTTTTTTTTTTTTAACCTAGCATAATGTTTTCTGGATCATCCAAGCGTTAGCATGTCATTCCTTTTTATTGTCAAATAATATTCCATTGTGTGAATACACCACATTTTATTTATCCATTCATTGGTATATATATAAGTGTTTCCACTTTTTAGCTAGTATAAATAACGATGCCATGAATGTTTCTTGACAAGTGTTTGGATGGATATGTATTTTCAGTTCTCTTGGAACTGGAGGAGTGGAATTGCCTAGTCATAAGGTAACTGTATGTTTAACATTTTAAGGAACTGCCAAACTGTTTTCCAAGTGTCTGTGCCGTTTTACCAGCCACGTATCAGGATTCCAATTTCTCTACATCCTCATGAACAGTTGTTATCTTCTATATTATAGTCATCATTATACCATTATTATGGGTGCAAAGTAGTATCTCATTGTGGTTTTGATTTGCATTACCTGAATGGCTAATGATTTTTAGTATCTTTTCATGTGCTCATTAGCCATTTGATATCTTCTTTGGAGAAAAGTGTATTCAAATCCTTTGCCAATTTTTCCATTGAATTATTTGTCTTTTATTGAATGATAAATGCTCTTTATATATTTTGGATTCCAGTTTCTTACCAGATATATGATTTATAAATATTTTCTCCCATTCTGTGTGTTGCTTTCATTTTCTTGACAGCCTTGTCTGTAGCACAGAGTTTTAACCTTTAGATACAGTTCAGTTCTATTTATCTATTTTTTCTTTTGTCAATTGTGCTTTTGGTTTCGAATCTTAAGAAAATATTATCTGACCTCAGGTCACAAAGATTGACTACTATATGTTCTTCAAAGAGTTTGATCGTTTTTGGCTCCTACATTTAGGTTTATAATCTATTTTGAGTTAAATGTTGTGTGTGGTATGAGGTAGGGGTCCAAATTCATTCTTTTCCATGTTGATTCCCAGTTGTCCCAACACTACTTGTTGAAACTATTCTTTCTCACATTGAGTTGTCTTGTCACCTTTGTCAAAAATCAATAAACATAAATAAATGTAAGGGTTAATTTTGGGAATCTCAATTCTATTCTATTGGTCTATGTGTTTATCTCCTTATACCAGTACTATAATACATTGTCTTGATTACTGTAGCTGTGTTGCAATTTTTGAGTTTGGGAAGTGAGAATCCTCCATTTTTTTTTAATTTAAGATTTTTTGGCTATTCTGCATCTTTAGCATTTCCTAATGAATTTTAGGATCATCTTGTCAACTTCTACAAAAAAAAGGCAACTGGAATTTTGACAGGCATTGTGTTGAATCTGGAGATAAATTTAAAGAGTATTGACAGCCAGGCACAGCAGCTCACACCTATAATCCTAGCACTTTGGGAGTCCGAGGTGGGCAGATCACTTGAGGTCAGGAGTCTGAGACTAGCCTAGCCAACATGGTGAAAACCCATGTCTACTAAAAATACAAAAATTAGCTGGTCATGGTGGCACGTGCCTGTAGTCCCAGCTACTTCGGAGGCTGAGGCAGGAGAATCACTTGAACCTGGGAGGTGGTGGCTGCAGTGAGCCAAGATTGCACCACTGCACGCTAACCTGGGCAACGGAGCAAGACTCTGTCTCATAAAGGAAAAAAAAAGAAAAAAAAAGAGTATTGCCGTCTTAGCATCTTGTGATCCATGAATATAGACTGTTTTTTCATTTATTTGACTTCTTTCAACGTTTTGGAGTTTTCAGTATACAAGTCTTACACTCATTTTGTTAACTTTGTTCCAAAGCATTTTATTCTTTTTGATACTATTGAAAATTGTTTTCTTAATTTTTGGAATGTTCATTGCTAGTGTGTAGAAACACAACTGATTTTTGTATGATCTTGTATCCTGTAACCTTACTGAACTCATAGTTAGTTCTAATGCCTCCTTTTTTTGGTGGATTCTTTAGAATTTTTTACGTACAAGATCATGCTGTCTGGAAATAGAGGTATTTTGTTTCTTTTTTCCAATCTGGATGGCTTTATTTCTTTTTCTTGCCTGGCTACAATCTCCAGTAGTATGTGCCAGTTCATGAGAACAAATATGCTTATCTTATACCTAAAGTTAGAAGAAAAGATTTTAGTCCTTCTGAAATATTAGCATGTTATTAAATATTATGTCAGCTTTGGGTTTTTAATAGATATTCTTTATCAGATTGATGAAGTTCCCTTCCATCTCTACTTTGTTGGATGGTTAGGTTTTTTTTTTTAAATTATTACTGTGTTTTTAAATCATAAATGGGTTTTAGCTTTTTTATTCTGAAATCTTTGGTTTTTGTCTTTTATTCCATTGATATAGTAAATTACATCAATTAATTTTCAAATGTTAAGCCAACATTGAATTTCTGTGATAAATCCCATTTGGTTATGGCATATACTTCTTTGTATGTGTGGCTGGATTCAGTTTTCTAGCTTTTTTTTTCCCATAAATTTCGCCTCTACATTTTTTAGGGATATTGATCTATAGATTTCTTGTCTTGTGATGTCATTGTCTGGTTTTGATCATATTAGCCTCATAAAATGAGTTAGGAAGTGTTCTGGTTTTTGGAAAAATTGAGAAGAACTGGTCTTAGTTCTTTTAATGTTTGCTAGATTTCACTAGTGAAGTCATCTGGTCCCAGTCTTTTTTTTTTGTTTTTGTAAGAAATTTTAAAATGACCAACTCAATCTCTTTGCTTCACACAGGTCTATTTAGATTTTCTATTTCTTTTCGAATCAGTTTTGGTAACGTTTGTCTTTATAGAAATCTGCCCAGTTTCATCTAGGTTATCTAACTTTTTGGCATACAATAGTGTTTCCATATAACCCTTTTTATTTCTGTGGGGTCAGTAGTGACGTCCTCTCTTTCCTTCACATTTGAGTCTTCTCTCCTTTTTTCCTGATCAGTCTTGCTAAAGGTTTTCCAAATTTTGTGGATCTTTTTGAAGAACCAACTTTTAATTTTGTTGCTTTTATCTGTTTTTCTATTATCTGTTTCATTTATTTCTGTTCTTTATTCTTTCCTCCTACTTGTTTTGCATTTAGTTAGCTTTTATTCTTCAAGCATCTGCAGCTCAAGTTTAGATTACTGATTTGAGATCTTTCTTCTTTTTAATATAGGCATTTACAGCTCTAAATTTCCCCCGGGCACTTTTTTAGCTAGATCCTATGGGTCTTGGTATGTTGTGGTTTTAATTTGTATTTATCTCAATATATTTTCTAGTTTCCCTTGTGCTTTCTTCTTTGATTCAGTTATTAAAGAGTGTGCTGTTTAATTGATACCATCCTGTGTATTTCCTTACACCAATACAGCTTTTTTCCATCTGGTTCCTTTGTGCTCTTGTTGTCAAATATATTACATTTCTGTATGTTACAGGACCAACAACACAATTAGATACCTATTGTTTTGTGCAATTGCTTTCTTAAATCAGTTAAGAGAAGAAAAATGAAGACATGTAATTATGCAGCTTTTATCATTAGCTACATAATTTCCTTTATTGAAGCTCTTTGATGTCCCTGCTCATATATTTCCCCTTGTTGGATCTGCATAGCTCACTGTTACTCAAAGGTTGTGCTTAAGCCCCTTAGTTAGATTTTCATCCTTTACTGTTGGATATGTGTGTAGTTCAGAGGTTGCTATCACACATTGGGGAATTTACATTTTGTTTGGCTCTGCATTCAGCCAGGGACTAGTAGCTTGGAGTCCCTCTTTAATCACTCCTGAGATGTCTCAGCCTCAAACACACACACAGCCTTCCAGACAGTCAGGAATGAGAGCAATTTTAGTTTTAAGCCTGGCTTCCTAGGCCTCACCCCTGGGTTGGAGTAGCTTATTTTTAAGCCAGTGTTTGCTCAGAGGTTGTGTTTACGCCTCTTGTACCAGTGAGACTGTAAACGACTACCCCATTTTCCTAAAAATTATCTTTATCTTTTCACTTTTTCCCTGCATGTTCACCTCTTACTTAGCTCTTTAGGAATGCAACTCTAACCTTTACCTTCTCTCCACCTGGCACTCCCTGCACTGAGAGCTTATCTAACTACATGTTTGCTTAGAAATTCTAAGGACCAAATGTTGAACCAAACCATGAACTCTCCCGGATTCTCCCCCACCAGGAAATTGCCTCAAGATGACAGTCAATTTACAACTCAGCTCTGCCCTTCATGGTGGCAGCCTGCAAGTCGCGAGTCACGCAGACCCCGCGCCTCCTCCTCTCCATAGCATGCACTCCAAGTCCCCCTTAAAGCCTCTGCTTTCTGCCCCCAAAGCTGAAGTGGTTCCCTTAAGGCAGAAGCCTGTACCTCTTCCCCTCAGCTAAGCTCTGAAATAAAACTCGCTTTCTTTCTATCAGCCCTCACTCATTAATTGGACTGTGCAAGCAGTGAGCAGCTGGACTTGCATTTGGTTACAAGCCCTCTGCCTTGTGTTGATTGGCCTGTGCACAGCTTGGGGAAAGCTTTCAGGTCTGCCCAACATCCTGCTCTGACTGGCCTTGAGTGGGTGAAACCTAGTGCACGTTCACCGCCTTCCCAACTCGCAGAATTGACTGGGATCCCAGAATTGACTGGGATCCCAGCAGCGCTGTTCTGGGCTCTTGACCTGGTTCTATGAAACTTCCAGCTGCTCTGCCGTTCCACTCATATCCTGGAGCTCCAGCCTCCTTCACTGCTCTCCACGCAGTCTCCACTGTTTTGACAACACCCTCAGGCATACAGTTCTCCAGGTACTGTTTCAAATAAAGTCAGTTCCCTCAGGCAGAGCTGCAGAGCTCTTCACCCTGACAGCATGCCCTCCCCGCCGACCCCACCACCACAGGGCCTTTTTCTAGGAATGACATCCCTGCTCTACAGGGGGGCACTGAGGGAGGATGATGTAGCAGCCCTGGTCTTCTTGGTTTGCCTTCCCTGGTATAGAATCTCTGCCCTGTGAGAGAGCTGGCAGGGGCAATCAGGCCTCTTATTGGTGGCCTGCTGCAGAGCTCCTGCCCTTTAAGTGCAAGGAGGCCCTAGTCCTGTGAGCTACCCTCGCTTGGAATAGATCTTCCACAATAAGGGGCTAGGGAGGATGAGAAATGCCAGCAGTCCCTCCCTCCTGGTAAAAGAAAAACTTCAGCCGAATTAAATGTAAAGGAGTTTAATTGAGCAATGAACGATTCGCAAATCGGGCAGCCCCCAGAATCACAGCAGATTCACAGAGACTCCAGCACAGCCACACGGTGGAAGATTTACAGACATAACAAGTGAAATGATGTGCAGAAATTGGCAGTGAGGTACAGAACAGCTGGATTGGTTGCAGGTTGGTGTTTGCCTTATTTCAACAGTTTGAACACTTAGCAGTCTATGAGCGATTGAAGTATGGCCACTGAGATTGGCTCAGCCTCCCAAAGTAATTTTTGTATTTTCAGTAGAGACGGGGGTTTCACCGTGTTGGCTAGGCTGGTCTTGAACTACTGACCTCAGGTGATCCACCCGCCTCGGTCTCCCAAAGTGCTGGGATTATAGGCATGACAACAGGGCATACTCCTAAATTAGGTTTTCAATCTTGTCTATTAAGCTAAGTTACAGTTCATCTGCAAGGACTCAAATATAGAGGTACGGAGGCCTTCTCAGGCCATATTTAGTTTGCTTTAACACTCCCAAGGTGAAACTGCAGCCCCAGACAGGGTGTTAAGTGGAGCGGGAATCTCTGTCTTCTTGGTCGTATCTGCCCGAGAATGGGGCCCAGAATAGAGCTTCTGGAGATATGGGGAGGAGGGGTAGGCAAGGTCATGGATCAAAGGCCACAGACTTTGGCTATTCTTCTTACCAGTGTTTAGTACATTTCCTTTTCCTTTTTCTCTTTTTTTTATTTTCTTTTTCCTTTTTTTTTTTTTTGAGACAGAGTCTCACTCTGTTGCCCAGACTGATGATCTCCGCTGACTGCAACCTCTCCTTCCCAGGTTCAAGAGATTCTCCTGCCTCAGCCTCCCGAGTAGCTGGGATTACAGGTGCCCGCCACCACGCCTGGCTGATTTTTGTATTTTTAGTAGAGACAGGGTTTTGCCATGTTGGCCAGGCTGGTCTCGAACTCCTGACCTCAGGTGATCTGCCCACCTCAAGCTCCCAAAGTTCTGGGATTACAGGAGTGAGCCACCATGTCCGGCTGTTTATACATTTTCTCAAATGACTGTTTCTCCATCTGCTATATGTTTTAGGACAATTTCCAGAGACTTTCAATTATGACTTGTTTGTATTTTGCTTTTTAAAATACTTTTCAGCTGGGCGCGGTGGCTCACACCGGTAATCCTAGCACTTTGGGAGGCCCAGGTGGGCGGATCACTTGAGGTCAGGAGCTTGAGACCAGCCTGGCCAACCTGGCAAAACCACATCTCTACTAAAAATACAAAAATTAGCCGGGTGTGGTGGTGCACACCTGTACTCTGAGCTACTCAGGAGACTGAGGCAGGAGAAACGCTTGAACCCGGGAGGCAGAGATTGCATGTGCTGATATCATGCCACTGCATTCCAGCCTGGACAACAGAATGAGACTCTGTCTAAAAAAAAAAAAATTAATTAATTAATTTAATGTTTTTCCCCAGTGAAATGGGCTGTTTTGCTGGGGAGAATTTCAACTGAGCTTCATTCTGTGTCCCTTCCATTCTGGAAGTCCTGCTCATTTACCAGTGAGGAATGCTTTCTGGGGTAGGAAAGAGTGGCTGGATCTCTAGTTGGCAGGGCATTGCGTAAACCCCTGAACACACACACTGGGTATGTGGCCTGTACCCAACCTCATTTCATATCATGATTTCTCAAGCACTGAACATAAAATAAACCCAAGCAATTTGTTCTGTTCTATGTGTACCAAATCGGTTAGCAAGATTTGGCTTTTATTTCTAATGAGGGAAACATGTGGGTTCACTTTTTCAGTTTGGCTTCAGTAAAACATTCCCAGAAAAAGTATTCTACCCATAAGGACCTCCTGAAAAACATGAAAGTTTTCACAAATCAAATTTTCCCAAGTTTCAGAGTTATATTTATGTGAAAAGGCTGTGCTGAAACAAATGTTAAGAATGCACAACTTACTTTACCTTTCAAATTTTAAAAATATTAGTTTTATAACATAATAATTGTTCCATAATCTCCCAATAAGCCTCTTTCTAGCAGAAATTTTAAAACTGGAGGAAGCATCTTTTTATTTATTATTTATTTATTTATTTATTTATTTTGAGACAGGGTCTCACCCTGTTTCCCAGGCTGGAGTGCAGTGGCCCAATCACAGCTCACTGCAGCCTTGACCTCCCAAGGCTCAGGTGATCCTCCTGCCTCAGCCTCCCAAGTAGCTGGGACTACAGGCCCATGCCACTGTTCCTGGCTAATTTTTGTATTTTTATTAGATATGGGTTTTTGCCATGTTGCCTAGACTGGTCTCGAACTCCTGGGCTTAAACGATCCACCCACATCGGCCTCCCAAAGTTCTCCCACAGGCATGAGCCACTGCACCTAGTCATCTTTAAAAGCTTCTATGGTGCTTCAGACTTGCTCAGGCAAATCACCTGGTCTCTCCCACGGGTTGCATTAATCAGTGGGATCACATTAGACCAGGAGTCCCGGACTGTCTAGTTTGATTATATTATGCAGACTTTCACATACCACTGTCATAATTTTTACCATATCTTCACATTTTTTCTACATCTGTGTATCAACTGCACTTATTAAAACTTTTTCTAATACACTTTTAAGTATTTCTTTCTAAATGCATTCATTTTTAAAACAAATGTTTTATCACTCATGCAAAAAGCCAATTAATAAATATAATGAAAACAAAAATTAAACATTCTAGCTACACACTGTTAAAGGCTCTGAACTTGAGGCCTGCTTTCTCTGTATAAAGAGAGCTATGCGGCCAGGTGCAGCGGCTCATGCCTGTAATCCCAACACTTTGGGAGGCGGAGGTGGCTGGATCACGAGGTCAGGAGGTCGAGACCATCCTGGCTAACACGGTGAAACCCCGGCTCTACTGAAAGTACAAAAAATTAGCAAGGTGTGATGGCGGGTGCTTGTAGTCCCAGCTACTCCGGAGGCTGAGGCAGGAGAATGGCATGAACCCGAGAGGCGGAGCTCACAGTGAGCTGAGACCACGCCACTGCACTCCGGCCTGGGAGACAGAGCGAGACTCCGTCTCAAAAAAAAAAAAAGAGAGAGCTATGCAATAGAACAATTGTATTTGATTAGTGCTGTCATAAGCACTTTATACATGGTATCTCATTTAACATTTATAACAATTGTATGAGGTAGATTGTTTCCCCATTTTACACAAGAGGAAACTGAGTGATAGTGGGTCCATGTCCCCACTCAAATCTCATGTCAAATTGTAGTACCCAAGGTTGGAGGTGGGTTCTGGTGGGTGGTGACTGGATCATGGGGGTGGATTTCCCCTTTGGTGCTGTTCTTGCGATAGTGAGTGAGTTATTTCGAGATCTGGCTGTTTAGGTATGTAGCCCCATGCCACCCCCACCCCTCCCTGCCCCACCCACTTCTTCCTACTCCAGCCCTAAGACGTGCCTGGTTCCCTTTCACCTTCTGCCATGATTGAAAGTTTCATGAGGTCTCAGAAGCCATCGTGCTTCCTGTACAGCCTGCAAAACTATGAGCCAATTAAACTTTTCTTTATAAATTACCCAGTCTTAAGTATTTCTTTTCATCTTTCTTTTTTTTTTTTTTCAGATGGAGTCTCGCTCTGTCACCCACACTGGAGTGCAGTGGCATGATCCCAGCTCACTGCAACCTCTGCCTCCCAGGTTCCAGCGATTCCCCCACCTCAGCCTCCTGAGTAGCTGGGATCACAGCTACCTACCATCATGCCCAGCTAATTTTTGTATTTTTGTAGAGACGGGGTTTCACCATGTTGGCCAGGCTGGTCTTGAACTCCTGACCTCAGGCAATCCACCCACCTTGACCTCCCAAAGTGCTGGGATTACAGCCGTAAGCCACTGTGCCCAGCCAAGTATTTCTTTATAGCAGTGTGAGAACGGACTAATACTCTGAGGGACAAGAAAGAATAAATGGCAGAGGCAGCAGATCAAGCAGCATTAACATAAGCAACTCCATCTTAGAAAAAGACTCCATCTTACATTTTAAAAGCCATCATGCCGACAGGGACCAGATGTTCACCTAATCAATAGACACTGCACCCAGCCAGATAAGGACAAAACCAGGCGCACTTTTCCACTATCAGGCCTCACCAAACGACTCTGGAGAGCAGGACTTCGCCAGCTCAAAACGCCCATCTTAACAGACACTGTCTTGCTGTCACTTGTGATAAGCACCTGGCATCCACCTCTGAAGTCTGTGCCCACATAAAAGACTCTTCCTTGCAAGACCTTGCAGGAAATTCTTTTTGTCTATATTGCTCTTCCTGGACTGGTTAACTCTTTCCCTCATCCCTTTTCTCTTGATTTTTTTTTTTTTGAGACGGAGTCTCACTCTGCCACCCAGGCTGGAGGGCAGTGGCACCATCTCGGCTCACTGCAACCTCTGGCTCTCAGGTTCAAGCAATTCTCCAGCTTCAGCCTCCAAAGGAGCTGGGATTACAGATGCACACCACCACACCTGGCTAATTTTTGTATTTTTAGTAGAGATAGGGTTTTACTACGTTGGCCAGGCTGCTCTCTAACCCGTCACCTCAAGCGACCTGCCCGCCTCGGCCTCCCAAAGTGCTAGCATTACAGATATGATTCACTGCACCTGGCCTCTCTTGATGTAAAATTTACTTTATTTGATGTGGAATGTTTAATCTATAACATTTATATATCGATTAAGCATACCACACCATGTATGGTTTGCAATGCTGACTGACTTGTGGAACGGTTTGAGCCTCACACCTCTGACTACTGACTGAATGGGTAATAGTAAGGAGAGTCGCCTCCTTGGTAATTCTAGGTAGCTCGTGGCTTCTGTGACTGAAATAGCATCAACAAAAGTCTGACATTGTGGAAAGACACAAATATGTGTGGATCTGGTTATCTGACCTTGAGACGCTCAGGATAGCCAGGATTCAAATGGAGGCAGTCTGGAGTCAGTGCACCTAGCTGCCTCCTACATAATGCAAAAGACAAGTGATTCTCTATGATTTGATGCCATCTGTGCCTCAATTACAAACGCCTGAGACTGCATTGGAGTACATGGCCCTACTTTGGAAAAACTGGTCTGGGGGGATGTCCAGACAGCTCTGGGGAGAGGCGTCTTCCTTCCACGCTCAGATACACATGGAAATGCTGCACATTCTCTCAGCTTTTGGGGATTCACCTTTTGTATTGGTATCTAAATGGTTCTCAGAGTCCTGCAGCAAACACTGTCTTAAGCTTTCTTTTTCTTCTTTAGAGACAGGGTCTCATTCTGTTGCCCAGGCTGGAGTGCAGTGGTGTGATCATGGCTCACTGCAGCCTCGACCTACTGGGGTCAAGTGAGCCTCTTGCTTCAGCCTCCTGAGTAGCTGGGGCATGTGCCACCACACCGGCCTTTTTTTTTTTTTTTTTTTTTTTTTTGTAGAAATGAGGTCTCACTGTGTTGCTCAGACTGGCCTCAAACTCCTGAGGTCAAGCAATCCTCCCACCTCAGCTTCCTGAGTAGCTGGGACTACAAGTATGCCACCACGCCTGGCTGATTTAAAAAAAAATTCTTTTTGGTAGAGATGGGGATCTCACTATGTTGCCCAGTTTGGTCTCAAACTCTTGACTTCAAGCAATCCTCCTTCCTTGGCCTTCCAAAGTGGTGGAGTTACAGGCATGAGCCACTATGCCCAGCCTCTTTTAAGCTTTCTTTAATGCAGCATTTCTTATTGGATCTCAGAATCATTTTAAAGGGGAGCCTGTATTTGTACCTCAGGAGACGCAAATGTTCCATTAAGCAGTCTGAATCCTTCTCAGCATTTAGAATAAAATTCATTTCATTAAAAAATATTCCTAGTTTTTAAAGATGAAGAAAGTATTGCTTCCCTGAAAGAGGTTACAAATATTCAAATAGGGTTTCTGTTACCTGGTGAAATTTCTCATGCCGTCGAACACAGATCACTTCAGAAGGTCATCTGCTTTCTAACACCCCTTCCAGTCCTTCCACACCCGCTTCTGACTTGGCAGCAGGAGCAGCATTTCCACCAGGTGATGGCCTTTGTCACTGCCAGTTCCACTGGGGGGCACCAGCAGCCATGGGCAAAGGAAGCCCTGGGCATTTGAATTTGGCACAGAAGCTGCCACCATGTGTCAGGCACTCTGTGTTCAAAGAGTGAAAGGAAAATAGAATCTCAGGATCCCAAACTCAGGATGGCAAAGGGAAACTTCAGCATGGGAACTGAGTCACGCAAAAACTGCTGTTCCTTCTGTTCCCAGACAGCTGTAATTTCACAACCTCATGTCACAGCCTCATTTCCTCTACTCCCTCTTTAAACGTTAACTTTATCTTGTGTAAAATGTAGATTTACTGAGCTTATCTTGTGTAAAATGTAGATTTACTAAGCTGGAGACAATGAATAATTGTTTTTTTCCTCTACTCCCTCTTTTCATAGGTAAAATGTAAATTCACTGAAGCTGATCAGAGCCTCACAAGAAGGTAACCATCCGCCGCATTGCCTACCCTCCCTATTTTTCCCTCTTGCTTGCTCTTTCCCTTTTAAATACCAAAGTTCCCAAAACCCCTTTGGAAAAAGCACAGGTCACAGATGCTCCTGTGATCTGTGCTTTTTACTAGGCGCGTCCTTGACTTTGGCTAAATAAACCTCAAATAGATTGAAACCTGCCTCACTCAACTTTTGGTTTACAAAAGTTCAGTGAACCTGGAAGTTCTTTCAAAAAACTCACAAAAAGGGGAAATTGCCTTAGGAGGGAACAACATATGTGATAAGTAATGCACTTCTAATTGTCACCACTGACAGGTACTTCTGCGTGGCCTGCTCAGCAAAGAACTGTTTCTTGATAAAGAAAAACAAGGCCCAAATTGATGTGTGCTAATTGCACGACCTTCACCAGGAGGAGGGAGGCAGTGGCACGGAGTGAGTGCTTGGGTTTGCTGTGTGTCCGGAAATGGTGAGTTCTTGGTCTCACTGACTTCAAGAATGAAGCCGCGGACTCTCGTGGTGAGTGTTACAACTCTTAAGGTGGCGCGTCTGGAGTTTCTTTGTTCCTCCTGATGTTTGGATGTGTTGGGAGTTTCTTCCTTCTGGTGGGTTGGTGGTCTCGCTGGCTCAGGCAGCAGTGAAGATGCAGACCTTTGAGGTGAATGTTACAGCTCATAAAGGCAGTGTGGACCCCAAGAGTGAGCAGCAGCAGGATTTACTACAAACAGCGAAGGAACAACGCTTCCACAACGTGGAAGGAGACCCGAGCAGGTTGCCAATGCTGGCTCGGGCGGCCCGCTTTTATTCTCTTATCCGGCCCCACCCACATCCTGCTGATTGGTAGAGCCAAGTGGTCTGTTTTGACAGGGCGCTTATTGGTGCGTTTACAATCCCTGAGCTAGACACAAAGGTTCTCCAAGGCCCCACCAGAATAGCTAGATACAGAGTGTCAATTGGTGCGTTCACAAACCCTGAGCTAGACACAGGGTGCTGATCGGTGTATTTACAATCCCTGAGCTAGACATAAAGGTTCTCCACGTCCCTACCAGACTCAGGAGCCCAGCTGGCTTCACCCAGTGGATCCCGCACCGGGGCTGCAGGTGGAGCTGCCTGCCAGTCGCGCGCCGTGCGCCCGCACTCCTCAGCCGTTGGGTGGTCGATGGGACTGGGCGCCGTGGAGCAGGGGGCGGCGCTCATCGGGGAGGCTTGGGCCGCACAGGAGCCCACGGAGGGGGTGGGAGGTTCAGGCATGGCGGGCTGCAGGTCCCGAGCCCTGCCCCGCGGGAAGGCAGCTAAGGCCCGGTGAGAAATCGAGCGCAGCGCCGGTGGGCTGGCACTGCTGGGGCACCCAGTACACCCTCTGCAGCCGCTGGCCCGGGTGCTAAGCCCCTCATTGCCCGGGGCCGGCAGGGCCGGCCGGCTGCTCCTAGTGCGGGGCCCGCCAAGCCCACGCCCACCCGGAACTCCAGCTGGCCCGCAAGCGCCGCGCGCAGCCCGGGTTCCCGCTCGCGCCTCTCCCTCCACACCTCCCTGCAAGCTGAGGGAGCCGGCTCCGGCCTTGGCCAGCCCAGAAAGGGGCTCCCACAGTGCAGCGGTGGCTGAAGGGCTCCTCAAGTGCCGCTAAAGTGGGAGCCCAGGCAGAGGAGGCGCCGAGAGCGAGCGAGGGCTGTGAGGAGGGCCAGCACGCTGTCACCTCTCAGCGGGATGCAGCCGTAGGGCCAGCCACACCTCTCCCACGTGGGACGCACCTCTTGTGACACTTCTTTTGGAAATTCTAGTTGCCTCCTGCTTTCCTCTGTTCTGTTGGCAAAAGTGGCTTTGAATTCTGCACACCCCACGGTTCTACCTGCCTTGTCAGGAGTCTTGCAGTGAGGCCCTCCTGGTCTGAAGCGATCCCTTCTTCCCTGTATTGCGCTGTCTTCAGGGCAGGGCTCCTCTTGTTACAGTAGGTAGTCAGGCACACATAAGCAGGGCAGAAGAACGCCCCCCAGCAACCATCAGGTGAGATGGTCAGGTGGTTGTTACACTGTCTCTCTAAAATAATTGGTGACAGCCGGTGCCAGGGAAAGGCAGGCTCCCAACAGACAGAAAACACCTGAAGCTGGTGATCAGCAGCTTTCGGATAAGAGCTCAGGATTTGGGTGCGTGGGCTGAAGCATGCGCATTAAGAGGCAAAAGGACGGCGCTTGACTGGTATAGGACCTTCTAGGAACATTCAACTAGTAAGGGAAGAACACCTCAAGTGAGCATGCGCACAACTCCAGTAATACACTGCGCATGCGCCCCCTCCCAAGCGCTGGCAGGCCTCTGCGTATGTGGACGGCCAACCCCAAGGAAGAATCAGGGGAGACCTCGGAAAAATGCCCACGTATAAAACCCCAGGTCAAAGGTCAAACTGTGCACTTGCTCTCTCAAGCCGCCTGCTTGGCCCTCTTCCAAGTGTACTTCCTTTCGTTCCTGTTCTAAAGCTTTTTAATAAACTTTCCCTCCTGCCCTAAAACTTGCCTCCGTCTCTCCTGCTGTCTTATGCCCCTCGCTTGAATTCTTTCTTCTGAGGAGGCAAGAATTGAGGTTGCTGCAGACCCGTTATGGATTCACCACGTTAACACCCTGGCTTTGGTCCTTCCTTATCTTCTCTTTGCCTTTATTTAAACAATATGGAGTACTAAATCCTCTGATGGGTACCTGAGGGGCCTGCTCTTCCAGTTTGCAAATAGGGCACCCTGAGGCAGTATGTAGCAGGACTTCTGCTAAGAGCCTTTGAAAGAAAGATCAGGGGAACTTCCAAAGCTACCATAAATTCAACAGCTGTGACTTAGGAATATAGTGGATCATTGAAAAAAAAAAAAAGATTCTGATTTAAGAGAGCTGATCTTCAAGTTATATCCTCAGCCTGAAAACAGAGGCAGTTTTAAAACAGGGATTCTTTAGTTTTCTCTTCGGAGACCAAACAGATGAGAGCTACCACCACCCACCTCCCACAGCTCCAACAGTACCACTAAGGACTAAAACTATAAAAGTCATTCCTTAACTGATAGAATTAAAAGTAAAAACAAATGAACAAAATCTGAAATAATTAAGTTCTGGGAATACAACTGTTTAACCATTTCTTTGTATTTTTATTGATTTTTCTTTTTTAATTTCTGCCCAGTTACAACAACGAAATGGGAAACCACAATTAAAATTCACAAACCATGGCATGAAAAACAACACGCACCCCATCAGGAATTACACCAAACCCCTTTTCCTTTTTATTCATTCAAAAGAGAGTCCAATACACAAGTGTCAAATATGAGCACTGTCATTTTTTTTTTCTTAGAAGGGGGAAAAACATTTATTTTGGCAGTGCTTTGACAATTCCAGGAAGTGGTTTTGATACCACAAGTTGCAGGAATAGAAACCCTAACAAACTTGGAGGGCATTTGTTTGAGAGGCAAGGGACGCCTTGCTTAGAAAACATTCCTCTTGTGCTTAGTGAATCACCTATCGCCTCGGTGGGCTGCTGTGTCTTTCCAGGTGCTGAAAGAGAAAACGGAATTTCTTGCATAGACAGCTGAAGAGTCCTGTAGAGCAGAGTGATTTTTGTATCTCCAACCCTCCTCCCAACTTGAAACAAATTCTCAAGCTTCTCTGGAGCATCTTTTGGTCACATGACCCTCGATCATGGTAACCCTTTTGCTAAGACACATGTGACACCAAGGTTTCCTCTGACACTGCTTCTCTAGGGTTCAGATGACAGCATAAAACATCACTGGTCAAAAATATTAGATATTAAGAATGTGGGCGTTTATGTTCGTAACAGCAAATACTTTGTAGGGTGTGTCACCCAAAGGAGCATTTTTGTCATTTAATATGGTCCCCGGGGAGTTAGCCCAAAATCATACAAATAAGCCTTTTTCTAAAGACAGGTCAAAGTTGGTTAATTTAACAGTTGAGGAACCGTCTCATGCCAATTAAAAAATTCTTACTTCCCAACTATTCAATGGTCCAAAAAGCAATTAAATGTGACCATTCAGTTTTACACACATGCACACACACACACACGGAGACGCGCACACACACACGAGAACTGTGACAAAAGGATTCACCAGATTAATCTTGTGACTGTGTTCTAAAAGAAAATGAAATCTCAAACTTGAGGTGTCCTATTCAAGTATTAAAAAAATGCAAACATCGTCTGATCCCATTCGATTTTTATCATCATAAGAAATCATTCTCTGAACTGCAGGTTCTGGAGTCAGTGAAATTAATGCCTGGGGCACAAAATATTCTACAAAAATCGGTTTGTGATTTCTAGCAGGGCAGTCGCTTGCTCCTTATTTCTTTTAAAAAACATGTTGAGACTTTGTATACTGTAGCCTTCCAAGAGTCAATACTTTACAAAAGAAGTAAAAGAGTAGCGAGTACCAGCAACTCACTCTTCTTGTCTGAGGCTGGCGAGAAGCAGTCAGTTTTATACATTTTCGATCAACCCACGGAGGAGGCAAATGTAAACAGAGTTTTTTACACTCTCCGAAAAACATGTTACTACTGTAGCATATGCTGTTTGGCCCAATTAAAAGTAGAATGGAGAGCAATTTGTTTGGTTGGCTTTTTAAGTTTTACCTTGTGAAGATTTTAAAACAAGGGTATTACTAGTTCTTGGCAGGAGACCGTCCAATCAGAGGCTCTGTATTTATAAATAACCCGTGTGGGATTATGCTCTCCAGTGAATGTAACTGGAGCCTAAATTCACAACCTTAAGATCTGACAGCCAGATGTGGAAGGTCTACAAAGAGCTCTGCTAATAAGTAATATGTTTGCAAAGTGCTCTGCTAAGTAAGGTACTTATTAAGCAGAGCACTTTGTAAGATTCAGAACTGACTCCTGATTATCTTAAGCCATTAAAAGACTCAAGTTTTGCATGGACTTTTTGTCCTCTTTGGCCCCTGAGTGTGCCCCATCTCTGCCCAGCACTAATAACACGTTGGAAGAGCAAAGGATTTCCCACCAGCGTGCCAGATGATTTATATAGGCAGGGACCTTCATTGAAAAGAAGGGAAGGGACACTGTCTTAAATGCACATTTAAGGTTCTTTCTGATTATTGGCAATCTCTATGAACCAACACTTAATCCATGGGCTAACAGAGAGATTTTTTTTTTAATGTGAAGAGGATTAAAGAATAAAGAAAAAACAAAAAAGTCTTATACTAAAATAAGAAATCAGCCCCATCTTGGCACAGTTCTCATGCAGAATATTGCACCCAGTGTGAACTAACGCTAGAAGCTTCAAACTGTATAAATTTAAATGTATTTGCATATTATAAAAATAAAGATAAACATATACATATTTTACACTAGTTATGGAACAGCAATGAACGTCAGTCGATCCCTCTTTCACATTTAACAGAACTGAAATCTGAGTGCTCTAAATACTGCCACCTGTACTGTAACTATGGCTTATATGTGCACGGAAAACAAAATCCCTGAGAAGCCATTCGACTTTTTTTTTTTTTTTTTCTTTTCTTCAAGTAGCGCGCTCCTTGGAGGATCACAGTTCTGAGGTTCAGGTTGTAAAACATTTGCTCCATGTTCTCGTCCATGCTTCCCCCCACCACCCCCTCCCCACCTCTTCCCCAGTCGTCCAAAAAGCACCCTGCAAGCACGCGTTGTCACTCAAGTTCACAGAACACGCTGGGGTGAGTGCAGAGGGTCTGCCAGGTGCAAAAGATGGTCCAGGTGTTCAGATGCTCTCTTTTCTCCATGGAAATTCCACAGCCACAAACGTCACTGGTTTCTGTGCTTTTCACCAACATTCTTCCTGTATGGGTGGACAACAAGAAAGCACAGAGATGACAAAAACGTACTGGACAATGCTACCCTCAATAAGAAAAGGAAGTGATGATAGAAATCTATTTTCTGCACATATTTTCATTTCTACTTCCAGGACTCATTATAAACATGTAAATGTCAGGCAACTTATGTCCCCACAAAGGAAAGAGTCATTTTAGCAGTCTATTTGCCAAACATTTCTGTTGGTGTGTTAAGCTCAGTTCAGCTATAAGAGGGAACTGTACTAACTGGCTGTCATCACTTATTCCACTGTAATTTTATAGCTTAACTAGACCTCTAACTAACAACCCAAAACTCTAAACACGGAACTGTTTCCTTTCAATAAACACACACGGTCACACGCAGACACACACCAAATAATCCTCTAGAAGAAGGAATATATACTAAAAAGTGAGATGTCTGTCTGCCTAAAATGCATGATTTTACTTAAAATGTTATAAGTTAAGTTGTCCACGCAAATCTGGAGTCTGATCAATATAGAATGAATAAACTACTGCAGCCTCAGCAAATAAAGCGGGATTCAGTTCCGATAAAATGGTTAGAGGAAAAAATATCAAGTGTTTTTCTCATTTTTGCTTCCCTACAATGACATGTGATGGGATGTTTTTGAAAGTGGTTTTTTTTTTTTAGCAACTTTTAATAAAATATACAAAGACATTGAAAGGAAAGGAAAAAGGAGTTACGATTCGTTTCCTCCAATCCCCCATCTCTCATTAGGAGAGACGCTGATTTCATGGACACTGATAATTCAGCATCTGCCTAAACACTTCTCCAGTCCATACAAGATTCAGTCATGGGCTCATTCAAGCATGATAATAACGACATCACCAAAACAAAGCAAAGCAAAGCAAAACAAAACAAAACAAAACAAAAAAACCAAAAACCTCTCATTTACTAACTACATGCCAGGAATTAGGTTGTTCACTCTAGTGCATTATTTATCTTCAACTCCTAATAATCCCACCATGTAAGCTCCATCTTACTCAGTATTATTATTATTTTTTTTTTTTTGAGACAGAGTCTCGCTCTGTTGCCCAGGCTGGAGTGCAGTGGCGCAATCTCGGCTCACTGCAAGCTCCGCCTCCTGGGTTCATGCCATTCTCCTGCCTCAGCCTCCCGAGTAGCTAGGACTACATGTGCCCGCCACCACACGCGGCTAATTTTTTGCATTTTTAGTAGAGATGGGGTTTCACCATGTTAGCCAGGATGATCTTGATCTCCTGACCTCATGATCCGCCCACCTTGGCCTCCCAAAGTACTGGGATTACAGGTGTGAGCCACTGCGCCCGGCCTCAGCATCTTACTAGGAAGGGAACTAAGGTTCCAAAAGATGAAATAACTTCCCCAAGGGTGCATACTAGCGAGTGACAGAGCCAGGCCTTTCACTAGGGTGATCTGACTCCAAAGCTCAAAGAGAAGTTGGATATTTGGAGCCCTAGGAAAGAGTTTCACATTTCTAAGGCACTCTGCCACGAGAATTTTTTGAATGCCTATTAATATAGTAAACTCCCAGAAGAGAGGGTTTTGAAAACTGCCTCAAATTCAACTAATAATATAATCAATCTAACTGTAAGGAGGACGCCAGTGTAAAAACACACGTCTCAACCTAGCAGCTAACTTTGGTGGTGTGAGTTTTGGGTTCACGTGGGAGATGTGTTACATAAACATTTTCCCACTGAATCTGACAGACCTTCAGAAATGCAGACAGTCTGCTCCCCGGGCTACACGTAAGACTGAGAAACACAAGAATACCTAATCAAGGACACCTAGACGGAAAATCCCACTGTTCAACCAGCTTGAAAATTGTTTCACATCTATATGCCTTTTTCCACATTTGGGATCTTAGAGAAAACAACCATCAAAATCACCAACCTTCTCTGTTTCTCCCCACCTCTCTAGCTCCATAAACTTGTCCTCCTTCTTCAAGATCCATCTCAAGTACGACTTCCTGGAACTTTTCCTGATTCTTCCTGGTAGAGTTCTTTCTTCCCTGTGCTTACAAGACTCTGTTCATACACCTATCATGGCAGGTACCATGTTTCAATTATAATTAGACTCTGATAAGTTTGCCTGGTTATGGCTTTGATTCCTATCTTCTCCAAAGAGGCTATTAGGTTCTGGAGGGCAGGATTTGATTTAGTTCTTTATGTATCCTCAACACCCGGCCCAATGCCTACTAGAGGATAATTACTCAACAAAGATCTGTTGAATGAATGATGGGTCAGATGTGATGAAAAAGCCACAGGTAAAAAGTAGCCAAGATACTATGAGATCATTACCAAAAGAGGTATATAAAAAGTACTGAGGAGAGCCAGGTGCGGCAGCTCATGCCTGTAATCCCACTGCTTTGGAAGGCTGAGGCAGGCAGATCACCTGAGGTCAGGAGTTTGAGACCAGCCTGGCCAACATGGCAAAACCCTGTCTCTACTAAAAATGCAAAAATTAGCCAGGCGTGGTGGTGCATGCCTGTAGTCCCAGCTACTCGGGGGGCTGAGGCAGGATAATTGCTTGAACCCAGGAGGCGGAGGGTGCAGTGAACCAAGATTGTGCCAATACACTCCAGCCTGGGTGACAGACCAAGACTCTGTCTCAAACAAAGAAACAAAAAGTATTGAGGAGACATGAAGAACAGAGTGACTGGTTACAGTTAGGATGGTTACGGGAGGCTCCCCAGAGGAGCTGACATATGACCTTGGCCTCAGCGACCAATGGGCCTTAACTGGGTAGGAGAGAAGGGCAGCAGCCAGCCAGTGGACTGAGAGGCAGCCACGGCCCACCACGGCTGACCTCCCATGGTAAGGGAGTATCTGTGTGTTGGCAGAGTGGCTGGGTCTGATTGTGCAGGGCCTTGTGAGCCACGGCCAGGAGTTTGAACTTGAGCCTGTGATCACCAGGAAGCCATCCAAGGCTTTTCAACAGGGAGAGATGTGATGAGGTCTGATGTTAAAAGACAATTATTGTCGGTTTGAAGGACAAAAAGATAAGAGAGCAGGCAGCCAGCTGAGACTCAGTCACAGGAACCTTGGCAGAGACGGGGGAAGTGGTGGCTGGGGGGGTTGGGCCCTAGAGGGAAGCCCGAGGCTGAAGCTGAAGATGTGGGTCAAATTCATTCATGTCACGACACAGATGAGATGGGATAAAAGGTGTTGGAGAATTACTACATATAGGGAAGAAAGCAGAGGAAGGCAATGAGGCTTACGGACTCCTAGCTTGGAGCCGATGGTACAAAGCTACGCTGTTACCCAAGACAGGTCACAGACTGAGGAAGAACTTTGCGGGAGGAAGGCAATAAATTCAGCTGTACACCTGTGAAGCCTACAGACATCCAGGGATGATGCCACGTGAGACATTGGAAACAGAGGTCTGGGGCTGAAGGGAGGGTCCAGCCTGGGGGGCACCCAGCCCCCGAGTCCTCCCAGGTTAGGGAATTGAAATCTGCCCTTCCAGGATGCAACAAAGAAATTATGACGCAAGGTACCGAGACACTTAGGCTGAAACTGAAGCCATGGCATGTTGTATTAACCATGTCTTTTATTTTCTGTATTCTGGTGCTTTCCTACTCCGGACCTTGCAAACTCTGGAGGGACTGCCCCTCCTAGGATTAGCCAATTCCTAGAGATGGTAAAACAATTTGCCCGGAGTATACTCTTCCAATACAAACCAACTAATCCTGAACCCACACCTGGAACACCTCCTTTACTGGCTCTCACACTCCAGGCCACCATCCACCTGCCCTAATCACCCCTGAGCCAGGTGCCAGACGACTAAGGCAACCCCTCTGCCCCAGGGCCACTGAGATTATTCAAATAAGCCTGTCCTAGACCTGCCTACCCGGCCTTGCCCGTTCCTCCCCTCTCCCCTCCTGCCCCCAGTCCCTCCCTTTCCCTACTTGTGACCATCCCGGTACTTTCCTGTGTAGTTCCTGAAGGTGTGGACCCACTTGATGTTTTATTTCTGCATAATATTAACATTTTTCAAAAATGACTTCCTTTTTTGAACAAGGATCTAAGATCACTGTCTATGCAATATCATAGTAAATTAAGCAAAAGAATCAAGCAGTTCCCTTCTTCCTAATTCCCATATGCAACTTGATTCTAGAGATGTATAAGGTTTGTCTAGGATTCCTGTTCTCCAAAATCTCTTCATCCCAACACCCCCATATCCCCCCTAATCTCTCTGAGTCCTCAAGAGGGCCTTACCTATTTAAGAAATTCTCTCTGTTTCACGGAGACTTACCCTTAAAAATTGGTGCTCCTAAAGTCACAGTTTGGGTACAGTAAAAATGATGGCATAAGGAAAAGAAGCACTATCTTTTCCACTTAATTTTCCAAGAAAGTATGAAGATACCTAAGCAGAGAGGGAAAAATTCCAGTATCAATGTGGCTGACGGGAGACTAAATAATTAAAGAAACACAATTCCTCCTAGCTTGTTAAAACAGCAAGGCAAAGAGCTGCCTCACTCCTTGCATAGAACAAAACAAATCAATGCAAATCAATGTGAAACACCCCACAGGCAACCTCCACATGTGGCCTTTTCTTATAAAATACCATCCCATCCTCACCCTCTATATTTTAAAATTCTGTGGTCAGTGAAAAATTCTCCATTGTGATGAAGCCTAATTCATATCACGCCACTGCTTTTTAAAAATATTTTATCAAGTTCATGCTAATTTGTGTGCTGTTAGGCATACGTGGCCTGTTTATTTGGTGATATAAAGGCTACAGACTTCATCCTGCTTTTTATGAAAGGCTACTGCAACTGGTCTTAAATGTCTTTATGTCAAAACGATGTTACTGCCAAAATTCCTGTGCAAAGTAACCACGGTACTTCTGAGAATACTTACAAACAGCTAGCAAGTAACTGGAATTTAGTGGGGATCTTGCTTGAATGGGAACTCTACAGTATAGAGGCAATAATCCAAGATTTTAAAAGGGTATTTCGAAATGCAATAACTCAGCCTTCCCCTCTATTATTATTAGTACTTCCTAAAAAAGGAGAAAGCTTAGCTCAACCATTTTCAAACCACCACCCCACCCGTTTTTTTTTTTTTTTTTTGCTAATTCTGTTAACACATGATCAGCCAAAATCAGAATGAACTAACTTCTTCAGTCTCAGAACTCCCACCATTCCCCACATATCGGAGCACAGACAGATACGGTATCGCTGCAGGAGAAACGTCAACCATCAGGAAATAAGAGTGACACATGCCCATTTCCTGTATATTCAAGGGTCAGTCCATTAAGAAACCACATGTTAGAATGTGGGTCGCATTCCAGTAATGCCTCAAGGTAAAACATTTTCATATGATGACCTGTTGAATTTGCTTGGTCTTTTACCCAAAAATCAGTAGATAAACTGGGTTATCTGGCAGGTTATCAAAGAGTCTTCAGTTTGGTGGAGGACGGATTTGCTCTAAAGCTCTTTAGAAGGAGAAAGAGAAGCATTCTGCAGGAACCCTAGAAATGAAACGCAACCAGCAAGCTGCCATTTGTCCAGAGAAGCTCACACTCCCTGGGAAATGGAATATTGGGTCTCAACCTGAAGAGTAGCTGGACAGAGACAGGAATTCACAAATAAAAGCTTTAAAAGATAATGCGGTCTACTTGCTTCCTACCTTGCCCACGGGAAGTATAGGTTTGCCCTATCTTTTGACTCCTAATGTCAAGGCTCAGTACCCCTGAAATATCTAGGGCCTAATTAGGCTGCCATGAAGAAGTTCTAAAGGAGGAGCTCTCCAAGCAGCTCCAGCTCCTCTCCACCATCCAGGAAATAGGGGGCTGGCAGTGGCAGGAGCAAGATAAGCCACTGCCTTTAGACTGAACTGTGCCAAGGATAACGTGTTTATGAGAACCTCTTTAAAACTCAGAAATCGGCCAGGCACGGTGGCTCACGCCTGTAATCCCAGCACTCTGGGAGGCCGAGGCAGGCGGATCACGGTCAGGAGATCGAGACCATCCTGGCTAACACAGTGAAACCCTATCTCTACCAAAAATACAAAAATTAGCCAGGCATGGTGGCATGTACCTGTAGTCCCAGCTACTCGGCAGGGATAACAGGAGAATCATTTGAACCCAGGGGGCAGAGGTTGCAGTGAGCCGAGATCATGCCACTGTACTCCAGCCTGGGTGAAGGAGTGAGACTCTGTCCCAAAACAAAAGCTCAGAAATCTGCTTCATACTAACACACCAGCCTGCAAAACCATTCCTGAAAGTGACACTAAAAATATTTATTGGCCGGGCGCGTGGCTCACGCCTGTAATCCTAGCACTTTGGGAGGCCAAGGCGGGCAGATTATCTGAGGTCGGGAGTTCAAGACCAGCCTGGTCAACATGGTGAAACTCCTTCTCTACTAATACAAAAAATAAAAAATTAGCTAGGTGCAGTGGCGTGTGCCTATAATCCCAGCTACTCTGGAGGCTGAGGCAGAAGAATTGCTTGAACCCAGGAGGCGGAGGTTGTGGTGAGCCAAGATCACGCCACTGCACTCCAGCCTGGGCTACAGAGTGAGACTTCATCTCAAAAAAATAACCAAAAAAACAAACCAAAAAAAACTTACTGACTGCATGAACTAGGTGTTGGATAAGACACAAGTTAACTGCAAATAGGCAGGAGATTTCTTTTTGGGGTGAAGGAACGTTCTAAAATTAGATTGTGGTGATGGTTGTATAAATACAACTCTGCAAATACGTTAGTAATCATTGCACAGGTGAATTTTCTGGTATGGAAATTATACATCAATAAAGCTTTTAAAAATGTATCTGTCACAATCTGTATCCTTGAGGAGGCCAGAATTTTTCAGAGCGACCCAGGCAAATTTGCTACTAGGTGAATGTTCACCTCATCTTAAATGCAGATATCCTTGAAAATCATCTCAAGATATTCAAAGCATGGAAATGACTCACATTTCTATCTGATAATCAGCAAGGGGGAGAAGAAGCCACTCAGCTCCTGTTTCTCCCTGGAGGGTGAGGTGCAGAAGGGGAGGCATTTCATCCTGTTCCTGAAACCTCTTCCCAATGAAACGCTGGTGGAGACCTCAACCACCAATCCACTGAGACAAGTTATAAGAGTAAATCATGTTGTTAAAACAAAAAAAAAAATATCACTACCTACTTCTTATTCTCTGTCTCTCCCCATGGGGGAATAAAATGTCTACAAATTGTTTAAAATAAGAAATAGAAAAGCTTGGAATTCATTTAAAAAAGGCCAATCAGGTAACAGTCATCTACAGTTTCTTCTTTATAAAGAAAGCATTGCAGCACCATTAGTCAAAGACAGGCAGTTAAATGACAAGTCTCTGATTTGACCAATAAAGGAGAGGGCTAAACCAGCCAAAGAAGAGCTTGGAATGTCTTTTTAAAAACCATCATGAGATCCAGATCAGCCACCTAAGCCCCACAAAAGCCAGCAATCACCTAGGGTAATTATTCTGGTCTACCTGGGAGCTTTCTCTAGGGCACCCATCATCCCAACATGACTGACAGCCGTCCCATCACTCTCAATCCTCTCCTGATTTGAACAGTGAGTGATATGTTCACCTTACCTGAGAGTGGGAGGGACTGTGCTGAGGCTGAGAGCAGACAGCATGGACAGTTTTGCCTTTGTGCTGCAGAGCAGGTATTGACCACAGAGCAGTCCTAAGGCCCCACTGGCCAGGGAACCCACCCTTAGAGGCATGGACTGGAACTGAACCATCAGAAAGTCGTGTACACACGTTAGACTCATCTGGGTGGCTTCTTCTGTTTTTTAGTGACTCATGCCTGGTCCCTTCCCTGAGAAATTCTAACTTAACAGGTCTGATTAAGAAAGCCTGACCTTGGCTGGGCACGGTGGCTCATGCCTGTAATCCCAGCATTTTCGGAGGCTGAGGCAGATGGATCACTTGAGGTCAGGAGTTCGAGACCAGCCCAGCCAACATGATGAAACCCCGTCTCTACCAAAAAATACAAAAAATTAGCTAGGTGTGGTTGTGTGCGCCTGTAGTCCTAGCTACTTAGGAGGCTGAGGCAGAAGAATCACTTGAACCCTGGAGGTGGAGTTTGCAATGAGCTGAGATCGCACCACTGCACTCCAGCCTGGGTGACAGAGTGAGACCCTTTGTCAAAAAAGAAAAAAAAAAGCCTGACCTCTATGGTGACCTGCTTAAGTTACCTCGGCTGGAGTTGAAAGCCAGTGCAATAGCCCCGGACTTCCAATGTCTAGTGCCTGCTGAGACCCCAAGTCTCAGGCTCAGGCCCAAGCTGTGTTGACTTAAGCACAGATTCTTTGCCAGCTATCCTAACCGATCCCCCCAAATCTCCCGCTTCCAATCCACTGTCAACCACCCATGAATGGGACCTTCCCCGGAGCCTGGCCCGGCCTCCACATGAGTTTGTTTTTGTCCATGTGTTCATGGATGTAAACTGTGGGTGCTTAAGGCGGTGAAGGTGGGGGAACACTGGGCAGCTCGAGCACAGGCTTCACATCTACGTGTGCTTTTCTATAAAGTCACACAAGAGATCATTTACCCCTTGCAGCTGCACTAAAATATGGTAATTTTCCAAGAAACGTCTTGCCAGGAATATGAAACTTCCCTACTTAGAGAACATTCCTTCATTTAGAGTTGAGAATTATATTGCAAAGCTGTCATCCATTTCATGAGACTTTTTTTTTAACCTCTTTCAAAATAAAATGATTCTGATAGCTAGGTCAAAAGTGGTTCAATGCCTAAAGAGGCTTCCTCGGCATTTGGATGTCTGGCGCCATGTACCGCCGCTTACCCATGACTTTAGGCTGCTTGTTCGTTCAGGTTCAATACGCTGTCGAGAGAGAGGCTGATAACATTTTTTTCAGGTTGGTATAAACGTGGTCTTTCTGCGGCAGTACAAGAAGCCCATGGGAAAACACTGATAAAGCTGGCTTGGTGCCAGGAAGGTTTCTAGCGCAAATGGATATTTTAACTCCTACCTCTATCGCACCTATTCGACGGCACTTGGCTATGGCAAAACAATAGGTTCATGTCTCTCTTGGCTCTGGAAAGTTTACGCCAATGCAAAGTATATTGAATTTTTGTTTCCTCTGTTTCATACCTTGCTGGTTCTGTAATATCCCCTTGAGCTTTAAGAACTTGCGGGGTATTAAAAAAAAGAGACAGAAGAAAAAGAAAACATATAATATCCCCTTATCCATCCTCACCCAGGTGTATCTGAAAGAAAGGGACCAATATGTACAATTTCAAAGAAATTAAAAGAGAAACAATAAAATTTCCGTTGTTTGATATGTTCAGGACAGGGGATATTCAGGTTAATATTCGGTTGGTGCAAAAGTAATTGTGCAATTACTTTTAACAGTTATTCTGTAATCCTATTTTAATATTTAAGAAGCACTTCAAGATTCACAATGTCTTAGGGTCAGTGATAAATTAAACTATGCACATGATAGTTAAATAGTACTCTGAATACAAGAGCATTAGATAACAGTTTCCCTTGGGTGTTCGGTGATATTTTCCAGCAAGGATAGATTAGGGATGTTCTATGTAATGAGTTTCCCAGTTTGGAGAAACGGGGCACTGAGCCGAGTGCCCTCTACTTCTACTGCAGCAGCTAATGAGTAAGAATGCCACTGGGAACCCTCGCTTTGCAGGGAGCACACCAAAGGCAGGGAAGCTGCCATGTGAGGGGTGAGATGGATGCCTGTCACACTGCCTGGAATGCAGCCGGACAGCAAGTTTCCCAAGAGGAGATGACAGGTCACAATTCCCAAAGGCGCACTTTCCAAGCTCCCTAAAAACAGGCTTAGATTCATACATAATTTTTTCATTAAAAAATTCCATGTGGCCAGCTAGGAAGAAAGAGTCGAGTTTGCTGCATGGATATGAATACTATGCTGGAGAAATCATGGTGCTGACATCACCCAGATCATGAGATCTGACCCAAGAAGATCTGTGGCTGCTGCTTTTCAGGATTTGAAGTAACAGGCATTTCATCTCAGCTTAAAAGCGGCCTCTTTGGTTCTTAATACAAACAAAACAAAACGAAAAACACACATACATAAAACCCAAACCAACAGGATGAGTGTTATCTAGAATAGTAGTAACCCAATGTTCTATCTGAAAGTTACTTGGCATGTGTGCGTTCTCTGTCTTCAAGTCCATTTTGGGGCAAGGTGGTGGCAAACTGCACAGCCCTTGATTTTCAGGGACTGACTCCGCAATCAGAACCATGCAACAGAAAACGGCCTATTACTGACTTTCTGCAGGCTTTGCTCATGGAATGGGCCTGCGCTGGTTTTTGATGTGAGAGCCAACTTCATTCTGCAATGACAGAGTTAAGACTGCCCGTCAAAAAACTATTTTCTTTTGTAATCCCAGCACTTTGGGAGGCCAAGACGGGCGGATCCCGAGGTCAGGAGATCGAGATCATCCTGGCTAACAGGGTGAAACCCCGTCTCTACTAAAAATACAAAAAAATTAGCCGGGCGCGGTGGCGGGCGCCTGTAGTCCCAGCTACTCGGGAGGCTGAGGCAGGAGAATGGCCCGAACCCGGAAGGCGGAGCTTGCAGTGAGCCAAGATGGCGCCACTGCACTCCAGCCTGGGCGACAGAGCAAGACTCCGTCTCAAAACAAAAAAAAAAAAAAAGGCAAAAAAAGGCCGGACGTGGTGGCTCACGCCTGTAATCCCAGCACTTTGGGAGGCCAAGACGGGCGGATCCCGAGGTCAGGAGATCGAGATCATCCTGGCTAACAGGGTGAAACCCTGTCTCTACTAAAAATACAAAAAAATTAGCTGGGCATGGTGGTGGGCGCCTGTAGTCCCAGCTACTCGGGAGGCTGAGGCAGGAGAATGGGGTGAACCCGGGAGGCGGAGCTTGCAGTGAGCCGAGATCGCACCACTGCACTCCAGCCTGGGTGACAGAGCGAGACTCCATCTCAAAAAACAACAACAAAAAAAATGTTCTTTTTGGTTCCATATACCTGCAAATAAACTGAAAACCAATGAACTGTACACTTAGGTAAGTGAACTGTGGTATGTGAATGACATCTCAAAAAGGCTGTTAAAAAATGTTCTGACTTTATTAGCTAAAGTAAAAAAAAAAAAAAAAATCACAAAAAAGAGGAAATAAAAGTTCCTGTTTTGCTGCATAAATCATGATGCTGATGTCATCCAGAAGAATTATGTCTGTTCAGGAGGACTTTGCAAGGTTTGTGCAGATGCAGTTTAACCTGGATTTTTGTGGTCATATCTATGGAGCTGGGATCAGGAGCCAGGTCCCGGGGCCAGAGGGACTTTGAGAACTCACTTGGAACAGGGGCTGATCACAGTCGGCGTGGGTGGGTAAACCAAGGCAACATTTACTCGCTCGCTGCCGTTCTTGGGGCAAATGATCTCTGCCACTCCTTCCGGTCTGGGCTGACTCAGCAACTCCCCTGTAGGAGGAGAGAGAAAAACGTGTTAGGGAGATGTGCACTAAAAATGGGCTCATTTTACAAAGACAGCACTGCCCGGGGATGGGGGCAGGGGGAGAAGGGCAGAGGTGAAGCAACGAAGGATGTGAGAACAAATGTGCAACCAAGAACAGCAGAACTGCCTGGGCGCCGGCTCCAGCGCCTAAATCCTCCTCTGCGTCACCGTGGAGAAAATTTTCATGGTTATGGCAGGAAGGCCCACACTAGACAAAGACAGCATCTGTCACTGCTCTGCTCACCTTCCTTTTAACAGACTGACTCCAGGGATCTTTATCTAGATATCAACGACTGAGCCAGAGTCCCCAGAGCCCACCGAAGCAAGGGCTGCCAAGGAGGTGTTCATAATTAGGATTTGGGGCAGATGGGACTCAAGCAGACCACAGCAACCATTCAACAAAGCCCTATATAAATGATCTGGAAACACAGCAGACTAAAAGTGTTAAAAACACAAACAGCCTAAGATCAGCCCAGCCTCCTCTGGGCAAGGGGATTGCCCTGATAGGTATGTGTGAAGCAGATGCACGACACAACACTATCTAACGAGTCTAGCAAAAACACATAATTAACCTAATGGATCACCACAATACTTAAAGGAACGCTATTACTCTGCATGCCCTGGATGTAATCTCTCTTCAACTAGATCATTACATCTCTAAAAGCAGTGATGACTTCCATTCTCTCATCCATATACCCAGGGCACCCTGCCCTTTCTCAGAGAGTACTCAAGAAACAGCTCCTGGCTGCAGATGGGACACATTATTGTTCAAACTGCCCTACTTAAACCTAGGAACTAAATTTTTTGTTGTTGTTTTGGAGACAGGCTCTTGGTTTGTCACCCAGGCTGAAGTGCAGTGGCCTAATCACAGCTCTCTGCAGCCTCAATCTCCCAGGCTCAGGTGATCCTCCCACCTCAGACTCCCAAATAGCTGGGACCACAGGTATGCAGCACCACATCTGGCTAAATGTTAACCTTTTACTTTATTTTTGTAGAGACAGGAGTCTCGATATGTTTCCCAGGCTGGTCTCAAACTTCTGGCCTCAAGCAATCCTCCCACCTCAGCCTCCCAAAGTGCTGGGATTACAGGTGTGAGCCACCATGTCTGGCTTCTAGAAAGTCAATTAACCAAATCAAGGATGTGAAATGTACACCAACTGGGGAAAGACACTACTGCAATTACAACTTCAACTCTCTGCACCAACCACTTCTACTGCTGACTTGAAATTCTAGAGACTCCGGGCTGGGCGCGGTGGCTCACACCTGCAATCCTAGCAGTTTGGAAGGCTGAGGCAGGTGGATCACAAGGTCAGGAGTTCGAGACCAGCCTGGCCAATAAGGTGAAACTCCACATCTACTAAAAATACAAAAATCAGCTAGGCATTTGTGGCAGGTGCCTGTAGTCCCAGCTACCCAGGAGGCTGAGGCAGGTGAATCGCTTGAACCCGGAAGGCAGAGGTTCCAGTGAGCCCAGATTGCGCCACTGCACTCCAGCCTGGGCGACAGAGTGAGAATCTGTCTCAACAACAACAAAAAAAAAAAAAGAAAAGAAATTCTAGAGACTCCAAAGAAGAGCAGTCCCCCCTTATCCCTCAGACATGCGTTCCAAGACCCCAGCGGATGCATGAAACCGAGGACAGTACCGAAGACTATACAGACTATGTTTTTGCCTATAAGTAGATACCTATGATAAAGTTTAATTTATAAATTAGGCACAGTAAGAAATTTACAACAATAAATAGGACAATGATAATATACTGTATTAATAATTAAACTTTTATGAATATGGTCTCTCAAAAACTATTATTATGCTGCATTCACATGTATTTGGACCACAGTTGATTGCAGGTAACTGAAATCACAGAAAGTGAAACCATGGATAAGGGGACCACTGTATCTGCTGACGTATAATGATATGAAATTCCTTTGCTTCAAAGTACTGTATTTCTGGCTGGGACAGTGGTTCATGCCTCTAATCCCAGCACTTTGCGAGGCAAAGACGGGTGGATCGCTTGAGCCCAGGAGTTCAAGATCAGCCTGGCCAACATGGTAAAACCCAGTCTCTACTAGAAATACAAAAATCAGCCAGGCATGTTGGCGGGCACCTGTAATCTCAGGTATTCGGGAGGCTGAGGCATGAGAATCACTTGAATCCAGGAGGCAGAGGTTTCAGTGAGCTGAGATCAGGCCACTGCACTCCAACCCGGGCGACAGAGTGAGACTCCGTCTCAAAGAGCAAAAGAAAACAAAAACACCGTATTTCTAAATGTCTCATCCCCCGCAAAGGCCACACTGATAGCGCAGGCCCATATCAGCACTGGGCCTGCAGTTTTAAATGTACACCTCGTGTAATCTTCACAATGGCCCTAGATGGGTTTATCCTCATTTTACAAATGAGGATGCTAATGCTCAGGGAGGTTATGCGATGTACCCAGAGTCAGGAGCTAACCAGCAGCAGACTTGGGATGTGAACTTGGGAACCCACTTCTGGGGCCCTTACTCTTTGCCCCCAGGCTAATGCCTCCCCAAAGCAGGGACTGCTTCTTTATGCCAGAACTCATCTTTCCTAAATGAGCAATCTAAAAACGCTATTTTTAATTAATGAACTAAGCGGCATACTTTTATGAAAAACATTAATTTCCTGACGTGTACATTTTTATATAGTGTCGCACAATATTAAGTGAATGTAATTTGAGTTCCTTAACCAAACTCCTGTAAACAGCAAACTGCTACAAAAGTTAATTTAGCATCATTAGCTTGTAGCATGGCTATGTGGATATCAAAAATGCACTTCAAACACCAGCTAGGAAAAGATCCTCAAATATAAAAATGCAAGTTAAAAATGTAAATGTTAAATGCTTATCAAAGTAATAAAATGAACCCAAGTAACAGCATGTTCGAGCTAGACTGGAACCTGGAAGGCATCCAGTCCAAACATCAACTAGTAAGTCAGAAGCCCTCTGAGTTTAACAGATTTGCTCCAAGTCCCACAGAGAGCTGCAGGTCTGTAAACCAACCCACCCACCATGCACCACAGGGGCCAGGACTCCAACGAGAAGTTGCTGTGGGCACCCCAGTCTCTTAACACTCTTACTTCTGAGACTGCCCTCACCTAGCTCCTTGCCTGCTTATCTTCAAGTTCTACTTTTGTCCTAAAATCATCCCCAGGGCTTGAACACAGATGCAGCTTCTTTGGTTTCCCCTGAAAACTCTCTCCTGGTTGGAATTCCACACAGGCCCCAGCTCCACCTGCTTTTATCTGCCTGGACACTCAGAATAACAACAGCAGATGCCAAGCCCCTGTCCTCAGCACCCATCCCTGGCACCAGCCTGGTGCAGCAGGCTTCTTGGCTAGTATGTCACAGCTTTCGGTGGTCAGATCATTTTGCCAGAGAATTTGAAATAACAGGCTGGGTGCAGTGGCTCACACCTGTAATCCCAGCACTCTGGGAGGCCGAGGTGGGCGGATCACAAGGTCCGGACATCGAGACTATCCTGGCCAACATGGTAAAACCCCGCCTCTACTAAAAATATAAAAAATTAGTGGGGCGTGGTGGCACGCGCCTGTAGTCCCAGCTATTCAGGAGGCTGAGGCAGCAGAATCGCTTGAACCTGGGAAGTGGAGGTTGCAGTGACCCAAGATTGAGACACTGCACTCCAGCCTGGACGATGGGGTGAGACTCTGTCTCAAAAAAAAAAAGAAAGAAAGAAAGAATGTACAGCAGACTATTAAGCCTCCATTATCAACTCTAACTGTACCCCAGACTGTCCACGTCACACAGAGCCAGGTAACTGGTTTTGTTTGGGTCTTATCTCTAGCAGGACTGCCATCCATGGAAACAGAGCACGAAGGTGGAAGGCACTGAGAAGTTTCACACATGTGAAAAATTCACTTGATGTTAACAAATACTGAGCAGCAAGCAGAACAGTCCACAGTTTCCAGCATGTTTGTATACTCCAACAACCTACTACGCGGTGCCAGTATCCTCAGGATTTAAGAAACGTGCACAGTTCCTAGATTAAGAACATAAGAAAAACAGCTTTTTCCTTTCAAAATGATCTTAACTCACATATGAAGAATGGTTTATTTGTGTGCTATCTAGCAAAACAGAAGCTAATCATTCTCAAATTGAACATAAACTTGATCTTCAAAATAAAGTGCATTATTTCACTGAGTAACTAACTATTGAGACCTTACTGTGGGTGAGGACTGAAGAAGACGCAGGGGTCTGAGAGTTGAGGGCACAGCCTCCACCATGGAGGATCCCAGTGTCCACAGGGGAGGCCAGGTGTGCAAAGAACTACAGTCCTGTATGATGAGGCCCCCAAGGAAATTTACAGGAGATGCTGGTGGAGTTCGGAGAAGGAGAGATTCATACTGATTCACAGGACTGGGAAAGACTTCAGAGTGGGGAACACTTAGACGAAGGACCCAGCAACTTTTGTTATCAGAATGGAGAACGATGCGTGCACTTTACCTTACCATCATGGTGTAATGTATGTCAAACTGCAAAATAAGCCTAAGTTAATCCAGGAAGAAGAAAAGATGACCACAGCAGCAACTGACATTGAGCGAGCACTTTTTACTGGCTTAATGTTGTTTATGTACCATCTCAGTCTTCACAACAACACCAGAAGGGAGGGACAATTATTATCCTCATTATATACAGAAGAGGAAATTGAGGCTCAGATGCAAGAGGTAGTTTGCCAATGGTCACAGGAAGAAGTGGCTGTGCTGAACTCTGACAGTAGGACTGACTAAACTCATCACTACCAGATATCCTGTGTCAAGGATAGCATGATGTTTAAATTAGGTAACACATACACGAAACATACTGAACACTGTATCTGGCACCTAGTAAGTACTTGACCCTATTACTGTAGTCACGAGAAGATTCTCTAAAGGCTTACTCTTCTAAATACACAAAGAGTTCATACAAGCGCATGTGAGGACATGGCGAGAAGACACCATATGTGAATGAGAAACCCCTCACCAGATACCAAATCTGCTGGTGCCTTGATCTTGGACTTACCAACCTCCCACACTGTGAGAAACAGATTTCTGTTCCTTATAAGCTACCCAGTTACAAGGAATGAAGGGTAGGGTATGGAGCAGCTCCTTGCATGGTGGAGAAGCTGGCTGGACTGCCCTAGGCCAGACTGTCCATGATCAGCTGGCCAAAGCTAGCAGGCAGGGGACTGTCCTCTGGGTGCCAACAAATTCCCTGGGAAGCTATCTTGGGGGGTGAAGGAGCAGGCTGTGCGGAAAGCAGGCTACAGAACTTTCTGGGAAACATGATGAGGCAACAGCTGTGGTCCCTGGAAGGCCACCCACACGGGATGCTGAATTCATGGGGAAGGCAGGTGGAACATCCTTAAAGGGGCTGAGTTGCTGCTGAACTTGCAAGAGACTTACCCAAGGTATGCAGGCTATCGGTAGATTTGGCAACAATCTTCCTGCATAGCCACTAACAAGTCAGCTGGGGTACCCACAGGTATATTCTACCACTAAGCCACATATACTCTTAAGGGGTTTTGGGGATTCAAAGAGTGGTTCCCCAAAACTGTAGGGATGTTGCATTCTTCCTGTGAACAAGGTTTGCTCTTGGCTCAATTACAGAGTTAGCCCTCCTTATCAGTGAGTTTTGCATCCACGGATTCAACCAACTGCAGGTCGAAAAAATTGTTTTTAAACTGCACCTGGGCTGGACGTGGTGGCTCATGCCTGTAATACCAGCACTTTGGGAGGCCGAGGGGTGGGGGCAGATCATTTGAGGTCAGGAGTTCAAGACCAGCCTGGCCAACATGGTGAAACCCCCATTCTCTACTAAAAAGATGAAAATTAGCCAGGGATGGTGGTAGGCACCTGTAATCCCAGCTACCTGGGAGGCTGAGGCAGAAGAATCGCTTGAACCCGAGAGGCAGAGGTTGCAGTGAGCCGAAATCGCACCACTGCACTCCAGCCTGGGCGACAGAGCAAGACCCTGTCTCAAAAAAAAAAAAAAAGAAAGAAAAAGAAAACTAAATTCCATCTGTACTGAACATGTATAGACCTTTTTCTTGTCATTATTCCCTAAACAAAATAGTATAACAACTATTTACATAACATTTGTATTGTATTAGTTATTATAGGTAACCTAGAGATGATTTAAAGTAAGGGAGGAGGCTGGGAGCAGTGGCTCACACCTGTAATCCCAGCACTTTGGGAGGCCGAGGCAGGCAAATCACCTGAGGTCAGGAATTAGAGACCAGCCTGGCCAACCTGGTGGAACCTCGGCTCTACTAAAAAAACAAAAATTAGCGGGGCATCGTGGCACATGCCTGTAATCTCAGCTACTCCAGAAGCTGAGGCAGGAGAATCACTGGAATCCAGGAGGCAGAGGTTTCAGTAAGCCGAGACTGTGCCATTGCACTCCAGCCTGGGCGACAGAGTGAGACTCTGTCTCAGAAAACTAAACTAAAATAAAATAAAGCATCCGGGAGGATGTTCGTAGGTTATGTGCAAATACCATGCCACTGGATATCAGGGACTTGAGCATCCAAAGACTTTGGTACCCATGGGGGTCCTGGAACCAGTGCCCCACAGATATCATTCCTTTTCAAAACGACTCAAACTCATAGGCTCACTTGATAATTGAATATATCCTAAGGTATGGTTCCAACGACAGCTACAAAAACTTACACCATCAAAAATTATGACCCTCTCCTAGAACCGTTTTCATTTTCAGCACACATCTCTGCAACTCTTCAAAATGTAGGAATCCACTGAGTTCTGGGCAATTTAACAATGTAAGGAAATTTCCATTTTCAGGCATTTGTGGAATTCTCAAGTCCGGTTTTGATATTGAATGCTGAAACTTCAATAAAATAAAATAAACAAAAAACAAACAAACAAAAAAACAACATTCATAAACACCCTTCAGCGTCTTGAAGCTTTGGAAACCATTTGTGAAGTCTTAGCAGTCACAGAGTACAATCGGTAGGGTAAATAAACCAGGCCAGTTGGGGCCTCTCAGAGATGCCCTTAAATCAGAAAGCCCTCAGCACCTATCTTCAGTGAGTATTCATGGCCTGGTCACTAGGCAACACTAAACAAACTCAGTGTCAGCACTTGGCTTCTTCCACTTCTTCCAAGCATCCTCCAAAGTGGTGATAGTTATAGGCAGAAGGAAGAAAAAAGGCCACACTCTTGATTACTTCTGCGACTCACACAATGGTTCTCAGATTCTCCCAATGAATAACGCCAGGGAAGCCGTGCCAGGCCCACACACTGGGCACGGATGACGGGCGCCTTTCAGTTTTCCTTTCATGGCAGGTGCTCCACCTGGAGCCCATGACCTCAGCTTTTCCTTGTTTAGCCCAACTCCTGGCAGAAGACGATCGTCCTGACAGTAATGTTTGCTTGCTAATTACATAAAGCTTTGTTAAAATTATTTTTTGGTTTGAAAGATAGGAGGGAGAAGGGGATGACTAAATGATCTCAGGTTTGCTAAACCAAGAAGAGCTGCAGTTGGTCCAAGGGCCCCTTGAGGGATCATCAGTCAGGTCTCTTCTAGATCAAAAAGCTGAGGCCTCAGATCACAACGGCCCTTCCAATGCATTTGGTAAACGTTCAACCACAGAAAGCCAAGGGGAAAAAACTGCTACTATTTTTCAAATCTCTACCAGAATTTAGTCTCTTCCCTCACATTACAAGCTTATATAGTTGACCCTTGAACAATCAACACCCCAAGCAGTCAAAAATCCACGTATCATTTCTGACCACCCCCAGAACTTAACTACAAAAAGCCTACTGTTGACTGGAAGCCTTACCAATAATGTAATCAGCTGATTAACAGATATTTTGTGTGTCACATATAGCATGTGCTGTATTCTTACAATAAAATAAGCTAGAAAAAAGAAAATGCTATTGAGACAATCTTGAGAGAGAATATATTTACTATTCATTAAGTGGAAGTAGACCATCATAAAGGTCTTCCTCATCATTGTCTGTTCATTGAGGAGGCTGGGGAGGAGGGGGAAGAGGAGGGGTTGGTCTGGTTGTCTCAGGGGTGGCAGAAGTGGAAGAAAATCCTTCTGTAAGTGGACCGGCACAGTTCAAACTCGTGTGTGTTCAAGGGTCAACTGCATTTCCCTTTCATGACAACCTTTTGTTTGGAGGGTTTTTTGTTTTGTTTTGCTTTCTTTTTTGAGACAGAGTCTCACTCTGTTGCCCAGGCTGGAGTGCAGTGGCATGATCTTGGCTCACTACAACCTCCACCTTCCGGGTTCAAGAGATTCTCCTGCCTCAGACTCCCAAATAGCTGGGATTACAGGCGCGCACCACCATGACTGGCTAATTTTTGTATTTTTAGTAGAGATGGGGTTTTGCCATGTTGGCCAGACTGGTCTCTAACTCCTGTGACCTCAGGTGACCCGCCCACCTTGGCCTCCCAAAGTGCTGGGATTACAGGCGTGAGCCACTGTGCCTGGCCGTTTGGGGGTTTGTTTGTTTTGTTTTGTTTTAAAAATAATTCATACAAATCCAATCCTCTGTAGCATTGTTCCCTACGTCTTCCTCATGCCTGGTTATTTGCAATTCCTCTTCCTCCTGCTTTCTCTGTTTCTAATACCTGCAACAGGAGAGCCCATCTCCCCTCCTCCAAGCCACTCTTCCTCACGGGACGCCCACCTGCTGCAAAAGCGTCAGAGTCTTGGCATCTCCAGAGTCCCTGGGGAGTTTCCTTCCCCAAGTGTCCATTACAACACTGGGATGAGAGGCCAGGTAGAAACTTCAGGAGCATTCCACTTTGAAGTGTGAGGCTCTACCAGACACAAAATAAATATAACTGGGGGCCAGAATAAACATCCAGGGCCAGCAAGTGAACCTGGCTTACGTGGCATGCATTAATATTTGGAGAAATTTCCCCAGCGAGGTTGCAGGAAGCTGAGTCACCTACTAAGAAGGGCTTTATTTTTGGTTCTAAAAGACAGAACAATAGCAAAGTAAAATATTGTTCTATATCAAAGTTCTTTAAACTTACTGTTCTCAGCATCTTCATCAGTCCCAGATTAACCCTGACACTATACAAATTGCAATAACACAAGAACAATAGATGCTTTCTCTAGATTTTGTATGAGATTTCTCTGGAATTTCTAAAAATCCTAGAAAGGGGCCGGGTCCGGTGACCCAGGCCTGTAATCCCAGCACTTTGGGAGGCCAAGGCTGGCAGATCACTTGAGGTCAGGAGTTCGAGGCCAGCCTAGCCAACATGTTGAAACCCCATCTCTACTAAACATACAAAAATTAGCCAGGCGAGGTGGTACACATCTGTAATCCCAGCAACTTGGGAGGCTGAGGCAGGAGAATCGCTTGAACCCGGGAGGCAGAGGTTGCAGAGAGCCGAGATTGTGCCACTGCACTACAGCCCTGGGGACACAGCCAGACTCTGTCTCAAAAAAAAAAAGAAAACACAGAAAGGAACCATGAGGCACCACTTGAAGCTTCAATGAGGTGGTTTTATGATGTTGGGGGTATAGAAAATCATTCCTCAAAATATGGCACCTGAGCACGCTGGGCGCTTTTGAAAGCTGAGCGGCCCCTGAAGTAAGCCTCAGAATGAAGGTCCCTCTAACCTTGTCTTGTGCCTCCCCAAACCACAAGGGCAGGGACTATTCCTGGAACGTCCTTATCTGACCAAGAGCGCTCACCAAAAGAAACATAAATGCTTTCTATGCCCTCCCTGGAATCTCATTATCTCAGAAAAAAAGCCTGACGAATGTGACCACACCTGACAGACATTTTCCCGAGATAATGTCTGCCTCTCAGGCCCATTCAGATTCCAAAGAGAATCACTTACAATTTCATTTCGGTCTCTGTGGTCCATTCATTCTCCCTAATCCTCACTTACTGCCTCTCAAAAGAGCTGTCTACATTCTCATCTCTTCCCTCCCCTATGAAAAAGCGTATAGCTTCTGTATCCCACTGTGATTCCCTTTGAATGTTAATAAATTTATTTGCCTTAGTAATCTTCTTATTCTTATTAATTTGCCTTTCATCAGTTGATTTTCACTGAACCTTCTTCTGAGAGCAAAGGGAAAGTTTTCCCTGTACCCCCTACAATGAAAAGAAGGCATTCGCGTGGATGGCATGCACACTTAAAAACCTCACCATCCACAAGAAGTGGCCAGAGCTGGTGTGAAAGGCTGAGACTAATTCAAGGAAGTAAATTAATAGTGGGACACACTGTAAGTAGCTAAAACTTCCGAGGTCAATGTTGCAAAGGAGAGCTAAGGCCTTCTACAACATTATTCTCTTAGTAACAATTTAAAAAGCAAAATGAACTTGAACTTGTCATTCATCTGTATGTATCACTATATATAGTGATATATTTAGATATACAGTGGTCCCCCATCATCTGTGGTTTTTGCTTCCAAAGGTTTCGGCTACCAGCCATCAATCTGGGTCTGAAAATATTAAATGAAAAACTCCAGAAATAAACAATCATCAGTTTTAAATCTAGCACCATTCTAGTAGCATGATGAAATCTCGACCTGTCCAGCTCCATACCCCCCAGCACCATGAAATCTCCTGTGTCCACTGTCCCCACACTGTAGACGCTCCCCTGGGAACCCTCCTCTGCCCAGTGTCCCCACACTGTAGACTCTCCCCTGGGAACCCTCCTCTGCCCAGTGCCCCCACACTGTAGACGCTCCCCTGGGAACCCTCCTCTGCCCAGTGTCCCCACACTGTAGACGCTCCCCTGGGAACCCTCCTCTGCCCAGTGTCCCCACACTGTAGACGCTCCCCTGGGAACCCTCCTCTGCCCAGTGTCCCCACGCTGTAAACGCTCCCCACCTGCTCATCACTTAGGCACTTTCTCGGTTATCAGATCCACTGTCAAAGTGTTGCAGTGCTTAATACGTCACCCTTATTTTACTTCATAATGGCCCGAAAGTGTAAGAGTAGTGATGCTGGCGATTTGGATCTGCCAAAGAGAAGCTGTTAAGTGCTTTAGTAAAAAGCTGAAAGGTCTTGACTTAATAAGGAAAGAAAAAAAATTGCATGCTGAAATTACCAGATCTACAGTGAGAATGAATATTCTGTGAAACTGTGAAAAAGGAAAAATAAATCCATGCTAGTTTTGCTGCTACACCTCAAACTGCAAAAGGTATGGTTACAGCACCTGCTAAGTGCTTAGTTAAGATGAAAAAGACATTACATTTGTGGGCAAAAGATATGACCGGAAACGTTTTCCAATTGATGGCAATTGGGTTTGGTGCCATTGGTGGTTTCAGGATCCAGTAGGGTACTTGGAAAGCATCCCCCGCAAATAAGGGTTGGAGGAATGACTCTATAGCAAGGGTGCCCAACGCCAGGGCCATGGACTGGTACGCGTCCATGGGCAGCACAGAGGGAGGTGAGTGGTAGGTGAGCAGGCAAAGCTTCATCTGTTTACAGCCACTCCCCATTGCTCAAATTACCACCGGAGCTCCATCTCCTGTCAGATCAGGGCAGCATGAGATTCTCATAAGAGTGGGCAAACCCTACTGTGAACTTGTATGTGAGGGATCTAGGTTGCGCGCTCCTTGTAAGAATCTAATGCTTAATGATTTGTCACTCCCATCACCACCAGATGGGACCAGCTAGTTGCAGGAAAACAAGCTCAGGGCTCCCACTGATTCCACATTATAGTGAGTTGTATAATTATCTCATTATCTATTACAATGTAATAATAGTAGAAATAAAGTGCACGACAAATGTAATGCACTTGAATCATCATGAAACCATCCCACCAACCCCAGTCTGTGGTGCCGAACAAGGTTGGAGACAGCTGCTCTTGGTGATATAGACATACAGTGAGATGCACACACACCCTGCCCTTTGTTGCTCTACAATGGCCCGACATGTAAGTATGTCCTTAAGAAAATGTGCACAAGGACTTACACCATCCTCTCCTCACTGACCCTAAAAAGGTCTGACACCATGTGACCCAAGTCAAAGCCGCCTCTTCCCGCCACTCACTCGTCCCACCACGCCTCCCTGCAGACGCGTGTGCCACTTGGCTCCATTTTGCTCGCTAAGGGTTTATATAAATACAAATCCACCCAAGAAAGGAAAACTATTTCCCCTTTTCCTGCTCTGGATAAAGTTCCAGCAGACTTGGCTAAGGATGAGACAAGCTTCACAGATCAAAGACAGTTGGGGAGAGGGGGAGGGGGAGGAGCAGAGCACAAACCTAGCTCAGCCCTCTCCTCTCACAAAACACAAGTCAAGATTATAAAAAGCCCACAGTGCTGCACTGAAGTGCTTTCAAAAGGTTACTCTTTATTTTGATAGCCTGTCACCTACTTCTTACTGGAAAATGGTTCCAGACTCAGAGAGGTTACTGCAGACGGCATAAAAGCATTCAGACGACAACGTTCTCTCCCCAACATTCATTTTCCTTGCAAGAGAAAATAGGACGAACCCTTATGACCTGAAATTATAAAACTAGCGCCCAAGGACCTTATCAAAATCTACCTGACTTTGAAGTACTAAGGGGAATCATGTGAAGTCCTTAATAATGATCAGAAGCCAGGCCGGGCGCAGTGGCTCGCGCCTGTAATCCCATCACTTTGGGAGGCCGAGGCGGGCAGATTGCTTGAGACCAGAAGTTCGAGACCAGCCTGGCCGACATGGTAAAACCTCATCCTACTAAAAATACAAAAATTAGCCAGGCATGGTGGTGGGCACCTGTAATCTCAACTACTCAGGAGGCTGAGGCAGGAGAATCGCTTGAACCTGGGAGGTGGAGGTTGCAGTGAGCCTAGATCATGCCACTGTACTCCAGTATGGGCGGCAAAGCAAGACCGTCTTGGGAAAAAACAAATGATCAGAAGGCGTATACAGTCAACTCCTGAACAACAAAGGTTTGAACCATGCAGGTCCATTTACAGGAAATTTTCTTCCACTTCTGCCACCTCCTGAGAGAGCAAGTCCAACCCCTCCTCTTCCTCCTCCTCAGCTCACTCAATACGAAGACGATGATGAAGATCTTTATGACAATCCACTTCCACTGAACAGTAAATACATTTTCTCTTCCTATGATTTTCTAAACATTTTCTTTCCCCTAGCTTAGTTTATCGTAAGAGCACAGTATATAATACATAAAACATACGAAATACATGCTGATGAACTACTGATGTTATCCGTTAAGGCTTCCAGTCAACAATAGGCTATCAGTAGTTAAGGAGTCAAATGTTATATGTGGATGTGATTCCATGGGAGGGGGCTGGTCAGTGCCCCTAAACCCCGAGTTGTTCAAGGGTCAAGTGTACTTGCTTCTTGTCTCCTAACATTTCTGCAGATTCATTTTTCTCCAAGGAAGGGGAGGAAGGAGAAGGAGTGAAGGTTGGGACTGGGAGGTCTGGTAGAGCTGAGGCCTCCCTGAAGAGTCCTGGGAGAGAGGAGAAAACCCACAGGCTTGCAATCGGACCCACAGCACCTCAAGGCCAGAAGGAACCTTGAAATGGCTCAACTTTCTCCTTTTGCTCATGAATAATATCTCGCGCAGGCAGAAACATCTCCCACAGCACTACAGGGAGAGGATTCCAGCTGGAATCCTCTCTCAACACCAGCTTTTCTTTATCTACTCCCCTACCCAAGTGTCATCCGCAGAATAAAATCCAGCCGGGACTTGAGGCCATTTGAAACCCACAGCATCTATGATGACGGGAAAAGCACTAAATTGCACAACTAATTTAAACCCAGCACTGCCAAGCCTCTTCAACCTCTGAAAAATTATAATTGCAAACCAGAATAAAAATTTTTTTTTTTTTGAGATAGGGTCTTGCGCTGTCACCCAGGCTGGAGTACAGTGGCGCAATCATAGCTCACTGCAGTCTCAGCATCCCAAGTAAATGGGACCACAGGCACACACCATCATACCTCATTTTTTTATTTTTATTTTTTGTAGAGATGAGGTCTCGCCATGTTGCCCAGCCTGGTCTCAGACTCATGGTCTCAAGTGATCCTCCCACTTCAGCCTCCTAAAGTGCTGGGATTACCGGCGTGAGCCGCCATGCCTGGCCAAGGCCAGGGTTATTCTCCTTTGGGTAACTAACGTCCACCTGACGCATACTAGCTGATGCTGCGTCTCCTCTGCAGGGACGTAAGCTCCACAAGAGTGGGATTTTCCTTACTCACTGTGGGATCCCAAGCATCCAGAACAATGTCAGGCACACGGCAGGCCCTAGATATATGTTAAAGAACGAAACTCATCCATCCCCGAATCCATAAGTTGGGGCATAAACACGGAGGTCTCTCAAGTGCCCTCAAGCGTGTGGTTCTGAATCCGACACTGGTGGGGCACAGGGTTAGGCTGCGGGGGCCAGAGTCCACACCCTCTTCTTCCACAGGGTACACAAGTCACCACCTAGGAAGCTTCCAGACTTCCCTGGGCAGTACTACCTTCTCCGCATGCCATCCAAGGGCAAACAAAAAACCCCAAAACCAGAAGCACTCCAGGAAGTGGTCACCCTGCTTTGCTGTCTTACCAGATTACTGGATCTTTTTCAAACTAAAGAGAAAACCACAACAAAGTCAAGTTCCATGTGCGGCGACTCCAATGCCAACCTCTTAGAATATTTTCTCAATTTTGAGGATTACATGGCTCGGAGAAGCCCGTAAGTGTAGTGCAAAATGTCCTCTTCTGAATCGTAGTTGCAAATGGCTTCCTTTGAGGGGGAAAGGGCAGAGATACGAAGAATCATTTAGTGGTTCAGGGGTGTGGGGTAGGGGGAGACTGAAGCCGGCGTAAGATCTTAGCATCCCCCTTTTTGTCCTCCAGTCTTGGTTACTTACACGGGCTGGTCAGTACGCTGCTGGGTCCCAGGGTGGTGGGCACATCTCTGGAGATCTTTCTTTCTGCAATTCTCTCCTCTGGGTCGGCTATCTAGGCCACCCTCCTGGCACCACAGCCTGGAAACTCTCAAGACAGTAAGCTGGGGCAATGACAGGGCTTGCCTCCTTCATTTCTCATAGCTCAGGATCACTGTCCTTTGTTGCCTGATGCTCATGGTCTTGGAAATCATTACTTCTTATATTTGACTGGGGTTTTTGCCCTAGGTGTGCAAATGAATATGGTTCCTGTGACACTGTCTTGGCGGGAAGGGGTAATGTGGCTACAGGCATGTTTTGCTTTTGCTTTGTGCTTGTTTTTGCCATAGGTTTTTTAGTGCTTGATACTGTGAATAAAATACAGTCAGGCACTGTCTAATGACTTCTTTTTTGCCTTTTTGATATAGAGTCTCGCTGTCACCCAGGCTTAGAGTGCAGTGGAGTGATCTGAGCTCACTGCAACCTCCACCTCCTGGGTTCAAGCGATTCTCTGGCCTCAGCCTCCTGAGTAGCTGGGGTTACAGGCGTGCACCACCACGCCCAACTAAAGGTTGTATTTTTAGTAGGGACGGGGTTTCACTTTGTTGGCCAGGATGGTCTCAAACTTGTGACCTCAAGTGATCTGTCCACTTCAGCCTCCCAAAGTGCTGGGATTACAGGCATGAACCACTGCACCTGGCCTTCATATAATGACTTTTCGAGCAATGGTAGACCCCACATTTATAAGGGTGGTCCCATAAGATTACAAAAGAGCTGAAAAATTCTTATCACCTAGTGATGTCGTAGAGCAATGCATTATTCTTATGTTTGCAGTGATGCTGGTATAAACCACCTACTTCACTGCCAGTCATAAAATGCTAGCACATACAATTATGTACAGTATATAATAACAAACGACTATGTTACTGGATTATGTGCTTACTATACTATACTTTTTATCATTCTTTTAGGGTGTACTCCTACTTATTTTAAAACATTACTGTAAAACAGCCTCAGGCAGGCCCTTCGGGAGGTGTTCCAGGAGAAGGCATTTTTATTACAGGGTATAACAGCTCCATCACTGTCATTGTCCCTGAAGATCTTCCAGTGCGACAAGATGTGGAGGTAGAAGACAGTGATATTGATGATCCTGACCCTGTGTAGGCCTGAGCCAATGTGTGTGTGTCTTCATTTTAACAAAAAAGCTTTAAAAATTAAAAAACTATAAAATTTAAATAGAAAAAACTCATACAATAAGGATATAAAGAAACAATATTTTTGTACAGCTGTACAATGTTTGTATTTTAAGCTAAGTGTTACTGTAAGAATCAAAAAGTTAAAATATTAAAAGTTTATAAAGTAAAAAAGTTACAGTAAGCTAAGGTTAATTTACTATTAAAGAAATAAAGACTTAATAAATTGGATGTGGCCTAAATGTACAGTGTTGAAGTCTACAGCAGCAGTAACGTCCTGAGCCTCCATATTCACCCACACTGACTCACCCAGAGCAACTTCCATTCCTACAAGCTCCATTTATAGTAAGTGCCCTACACAGGTGTATACCACATTTTTATCTTTTTTTTTTTTTTTTTGAGACAGAGTATTGCTCTGTTGCCCATGCTGGAGTGCAGGGGCATGATCTCGGTCACTGCAACCTTCACCTCCCAGGTTCAAGCGATTCTTGTTCCCCAGCCTCCCAAGTAGCTGGGATTACAGGTGTGTGCCACCACGCCCAGCTAATTTTTGTATTTTTAGTAGAGACAGGGTTTCGCCATGTTGGCCAGGCTGGCCTCGAACTCCTGACCTCAAGTGATCTGCCCACCTCAGCCTCCCACAGTGCTGGAATTACAGGCATGAGCCAGCATGCCTGGTCACCATTTTTTATCTTTATACTGTATTTTGATTGTACCTTTTCTAAGGTTAGATGCACAAATACTTACCATCGTTGTTACAATGGTCACAATATTCAGTACAGTCACATGCTGTACAGGTTTGTAGCCCAAGAGCAATAGGCTAGACCCTACAGCCTGGGTGTGTAGTAGGCTAGACCATCTAGGTTTGTGTAAGTGCACTCTGTCATGTTCGCACGATGACACAAGCGCCCAAGGGTGCGTTTCTCAGAACATATGCAAATTGTTAAGCAAGGAATGACTGCAATTTCTTTATTTAAATGGTAAGCCTGTCATGAAAGTTAAAAAAGTTAAGCTCTTCCAAAAATGCTGAATGAAAAGACAAGTCACAGACTGGGAGAAAATATTTGCAAAGTATGTATCTGATAAAAGACCTATGTGCCAAATATGTAAAGAACTCTGAAAACTTAAGAAAATAAATAAAATAATTTTTTTAAATGGGTAAAGTTCTAACAGGCACCAAAGAAGGTAAACCGATGGTAAATAGGAGCATGAAAAGACACTCAACGTGATGCATATTGGGGAGCTGTAAATGAAAACCACATGAGATACTACTTCATGCCTGCTAGAATTTCTTTTTTTTTTTTTTTTTTCTTATTTTAGGTTCTGGGGTACATGTACAGGATGTGCAGGTTTGTTACATGGGTAAACGTGTGCCATGGGAGTTTGCTGCATAGATCAACCCATCACCTAGGTATTAAGCCCAGCATCCATTAGCTATTCTTCTCAATGCCCTCCCTTTCTCACCGCCCCCCACACAGGCCCCAGTGTGTGTTGTTTCCCTCCCTGTGTCCATGGGTTCTCATTGTTCAGCTCCCACTTATGAGTGACAACATGCGGTGTTTGGTTTTCTGTTCCTGTGTTAGTTTGCTGAGGATGATGGGTTCCAGCTCCAACCATGTCCCTGCAAAGGACATGATCTTGTTCCTTTTTATGGCTGCATTGTATTCCATGGTGTATATGTACCACATTTTCTTTATCCAGTCTATCATTGATGGGCATTTGGGTTGATTCCACGTCTTTGTTATTGTGAATAGTGCTGCGATGAACATACACATGCATGTATCTTTATAACAGAATGATTTATATTCCTTTAAGTATATACCCAGTAATGGAATTGCTGGGTCAAACGGTATTTCTGGTTCTAGGTCTTTGAGGAATTGCCACACTGTCTTCCACAATGGTTGAACTAATTCGCACTCCCACCAACAGTGTAAAAGCATTCCTATTTCTCCACAGCTTCGCCAGCATCTGTTGCTTCTTGACTTTTTAATAATTGCCATTCTGACTGGTGTGAGATGGTATCTCATTGTGGTTTTGATTCACATTTTTCTAATGACCAGTGATGTTGAGCTTTTTTTCATATGTTTGTTGCATGCCTACTAGAATTTATAAAATGAAAAACACTCAGCATAATCAATTGTTGCTGAGGATGTGGGGGAACTGGAACTCTCCTACACTGTGGGTGGCATTTCTTGAAAAGTTGAAACATACACCTACCATGTTACCCAGCTATGCCGCTCCTAGATATTTACTCAACAGACAACAAAGCATATATCCATACAAAGACTTGTAGCAGCTTCATCTGAAGTAGTCAAAAAGTAGAAACTCCCTCATTTGAAGGAATACAAGTGTCCGTTAAAAGGTCGGCACATAAACAAATTGTGGCATATTCGTACAATAGACTACTATCTAGGAAGGAAAAGGAATGAGCCATGGATATATACGCCAACATCGATGACCTGGGAATAACTATGTTGAGTAAAACAAGCCAGACCAAAAACAGAGTGCATAGTGGATGAGTCCATTATACAAAATTCTAGACAATGCAAGCTAAGCTGGAGTGACAGGAAGCAGATCAGTGGCTGCTGGGGGTGAGGATGGGAGCCAGGAAGGAATGGAAGTGAGCAAGGAGTGAGGGTGATGGACATACTCATGATGGGGTCTGGGGTGACGATTTTATGGGTGTATGTATATATCAAAATCTATCAAATTGGACCCTCAACTATGCATTTTTCTGTGTGCAAGTTATATCTCAATTACAAACAAACAAAAACACAAAACCCTATGGTTAACCCAAAACCTAAACTATCACCAAGAAATATCAATTGGGGTTATGGCATGACCATCCTCCCCAAGAAAATAAAATGCTTGACAGATTCTGAGCGGGACAAATTTCACTGATCATATCCCATGAGTTTCATGCTAAAGAATCAGGGAATCTCATAGATCAAATGCACACACAGGCAGAAATGCCATATAAGCGTGCATCGTTCTGTGAAATATTTATGATTATTTCATTTGTGCCTTACTGTATTGTTGGTAAAAGAAAAAAAGTATATTCTATGAGATGAAATTCAAGCTGAAGCTCTACGCAAACATGTAGAAAGTTCTCATATTAATAATACTAGATGCTATCTAATAATAATTGGTAGATGACACTACCTACCAATGGTTATTATATCAGTAGGTCAAAGTAGTTAAACATAGTTGATGGTTATAAACTTTGAAGGAGTAGCAATAACATGGAAACACACCTACTGACTGAAGGACCCACATGTAAGAGCTGACATTTAGGGAAAGGTAAGCCAAGGTTAACATACTCTTACCCATCTCTAATCAACTAAAGACATATATAAGCGTGGCTTCTTTCTCCTCTTCTTCTTCAGCCTCAGGAAATGACTCCCTACCTGTTTACAAGGTTCAGAGAACTGTAACTTAAAAGTGAGACACGAGCTTTAGTTCATCCAACACTATCCCCCTCGAAATGTCAAAGAGACACCAAGGCTAAGGGTAATTAGAGATCAGGACACTGGCTGCTTTCAGTATAGAAGCACACAGCAATCTAGTGGCAGACTCCGAAAACTAGCTCCAAAGAGCACCATCCTCTCTCCATCTAAACTGGATATTACATCACTTCTGATAAAATGAGTAACCACCATAATAATCTCTGTCAGCTATGAGAAAATTTACCCTGGCTTCTATGAAAGGAAAAAAAAAAAGCACTTGATTTCTTGAGCTGAGAAATTACATTAAATTACCTCCAAGCTCTTTGTTAATTGACGTCCATTTGTATCAGAGGTAATTCGCTTAATAAAGCCATTTGAAATAAAAAGTATGGGCAGTTGCCAACCTACACATACTTGACTTTCAAAAATAATAAATGGCCTCATTCCTCCTCACAGTGCTCTCTCTGAGGCTTTCAACAATTCCACCTAAGAGGCCACCTATTGCCCTGTATCCTTGGCCACAGCCCCAGCCTTGCTGCAGCCTCGAGTGCTGCCGCAGTGCCCCTGGACTCCATCCCAGCCCGCAGATGGGGGGGCTCTCGCCCCTCCTGTTCTCCTTGCTGTGGCTCTAACCCAGCAGTCCCCAACCTGTTTGGCACTAGAAACCAGTTTCGTGGAAGATGATTTTTCCAGGGATGGCGGAGGAGGGGGATGGTTTCTGGATGAAGCTGTTCCACTTCAGATCATTAGGCATTAGATTCTCATAAGGAGTGCACGGATCCCTAGCATGCAGAATTCACAATAGAGTTCAAGCTCCTATGAGAACCTAATGTAATGCTGCCGCTGATCGGACAGGAGGCAGAGCTCAGGCAGAAATGTGAGCTACGGGGAGCAGCTATAAACACAGATGAAACTGCTCACTCCTGCCCTGCAGCCCAGTTCCTAACAGCCCATGAACTGGTACTGGTCTGTGGCCCGGGGACTGAGGACCCCTGCTCTAGCCCGTATCTATACATACATTCTCACCTATGCATCCCATTATGGACTAAGAACACCAAGAAATCATGGCCACCCATACGTCATACTCTTTCAGAATGTTCTAAGTTAGGTGGGCTTTGTGGGTCCACCTTGAAACCTGACCAGCTTTCAGAGCGTCATACTTCGGGGCTGGCTCTTCTCCTTTAAAGTCAGTAGACTCAGAAGAGTTTCTGGAACACAGCCCTTTGTGGTTGAAGACAATCCACATAATCCAACAGTAAATTTTCTCTGCACACCCTACAACCTTATTAAAAGTGACTTCTTAAGTACAAGCAAAGTCATACATCACAGGTCAACCTCAGGTGAAACTGGTCTTCCACCTAGTTCCTGGTTCATGCATCCCCAGATCCTTCACAAAGCAAGAGCTACAGAGATTTCTATTTTTCTACGAGGAAGAGAAGGAGAAGGACTGTAAAAAGCTAGAGTACTTTCATGAAGTCTGAAAGGTGACTCTGCCATTTATCCACTGGATAACCCTGTGGAACTGACTTAGCCTCCTGAGCCTCATTTTTCTCATCTGTGCTCTGTGGATAGTAAATGCCAAATATGGACCTTATAGGAACACTACAAGAATTAAACAATACTTGCAACTGACTTAACCCTAGGCTTGGCACATAATAGCAACTCACTCAATGTTGACTTCCTTCCTCACATCCTTGTTACCCTGAAATATAAAAACCAAAGTTTGGGCAAAAATATCTTCTAGAAAGAGAGGTGTCTATGAGAGAAGCAACTGCAAGGGCCCTGACTTTCCTACTTCCTTCTCTAAAGTCCCTGTCGCTATCATTATATTTCATCCCACTTCCAATGCAGACCTTGTTCTATAAAGAATATCTAGCACTTTCACATGTTTCTGAAGGAAGTGTATTATTTGTAGCCCCTTTTTGGAGAAAAATTATTCTGCTTCAAGGTATTTATTCTACGGATATACTAACATGTGTCAAAGAATACAATCTCGAGTCTTTAGTGTTGTTTCTGGAGTAAAATATTGAAAATAATCAAAATGCTCATCAATAGAAGGCTGGCTAAATAAAGTCGGCTTATATAATGGAATATCACGTGGCCAGTAAAAAAGAATCAAACAGCTCTCTATATATCAATATTTTGCAGTGTATATATTAAACTTTTAAAAAGCATACAAAACACTGTTTCTATTCTACTACCATTTTGGGGTGGGAGACTTTCTCTCCCTACTCATTATATACATGCAAATATATATATTATAAACAAATCTCTAGATTTTTTAAACCATAGAGCATTTCTTTAAGAATATCCAAGAATTGGCCGGGTGCGGTGGCTCACGCCTGTAATCCCAGCACTTTGGGAGGCCGAGGTGGGCGGATCACGAGGTCAGGAGATCGAGACCATCCTGGCTAACAGGGTGAAACCCCATCTCTACTAAAAACACAAAAAATTAGCCGGGCATGGTGGCGGGTGCCTGCAGTCCCAGCTACTCGGGAGGCTGAGGCAGGAGAATGGCGTGAATCGGGAGGCGGAGCTTGCAGTGAGCCAAGATCACGCCACTGCACTCCAGCCTAGGCGACAGAGCAAGACTCCAACTCAAAACAAAAAAAAAAAAAAAAAAGAATATCCAAGAATCTGGCCAAAGTGGCTGCCTCCAGAAAGGGAAATACATGGCTGTGGACAGAACAGACAACTTCCTTTTCCCCAAAGAGCCTTTTGTACCTTTTGAGTCACCCAGGCTGGAGTGTGGTGGTATGATCACAGCTCATTGCAGCCTCAGCCTCCCAGGCTCAAGCAATCCTTCTGCCTCAGCCTCCCGAGTTTCTGAGACCACAGGTGCGCACCACCATGCCCAGCTGACTTTTTCTATTTTTGATAGAGACGGGGTCTTTACATTACCCAGGCTGGTCTCAAACTCCTGAGTTCAAACTATCCTCCCGCCTCGGCCTCCCAAAGTGTTGGGACTGCAGGCATGAGCCACCACACCCAGTCTATACAGACTATCTATGAAACACAAAACTTAAAATAAACAATCCCAGTGTAAATTTAGTTTTTGTTCTGATTTTTCCCCCAGAACAGCTCTCTCACATTTAAAAAGTCTTTCTCTAAATTTATTTAATTACAAAAATTAACAGTGCTGGTTTGAATAAGGAAATAAATATAAAGATGTGCAAAGAAAAGAATATAATCCTTTCCCTTACTCCCCCTTCCCAAGTCCCCAGAGTTAGACTGCTATGCTCCCCCTTCCCAAGTCCCCAGGGTTGGGACTGCTGTGCTCCCCCTTCTCAAGTCCCCAGGATTAGACTGCTGTGTGCCCTTCCCTACACCTTTTTCCAAAAGCGCATGCACACATCAGGAATTTTTTGTGTTGATTTCTTTTCTTCCAAGCAGAATCAAGCCATAAGCATAACTGCAACATTCTCTTCTTTCATCTGACAGTCAGGTTAGCGTGAGAATGGTATTTGGTCCCAATTCCTTTATTCACTTGATCTCAATGTCTTTCTCTTCCCCACCCTGCCCCTCCACCCGTGCTCACCCAAACAATTTTACGTAAGTAGACTAATATCATGAATTTTTTTTTCATGGAATCCCCCATTGCCTAATCAATCTCCTTGCATCCCCTTGAGGAAATGAGGCTACACGTCCATGTTCCCATCCTGTGGTCTTTCAGAGGCCCTCTCACTTGGGGCTGGCTCCCGCTCTGAGATTATCTCTAGTCAGGATGGGAAAAACTCCAGGGGTGCCCCGGGAAAATCTCTAGCCGTCTGGCCAGGCAGTTAAAGGTGGCCTTGACCAAGTGCGAAGCATGATTCCAGGCCAAAGCTGTGCTGCCATTTGCATCGTGGAATTAAATGATCTAAGTGGAGAGCCACTGGATGCTTTGAACAAACCCACATCACACATTTAATGAAGAAAAAATAGCAGCAGTGAGAGAGAGAAGCTCTCAAGCAAGACCTGGCAATGCTTCTAATTTCACTGTCCTTCCTACCCCTCTTCCTTTAAAAGCCAACAGAGATGACAGCCTACGTGAGTCAGCACAGGGAAGTGGGGAGGCCTCTGGGTCTCAGTTCCACATATCTTCCCCCTGCCTGTTCCCAGGGGTCTGCAGGTCCAACGGCCACTCCCTGCGAGTCCTTGGGTGTCAGAGGGAGCAGCTGCCAGGTGGAAACGGAATGAACTGCCTGCCTGAACTGCCTGCCGGGGGATTAGCAGCTTCTGTGCAAAGCTTACAGGATGCCTCTAAGGCCCCTGTGGCAGGAGGTCAAAGAATCTTAACAAGGAGGTGGGAAGTGGAAATAGAAGGTCACTTACTACTAAGCCTATTTCCACCCTGCATTTTTGGTTCTTGGATTTCATCACGCCGAATTTTACAGAATGCAAGTAAGTATGTACAAAGATCGAAGATCGGCATGGAGAATAGCATGAAGCAGTAACCTCCCTCCCAAATTTGCTTACAACTCTTATGTCCATACAAAGTTGTTATTAATGCCACAGGTTATGAAAATACCAGTCAATCATCACTGATTAATCACACTTTGATTTATGCCAGAACTTCACATTTTCTTAAAAGGTGGGGGGTGCTTTTTAAATATCGCACAAAAAAGCCAGCAGTGTTTAAATCTTCCTTTGATGTTGCTACACAGACTTGATGTATATTAAATCCTCCTCTGCCTCCAAGCATGCAAAGATGTTAGCAGATACTACGCAGGTTTTCCATCAAGGTTTTAATAAAATCCTATTGCTATCAAACCTAGTCTAGGTGCCTAATAGTAACTTTTCCAACTATGTGCAAAAGACAGCTGGGTTTAGTCACCGTAGGAGCATGTGGACATCTGAGGAAATCACTGATTAACTGTGGATAAGCCCGCGTCAAAAGGAGAACAGCGCAGCGCTGGCTTTGGGGTCTGGCTCCAGCTCTGCCATCTCCTAGCAGCGGGTCGCTCGACAAATGGCTCTGACAGCTCTAGGCCTGAGTGCACACGTCTAAGGGCAAGGTCACCGCATGCCTCGTAAGACTGTGGTGAAGCCTGCACGAGATGCTATACGCAAGTGTGTAGCATGAGGCCTTGAGACCCTGGCCACACACAAGACGAGGACTCTCCACCCGGCCACGGGCAGCCAATTCCTCTGTGCGGCAGCACCAGGCAGGCTGAGAGGAGCTGAAGCAGGCAGATCAGACAGCTCCCTGGGGATTTGAAATTGGGGTGAGAGATAGAATTAGTCTGTGGTGGGGGACTGAAGCCAAGAGAGGCTGGGGCGGTCATTTGCATCGTGCGCAGCTGCAGAGCAAGCTGGTCTGAGGGGAGAGGAAAATGGAGCGAGTCCTCAGGGAGAGGGTGAGATGGCACTGAGACGTGACCATGCCTGATGCAGAGGGACAGAGATGGGGGCAGGGGATGGAGCGGGAGACAGGGGACCACGCCAGGGGCACTGAGATGGGGACAGGGACCAAGTCAGGGGGGATTGAGATGGAGACAGGGACCCAAGTCAGGGGGACTGAGATGGGGACAGGGATCACGTCAGGGGGATTGAGATGGAGACAGTGACCCAAGTCAGGGGGCCTGAGGTGAGGACAGGGACCAAATCAGGGGGAATGAGATGGAGACAGGGACCCAAGTCAGGGGGACTGAGATGGAGACAGGGACCCAAGTCAGGGGGACTGAGACGGGGACAGGGACCAAGTCAGGGGGACTGAGATGGGGGCAGGGACCAAGTCAGGGAGACTGAGATGAGGACAGGGAACCAAGTCAGGGGGACTGAGATGGTGACAGGGAACCAAGCCAGGGGGATTTAGAAGGGGACAGGGACCAAGTCAGGGGGACTGACACAGGGACAGGAACCAAGTCAGGGGGACTGAGACGGGCACAGGGACCAAGTCAGGGAAACTGAGAAGGGGTTGGAATGACTGAAAACCAGAAAATCAGGACAGGAGGTACCGACAGGCTGGTGGCGGGAAGGGAGGGTAACAGAGCCAGGCATGGGATCCCGCACAGAGGACACAGACAGAAGACCGGGAAGGAGAGACAGAGGGACACAGGACAGTCTCGAATTCTAGTCCATACAGAGATTCTCTTCCCCATCCTTGGAATCTGGGGATAGCTCTCCTCCTGCCAGAATCCTGACTTTCCTTTCAAATTAGCTCAAGAGCTCTGACTAGAACACAGTAACTACAAACGGTTTTTCTCAGGGGTATCCATTTTTCTCATTAACTGTAAATGTTTATTTGCAAGTTACTATGTGGCTCTAACAAATTATTATAAAAACAGCTTCTGAAGCCTTGCTTTCAGATGAATAATGTTTCTCTCTGTATCCAGAGAAATGTACTGTGAAGGCCCGGTGGGCATCGCTGCCAGAACAAAAAGAGTAAGGAGCTGGACACGGGGCCCCGCGCTCCGATCCTGGTGCTGCGCTAACTCCCTGCAAGTTCCCGAAACACCGTGAGTCCTCTGGGCCTCGTCCCTTCTACTGCAAAAGGAAGAGACTGAACTGGTTTATCTCTAGGGTCTCTTCGAGCTTTAAATAGTCTGTTCCAGCTTAAAATACTGTAAAAATATATTTTCTACTTAATTTTCTAGGCTTCATAAAACTCCTCACAAATTTAGCATGAAGTAGAACAATCGCCTAAATAGGGCACACAAACATGTCCTTGGTTCTCCCAGGCCACCACTTCCCTAATTCTCCCGTCTTCAGTCTTTGACACAGGTAATGAACCCACAGGTCACCGAGAAGAGCATCACCTGCGAAATTTCAAGACCCACGGTGGCTGTGCTCCATCTCTGATGTAGCACAGAAGATAGTGGGGGCTGAGAAAAGAAAGAATCTCGCCTCTCAGAGATGTGCCTGTCTCCATGCGCTTCAAAGATCTTAGCCACGTCGTGCATAATGTATGAGTGAGCGCTCACAGAAAAGGCCTGTTACGCAGTTCTCTATCACAGCAGATTTCCCTACAGGGAAGAAAACAACGGGAAATCATATAAAAATAGGAGAGATTTAATTTTGTGCTTAAATAAACATGCTTTTCATTCCCTACTTAGCAAAAACAGTTCCCCCTAGGAGCTCAGGCTACCTGCCTGTGAGGCAGAACTAAATCTATGCATCCGTACAGCTCTTTTGTCTGACACCTGACCAGTGGGGTCCTCTATGCTCCCTTGAGAAGAAGCCAGTAAACAGACAGGCAAACTCCATAAATAAGGCCACCTTCTCAGGGGCTCTGCGGGGAGCAGGATGCCTGGAGGCCAATCTCTCCTCACCTTCCATCATCTAAGCATCTCACATCTTGCATCTTCTTAAGCATCTTAAGAAATACAGGACTGCCTCCCTCCAAGCACACAGGGTACCCCGGAGTCCTTACCCACTCCAGCACAGGAAAACCAGCCCTCATTTAGCCTCAGAAAAGATCCAGTCTCCCTTAAATGGCCTGGAACACTGCAGGCCATTTCAGAGTCTTCTGGCTCAGATGCAGTGCTAGGGTGAGGGCTTAAAGGGCAATGAAAGTCTTTCTCTTTCTCTCTCTTTCACACACACACACACACACACACACACACACACACACACACACACACCCCTTTCTGCTCCATCAGAAGAAGAAAATGATTCTTGCCAATATCTATAAGAAGGTCACTCATGTAACATAAGATCCTGCCCTCAAATCTCACCAGCTGAAGAGATATAGATCATCTCTAAAAGATAAACCATTTGTAGTCCAGATGGGTTTAGCGGTCAGAAGCCAGGCAAGGAATCTAGAGTGAGACAGGGTATCCATCAATTCTGAAGTTCAAGGAAAGAAAATAGATTAGAGAACAGGTAAGCAAGTTGGAGGCAAGGCCCCAAGGAACCCAGGAAGGAGGTGTGCACAGCGATCGCACCCTGGAGGAAGGCTGCGCTGGCCTCACGGGAACAGATTTGCTTCTTCCAGTCAGATGCGCTTCTCTGCCCCCAGGCCACGTTTAGCATTTGCAGGTTCCCAGGCTAGACTCCTAGGGGACCTGCTTTCACCAAGGAAGGGAATAGAGGCAGTAGCTAAGTCAGTGCAATCTCATGCTGTCCTAGAGATTCTGCAAAATGCAGAGCTCCCCTCACAAAGTGTAAAGGGACAGAAGACTGCATCAGCTTGCTAAGGCTATCATAACACAGGACTACAGGCTGGAGAACTTAAAGAAAAGGGTTGCGGTTTTTTTGTTTTTTGAGATGGAGTCTCCCTCTATTGCCCAGGCTGGAGTACAGTGGCGCAATCTCTGCTCACTGCAACCTCCGCCTCCCGGGTTCAAGGAATTCTCCGGCGTCAGCCTCCAGAATAGCTAGGATTACAGGTGTGCGTCACCACACTCAGCTAATTTTTGTGTTTGTAGCAGAGACAGAGTTTCACCATGTTGGCCAGGCTGGTGTCAAACTCCTGATCTCAAGTGATCCATCTGCCTCAGCCTCCCAAAGTGCTGGGATTATGGGTGTGAGCCACCATGCCCAGCCTAAGAACAGGTATTTATTTTCTCAAATTCTGGAGTCTGGAAGTCCAAGATCAAGGTGCTGGCAGGGTTGGTTTCTTCTGAGGCCTCTCTCCTCTGCTTGCAGGTGGCTGCCTTCTCCCGGTGTCTTCACGTGGCCTTCCCTCTGAGGATGTTTGGGTACAAATTTCCTCTTCTTGTAAGAACCCCAGTCCTACTGGATTAGGGCCCAACCTAATGACCTCATTGAACCATAATTACCTCTTTAAAGACCCTAACTCCAAATACTACCTTCTGGAGATTAAGATTTCCAAATATGAATTTTAGAGGGAACACAATTCAGCCATAACAAAGGCTAAGTAAGAACCTGTTTAAAATCCTGGATGTCTTTTCTTGCTAAAGGAGCTGACTCTTAGTTCTCTCCTTCAGCTCCTGGAGATTGTGTAATTAACTGGAGGAGGCTCAGAGGTAGAAGGAGCCTAAGATACTATCTATTCTAGCCTCTCATTTTGCAGTTGAGGCTGAAGTTCACAGAGGTTAAATGACCTGGTTCTGAGTAACTGGTTGGACAGCTGTACCCAAGAGGTTCTGATAATGGATAGTTGTCAGCTTCCTATCAACTTCCTTCCTTTAAAGTTAACACATATTCATTGTTTTTTTAAAAAATTTGCAGGAAAGAACACTATAAAGTGAAAAATAAATGTCCACCTTCCTCCTGACGGCCAGTCTATTCCACAGAGGTAACTACTGTTACCCATTTCTCAGGCGCCTTCCAGAAATACTGCATGCAAACACAAAGAGTGTGTGTGTGTGTGTGTGTGTGTGTGTGTCGCACACTGCTGCCTACCCAATATCCCTTCTCCTCTTCTTCCATATTCACAGAACTCTGGATTGTGTGTCAGGGAAGAACACGTGCCTAATCAAAATTTTTGCCTTGACAGATTCCCTGAAGGTCTGGGTAGCCATGGGATAGTTCTAGCCAATGAAATGTAAGCAGAAGTTGGGCCAGGCATGGTGGCTCACGCCTGTAATCCCAGCACTTTGAGAGACCCAGGAGGGTAGATCACTTAAGGTCACGAGTTCAAGACCTGCCTGGCCAACACGGCGAAACCTCATCTCTACTAAAAATACAAAAATTAGCCGAGCGTGGTGGCGGGCGCCTGTAGTCCCAGCTACTCGGGAGGCTGAGGCAGGACAATCGCTTGAACCCAGAAGGTGGAGGCTGCAGTGAGCTGAGATCACGCCACTGCACTCCAGCCTGGGTGACAGAGTGAGGCTCCATCTCAAAAAAGAGCTGGTTGGACATTTCTGGAAATATTTTGGGTTTTCCGATTCCAACTTCTTACCTTCCTCCTTACATCTTTTTTCCATCAGAAATGCAGATGTGAGGTCCGGTACAGTGCAGCCATCTTGCTGCCATAAGGAAACACACCCACATAATTAGTACCGCAGAGGAGAAAGATGGCATCTGAGGCAGGGATGGCATAGTGAGACCCTGTCCCAACCCTGCACTGCTGACATATGAAGATGTCTTGTTGTACAAGGTAAATACATTCCCTTCATTTTTGTTAATTTATAGCTAATATCTTCCTTACTGATATCCCGTATATCTTTTTAATTTTTAACACAACATCCTCCTATGCATAGTGATTTGCTTTTCCATTTAGTATCCTGAACCTTTCCTAGTTAGTACGTAGAGAATTGTGCCATTTTTAACACTACACAATATTTTGCTGGACACCTACAGATGGTCATATAAGCTACCTCTATTTTTTGCTAGTATAAATGCTATTATTACAAATATCTGCGTAGTTATTTTTGTGTACATGCTGGAAAACATTTACAGGGTCATTAGTGGAATGACTGAGTCTAAGAATACGAACCTTTTAAATTCTAGTCTAAGGATATTGTAGAAATGCCCTTCAACAGCACTGGTCAACTCAATATGTCTGTTTTCTCATCCTTTCACCAGCAAGGTGGGTATTATCAGACTTAGCCACATCCAATTTCACAGATGAAAACAATGAGACCTCTTTATTTTCCTTTGCATTTTTAAACAAAGTGAAGTTTACTATGTTTTCACAAGCTCACTTCTAGCAATGAACATTGGTTTAACTATTCCATTTTTCATTTTTCCTATTGACTTCTAAGACTTCTTTCCATGTGAAAGGAATTAGCTCTGACACATAGGCTGCAAATATTTTTCTCCAATATATTACTTGTTTTTTGACCACATTTATGGAATTTTTGCCCAACAGAACTTTAAATTTTCCTCATGAAATTTTTCTTTTAGGAAAGTTAGCCTTTTTCTTTACAGCTTCTGTGTTTTGTGACACGCTTTGGGGGGAAAAAAGTCTTCTGTCTACATTCCAAGATATATTTAAAATTTACTCATGTTTCGTCTAATAATTTTTATGAGTTCATTATTTAAGTCTAAATCTTTCAGACAATTTAATTTCTTTTTTTTTAAGAGACTTTCTTTGTTATGTAGTTTATTTTTATCTAAGGAATGTTGGAGGGACCCCAGCTCCCTTTTTTTTCTAACAGCTCTTCAGCTGTCCTAAACCACATTTATTGATGAATTTACTTCCCCCGGTGATTAGGAATGCCACCTTTTCCCAATCTGGAGGCACAGTGTGAAGCAGCCTACATCTGCCAGGACTCTGACATATGCCCTACCTTCGAGAATGTTTCAGTGAATGATGCTGATGCAAATATACAAGGGAACTCGTCAATCATTTGTGTCGCTTACAACCAAGAGAATAAATTAACAGGATGAAACCAGAGATTAAAAAACATCTCAAAAGCATGGAGCAACAGGAACTGTTTAACAAGATAATGTCTAATAGGATATAGTTTGAACTTACACTTAGGTGCGGTGAAATCAAAGCCATCAAATACAGAAGAGAAATAGTGGGGAGGCAGAACACATGCCAAGGCCTCCTTGGGACACTGCCAGTAGCTCTGACCTAGGGCAGTCTGAAGCTGCAGTGTTCTCAGATGGCCTTCAAAGACGCAGGGCCATACTGTATCTTAGGCCGTCTTCACAGAAAGAAGGTAACAGCCCGGGCCCTAGTCCACATTGCTCACACCATTACCTAGAGCCTGCAATTCAGTTTCAGACACGACCAGTTAAGGGGAATATCAACTAGACCACTCCACGGAGGAAAAACGCAAAAGCTAAGGGCATTTAAAACAATATCACATGAAGAAGGAATAACTGGAGATGCCCACTGCCCACTAAGCAGTGACACTCTGTAATGCGGGCAAGGCCCACGCCACCTTTATCTGTGCAGTCCTCACGGCGTGCATAGCCTGGAAAGAGCTGGCCCCTAATGAATAAGCATTGAGCAAAAGTGGAGAACTGAGGGGACAGGATTTGCTGCTTTAGATTTATGAGGTAGATTCCTTAGAGACTAGTGGCCGAGCTCTTATCCCGCCCCTAGCTCAGTCCTTCATGTCTTTCCTTTAGATCAGGCTCTGTCAATCTGCTAAGAGCACCCCTGCCTCCCTCTTCCGGCCCGTTACTGCAGCCAGCAGCCTTCTTCCTACAATGCAAATCTATTCTCCCCAGCCTCTCACATTCAAGTGAACTCCTTGGACACTGCAGAATGGGCCCTTTGTGATCCAGCCCCCTGCCCACTTTCCCAGCTCCTTGCTACTTTAACATAAGGAAATCAAACTTTTCAGGGACCCCAATACGTCACCTCTCATGCCTCTGCTAAGCTCTTCTCTGGGTGCGGAGCGCCCTCCCAGAACCCCTTCCCCATCCTGAGTCTGGCAGATTCCAACTCAGTATGTGTACCGGGCTGCACCCCCACCTGGAGGTCCTCTCCAGCACCCTTCTCCGTGCAGCTCAGCACCCTGGACATCATCTTCTTCACTGCCTTTCTCACACTGTGCTCTAGTTCATTCATGGACATCTCTATTTCTATATCAGATCGTGAGATCTGTCCAGCGCCATGGCCCATGCCTGTAATCAGAGCACGTTGGGAGGCCTAGGTGGGTAGATCACTTGAGGTCAGGAGTTCAAGACCAGCCTGGCCAACATGGTGAAACCCCATCTCTACTAAAAATACAAAAATTAGCCAAGCAAGGTGGCAGGCACCTGTAATCCCAGCTACTGAGGAGGCTGAGGCAGGAGAATCGCTTGAACCCAGTAGGTGGAGGTTGCAGTGAGCCGAGATCACGCCACTGCACTTCAGCCTGGGCGAAAGAGTGAGACTCTGTCTCAAACCAACAAACAAAAGATTGCGAGATCTTTGAGAAAGGAGATTGCGTGGGGTATCCTCAGTGCCTGACACAATGGCAGGACCAATGGATGACAGCAAGTTAAACTAGAAGGGAGGGGAAGACACATTTCAGATAAATACAAAAAAGAGACTTGAACAGAACTGTCCACAAATGGAACAGATTGCCTCACGTGAGGTCACGTTCAGAGGTGCCCAGAGGCCAGATGGTCTGCTGGGAAGACCATACAGAAGATTCTTCACTGTTCAACTAGAACAGTGCTTCTCAGCCTTGCTTTAGAGTGTGCCTGCTTCGGCAGGTCTGGGGTGTGGCCTGGGATTCTGCATTCCTAATATTCTCCCAGGGGAGGTCGAAGCTGCTAGTCCAGGGACCACATTTGAAATGCCCGGGACTAGATGACCTCTAATTTCTCTCCAATCCTGGGATCTGTCCCAGGACACATATATGAGGTGGCCCCACACCTCTGGCGTGGGGAGCCATTAACTAAGGAGAAAGCATGGCTTCGAGTTCTGTGTCAGGAAACACCAAGCAAAAGGCTCAAGGAAGAAATGACTGTAAAAACTCCTAAAATAAACTAGAGTCTGGTTCTATCTATATCAGGATTTTCCTGAAGCATTTTAACTAAAAGAAGACTAAGTTATTATTAAGTGTCAGCCACCGTTTTCATCAAACGATTTGGCTTTCAGTATTGTTTTTGTTCAGCTATTTTAAAACCTGAATCAGGGCAGAGAATACAAGTAAAAGAGAAAATCACTCATAATCCATCTAAAATTACAGGTTATTAAATTTAAATAGGACATTAGTGGGGGCTATTCTAGAGTTCTCTGGACCAATTTTCTAATTTTACAGGAAAGGAAACATGTACCCAAGGTCACCAAAGTTGGCCCTAAAGCAAGGAATCCTATCCTATATATTTCTTTTTGAGATGGATTCTTGCTCTTTCTTCTAGGCTGCAGTGCAGTGGTGTGATCTTGGCTCAGTGCAACCTCCGCCACCCGGTTTCAAGTAATTCACATGCCTCAGCCTCCCGAGTAGCTGGGATTACAGCACCACCATGCCCGGCTAATTTTTGTATTTTTAGTAGAGGCGGAGTTTTGCCATGTTGGCAGGCTGGTCTCAAACTCCTGACCTCAGGTGATCCGCCCACCTCGGCCTCCCAAAGTGCTGGGATTACAGGCATGAGCCACCGTGCCCAGCCAATATTCTCAGTATACTTTCCCTTCCTTTAAAGTCAGCTTGCTCTTTGTCTTAGTCTGCTCAGGTTGCTATACCAAAATACTACGGATTGGGTAGTTTAAACTACAGAAATGTAGTTTCTCACAGTCCAGAGGCTGGGAGGTCCAAGATCAGGGTGCCTGCATGGTTGGTGTCTGGTGAGGGCCTCTCCCTAGCTTGTAGAATGCTGCCTTCTTGTTATGTCCTCACATGGCAGAGAGAGACACAGTGGGCTCTCGGGGGTCTCTTCCAATAAGGACACTAACCCCACTGAATCAGCAACCACCCTCATGATCTCATTTAACCTTAAAACCTCCTTATAGACTCTATCTCCAATATACATTGGGGGTTGGGGCTTCAACATATAATTTGGGAGTCACAAATCAGTCCCAAGCAATGCCAACTTTGAAAAATGATACTCTTACTTCATTTTTCCAATATGAGTAGAATAATGCATTTGATAAAAGTTTGATCGAATAAATCCAACTTAAAAATACACCTTCTTGTCTACAGCCATACTACCTGATCTGGAAAGCTAAGCAGGGTCGGGCCTCGTTAGTACTTGGATGGGAAAAATACATCTCCACAATCACCTGATTTCAAAACGTACCACAAAGCTACAAGAATCAGGGTAATGTGAACAGACATATAGATCAATAGAACAGAATAGAGTTCAGAAATAGACAAACACATAAATGGTCAATTTTTTTTTTTTTTTTTGAGACAGTCTCACTCGGTCGCCCAGGCTGGAGTGGTGCAATCTCAGCTCACTGCAACCTCCGCCTCCCAGGTTCAAGCGATTCTTGTGCCTCAGCCTCCTGAGTAGCTGGGATTACAGGCATGCGCCACCACACCCATCTAACTTTTATATTTTTAGTAGAGACGGGTTTCACCATGTTAGCCATGCTAGTCTCAAACTCTTGACCTCACGTGATCCGTCTGCCTGCCTCAGCCTCCCAAAGTGCTGGGATTACAGGTGTGAGCTACCGCCCCCAGCCGTCAATTGATTTTTGACAAGAGCCCAGGCAATTTAAAGGAGAAAGAATAGCTTTTTTCAGCAAATGGTGCTAAAACAACTGGATATCTGTATGGAAAAGAAAATAAACCTCAATCCTTACTTCAAGGCGCACATGCACGCGCGCGCGCGCGCACACACACACACACACACACACACACGCACCAAAGTAACTTGAAATAGATCCTAGACCTAAATGCAAAAGCCAAAATCACAAACTTCTAGGTGAAGGTCTTCTTAACCTTGAGAGGGACAGAAAGAAAGAAAAAAAAAAGTACTAACCAGAAGACTTCGACAAATTGAAATGTTGAACTCTTGCTCTTCAAAAGACACTTGAAGAAAATGAAAAAGCAAGCCACCCACTGGGAGAACATGTTTGTAATACATACATCTGGCAAAGGACTTGTTTCTAGAATATATTTAAAAACTCATACAGCTCAATGATAAGACGACAAGCAACCCTATTAAAAATGGGCAAAAATTAGAACAAGATACTTCACACACACACACACACACACACACACACAGAGCCAGTAACCACAGAAATGGCACAATGAGCAAAGATGCTCATCATTAGCTATCAGAAACACAAACAGAAACCTTACGAAGATACACAACATAACCACTAGAATGCCTGCAATTAAAATGACTGACAATACCAAGTACTGATGAACATGTGATGCAACCAGAATTTTTTTCTTTTTTTTTTTTTTTTTTCAAGACAGAGTCTCTCTCTGTTGCCCAGGCTGGAGTGTGGTGGCTCAATCATAGCTGACGGCCACCTTGAACTCCTAGGCTCAAGCGTTCCTCCCACTTCAGCCTCCTGACTCGCCGAGACTACAGGCACATGCCATTACTACATGCTAAGTTTTCACTTTTAATTTTTTGTCGAGGCGAGGTCTCTTTTAGTTGCCCAGGCTAAGAATTTTTACAAACTATTGGTCGAATTGTGTAGTAGCCCATTCTTACACTGCTATAAAGAAATACTTGAGACCGGGTAATTTATAAAGAAAAGAGGCTTAATTGGCTCACAGTTCTGCAGGCTGTACAAAAAGCACGGAAGCATCTGCTTCTAGGAGGGCCTCAACGAGCTTTTACTCATCACAGAGGGCAACGGGGGAGCAGGTGTCTTACATGGCAGGAGCAGGAGGAAGAAAGAGAAGGGAAGGTGCCACACACTTTTAAACAACCAGATCCCATGAGAATTCACCATCGTGACAACACCACCAAAGGGGGACTGGTGCTACACCATTAGAGACCACCCCCTGATCCAATCATCTCCCACCAGGCCCCACCTTCAGCACTGGGGATTGCATTTCAACATGAGATTTGTGTGGGGACATAGATCCAAATCATATCAGAATGTAATGGTACAAACACTCTGGAAAAATTTGGCAGCTTCCTATAAAGCTAGACATGGGCTGAGTGCAGTGATTCATGCCATAATCCTAACATATGGAGAGGCGGAAGTGGGAGGATCGCTTGAGGCCAGGAGTTCAAGACCAGCCTGGGCAACACAGGGAGACCCCATGTCTACAAAAAAATTAAAAATTAGCCAGGCGTGGTGGTACATGCCTGAAGTCTCAGCTACTCAGGAGGCTGAGGTAGGAAGACTGCTTGAAACCAGGAGTTCAAGGCTGCAGTGAGCCACGATTGCACGACCACACTCTAGCCTGGGTGACAGAACAAGACCCTGTCTTTAAGAATAAATAAATTAAATCAACAAATAAACAAAAAGCTAGACATGCACTTTCCATATGACCTAGCAATTCTAATCTTAGAGCAATGACAATATATGCTTACACAAAGCCTTACATGTGAATGTTCATAGTGACTTTATTCACATTGCCAAAAAAATGAGAAGAACCCAAATGTCCCATCAAATGAATGAACATACTGCAGTACTTCCTAAAATGGAATACTACTCAACAACAAAAAGAAACAGCCTACACTTTGGGAAGCTGAGGTGGGCGGATCACCTGAGGACAGGAGTTCAACACCTGCCTGGCCAACATGGTAAAACCCCGTCTCTACTAAAAATACAAAAATTAGCTGGGCATGGTGGTACATGTCTGTAATCCCAGCTACTCAGGAGGTTGAGGCATGAGAATCGCTTGAACCCGGGAGGCGGAGGCTGCAGTGAGCCAAGATCGTGCCACTGCACTCCAGCCTGGGCAACCGAGTGAGACTCTGTCAAAAAAAACAAAAAAAACAAAACAAACAAACAAACAAACAAAAAACAGGAACAGACTACTGTCACATGCAGCATAATGACATTTTATACTATGGTGGTCCCATAAGATTATAATGGAGTGGAAAAATTCCTATCACGGAGTGACATCATAGCCGCCATAACTCAATTTTTTAAAATAAATTTAGTGTTGCCTAAGTGTTCCATGTTTATAAAGCCTACAGTAATGTGCAGTAATGTACTAGGCCTTCACATTTACTCATTACTCATTCACTGACTCACCCAGAGACACTTCCAGTACGCAGGCTCCATTCACGAGACGTGCCCTATACAAGTGCACCATTTTCTGTCTTTTATACTGTATTTTGACAGTACCTCTTCTGTGTTCACATTTGAGATACACAAGTACCACTGTGTTATAATTGCCTATAGTATTGATTACAGTAACATGCTGCACAGGTTTCTATTCTAGGAGCAACAGGCTTGACCATATAGCCTAGGTGCATAATAGGTTGTAACATGTAAGTTATGTGGGTCCACTCTATGATGTTCATACAACAATGAAATTGCCTAATGACACATTTCTCAGTATCCCCATCATTAAGGGATGCATGACTGTATTCATTCATGTAACAACATAAATAAACCTCCAAAACATTATGCTAAGTAGAAGAAGCCAGATCTGTGGTTCCTCAACTGTGCACGAAACCACCCCAGGGCCCCCAGTGAACTCACAGACATGCCACTGGATATTTTAAATCTTGGAGGGAAACAGCAATAATTGTGGGACACCATGTAAGCTACTTTTAATGAGTTCTCTGGATCTAATGGAACTGGTAGGTATCCCTTTTAACTTTCAACACCATAAAAAATTATGGATTCTAAAGGCACTGTGAACCAAGGAAGTTTGCAAACCTCTAAACCAGACACAAAAAAAGTACATACTAAATGACTGAATGTATAGGAAGCTCTCTAATAGGGCAACCTAATTCCCATGGACAGAAAGCAGATGAGTGGTTGTTCGAGGGTGAGCATTAGGGGAGTGAGGGTACATTTGGGGTAATGGGAGTGAATGCTCTCTATCTTGATTGGGAGTGAATGCATGTCAAAACCCATAGAATCTATCACACACTTAAAAAAATAGGTGCATTTTTACTGTATATAAATTATACCTTAATAAAGTTTATTTAGAAATTAAATACTGCAAGAAAAGTTTAAAACACACATTCCTAAACACTATCCTGTCCCACGGGTCTTGAGCATCTTTCTAGATGGTGGGCATCCCGGAGCAGAGTTACGAGATACCCATCATGCAGCCGCCATCTCAGTGACTACAAGGTATCACAGCTCACACTCAGGAAACAAATGTTCATTAATTCCCTCATTTTCCTCACGATGAAGATGTTTCTACAAGGAAATGAAAATTGAAACTAAATTCCAAACTTGCTATATAATGATCTTTTATGTGAACAATTTTTTCAACAACTTAATTTTCAGCACTTATTAATATTTATAAAGCTTTTCTCTCTCACTTCCTCAGGATTCCTGCCACTGAATATGGTTTCAACTTAAAATTTTAAAAGATCCTTTACTGGGTAAGAGTATTTGGGACACCCATTATACTACGTAGAAGAGTCAATATTCAGACCCAGTTCTCATGTATGGAAATTAAACTTTTCATGGCCTCTTGTGATTATTTAGAACAAAAGTTGGCAAAACATGGCCCGCTGCCTGTTCTTGTAAATAAAGTTTTATTGGAACTTAACCACAGCCAGTCATTTACATATTATCTACGACTGCTTTCCAAGGTAGTGCAATTCTGCTAACCGATGCTACTACAGTGGCACAGGTAGGTGGTTGCCACACAGGCTATAGCCTGCGAAGCGAGAAATAATTACTATCTAGCCCTTCAAAGAAAAAGTGTGCTGAACTCCAATCTATAATATATCTGTTGACCTAAAACAACATGCTGAACCATGCAAGACAGAGAGGAAAGAAAAGGAGAAAACCAAACACCTCAGTGATGTTATTTCTTTTTAAAACACAACTGAACAATTACATAAAGGCTGTGTATGTGAGAAAAGCACACTGTTTCAATTGCAAATTTCAGGCAACCCTGTTGCTTCTGACAAAATAATAGTTTGAGTAGCCTCAGGTTCTGGGTGGCGTCCCTCTCAAAAAGTCTGCTTCTGTGAGTTGTAATTATCAATGGCTCTTGGCTTCTTAGAAAAAGTACCCAGCTTTCCTTTCTACTTTATTGTTTTGTTTTGTTTTTTAGAGACAGGGTCTTGTTCTGCTGCCCAGGCTGGAGTGCAGTGGCATGATCGGAACTCACTGCAGTCTCAAACTCCCGGGCTCGAGTGAACCTCCCACCTCAGCCTCCAAAAAGCTGGAGACTACAGGTGTCCACCACCACACCCAGCCAATTTTGTTTTTTCTGTGGAGGCAGGGTCTTCCTATGTTGCCCAGGTTAGTCTCAAACCCCTGGCCTCAAGTGATCCTCCCACCTCAGTCTCCCAAAGTGTTGAGATTAAATGCATGAGCCACCTCGCCCAACCATCCACTTTTCCTTTTTGAACACTTCCTGGTATCTCCATTCATCTCTATCCATGAACTCAAGGTTGGGGAGAACAAATGAAGTAGAGCTAGATAACTTCCTTTAGTTTCCTTTCTGCACACAGGGGTCTAAAAATTCTGATTCCCTTTCCCATCTGAATCTTGCCATTTTTCTCTAAGTTAACCAACCTTTCTTCTTTCCTCTTTTTGTTCCGCCGCAGTGACAGTCATCTTGTTGTTTATTTAAAATGACCCTTTAAAGACATATTAAGTCTCATTCTGTCTGCTTAATGTCATGACCAAAACATAGTTTCATGCAAAAGAGATTTTAAGCATTTTTGTACAAGCTGAACTGGATTGGGACGTGCAATGGCGGAACTTGTGACTTTGGCAAAACATAATAACTAGGCTCAGTGCCCACAAATATTTATTTAGCATTTTGAAATATGAACTATTCTAAATATGTAATTAGCAACTAGATGTTCATACCACTGCAGTTCTGAAATGATGATACAAATGTTCTGCTGAGTTGAGCAAGATCTTTATATATTCTTAGAGCAGAAGAACAAAATAGTTATCCTTGCTGGGCTTTCAAGTCCAAATATTTTAAAAAGCAATGCAGCAAAGGAGTTGAATAGACATTTCTCCAAAGAAGAACATCCAATAAGTACATAAGAAGATGCTTGGCCAGGCGCAGTGGCTCACGCCTAATCTCAACACTTTGGGAGGCAAGGCGGGCGGATCACTTGAGAGATCAGGAGTTCGAAACCAGTCTGGCCAACATGGTGAAACTCTGTCTTTACTAAAAATACAAAAATTAGCCAAGCGTGGTGGCGCACACCTATACTCCCAAGCTACTCGAGAGGCTGAGGCACAAGAATTCCTTGAACCCAGGAGGCGGAGGTTGCAGTGAGCCAAGATCGCGCCACTGCACTCCAGCCTGGGCGACAGAGTGAGACCCCATCTCAACTGAAAAAAAAAAAGAAGAGGAAGAAGATGCTCAACACCACTTATCATTAGGAACATGCAAATTTAAAACACAATGAGATACCACTGCACACCCATTAGGAGGGCTACTATTAAAAAAATAAATAAATAACAAGTGTTAGCTAGGATGTGGAGAAACTGGAACTCTTGTGCACTGTGGGTGGGAATGTAAAATGGTACAACCGCTACAGAAAACAGTATTATGACTGCTCAGTAAAATCAGCGAAATGATTTAACACCATGTGACCCACCATTCCACCCCTACATGTTTACTCAGGAGAAACAATGACATGTCCAGCACACAAAGACTTGTACATGCATGTTCATAACAATTTTATTTATAATCACCCCAAACTGGAAACAGCCTCTATGTCTATCAGCTGGTGAATGGATAAATAAACCGGCATATTCAGCAATAAGATGGATGAAGTACTGACCTGTGCAACACCTCAAGAGTGAGTGTCAAATACATTACACTGAGTGAAAAGGTCAGACAAAAGACTATCCGTTAGGATTTCTACGAAGCTCTAGACAAGGCAGATCTAATCTATAGTGACAAAAAGCCCATCAGTGGTTGCCTGAGGCTGGCATGAGGGAGGCCTGGCTGGGAAGAGGCAGAAAGCAACCCCAGGATTGAGGGGAAGGGTCTATATTCTTGATTGTGGTGGTAGATACCTAAATCTGTCACAATTCACCCAAATGTATAGTTAAAATGGTACATTTTATTGTATGCAAACTATACATCATTAAAAAAATTTTACGCTATCCTGCTGTGTTTTCATATTGAAAGATGAAAAGAAGCGAAGCTGTCCTTCTTCCCCCTATACCCCACACCTTCTAATAAGCCTCACATAAAATTCCATATATCAGCTGGGCACGTTGGCTCATGCCTGTAATCCCAGCACTTTGGGAGGCAGAGGCGGGCGGATCACCTGAGGTCAGGAGTTCAAGACCACCCTGGCCAACATGGCAAAACCGTGTCTCTACTAAAAATACAAAAATTAGCTGGGCATGGAGGCGGGTGCCTGTAATTCCAGCTACTCAGGAGGGTGAGGCAGGAGAATCGGTTGAACTGGGAGGCAGAGGTTGTAGTGAGTCGAGACTGCACCACTGCACTCCAGACTGAGCAACAGGGCGAGACCCTGCCTCAAAAAAAAAAAAAAAATCCACGTACCTTCAAGCTTCTCTTCTCCCTTCCTGAGTACCAGTTATTTTCATATTTTAAAGGACTTTCTCTTTCTCTGATCTAACACAATGACAACTAAGCAAAGGCATGTACCATTTTATAATATATGCAGGGTCTCTTTGCTCCACTCTATACATGTGAAAGATTTTAATTCAAGTACAAGTTACTACTCAGAAAGACAAATGCTATTAAGAAATGACAGTAATATTGACAAACTAGACCACTAAAATTTATGAGAACAATAAACCCATTTCCTGCAGGAACTATCTATTCTGGATATTACTTAGTATTATAAATCTGCCTCTTAAGAAAATTAAACCTGGGGAAGAGAGAATTAAAAAAAAAATAAGGACTATAAAAGACTTGCTGCAAAAACTGACTGAGAAAGAGAAAAATAAAGTTTTTTTTTCTTCTCAACAGTATGCAAAGACTCTAATTTCTCCACATCTTCATCCAACATATGTAAAGCCATTATTTGTCTTTTTGTGAAGAAAATGTGCTATCTATGTAAAAGCCTGTCAAACTGTAAAGTGTTATATATTTGAAAGCTATCATCATTAAAGAGCCAGACTATCCTTTTAACCAGATGGCCCCTTTAACAAATATCACAGAAAGAACACTAGGCTGGAAATGAGATATCCTAGTTCTGGTCCCAAATCTACCAATTATGAAATTAGTGACTGTGGGTAAGTAACCACTTGCCTTAACCCTCCATTTCTTATGTCCACCAATCCATGCCTTCCTCATCTCATAAGCTTGCTCTGCAGATCTGATGATGGCATATAAACAAACTTTGAAAATCACCAAGCCACTCTCAATAAAAGAGAGCAGTATTATTTATTCCTAGGTCTGGCTGAAATAACGTAATATATTATTGATTACATATATCAATGAAACACCATCATGATATCCTTGTAACACGAGCCCAAAGAGTAACGGTCACCTGGCTGAATCCACCTGTTTCTAAGAAACAAAGAATATCTCATTTCACATAGTATTACAGTGGAAGATCCAGAACCTACCATGCCTGGACTGTCTCAGATGAGTATTTCCAGAGCTTTAATAGCAAGTCAAGATAAACACAATAATTGGAGGAAAAAGAAAAAAAAGATACAAACCCACTAGTATTTGAATGCATTCTCTTAATTCTAGTAAATGGATATACATATACGTATATATACACATATATGTTTGTACAGTGTAACTCAATGTTTTTAAGGAATTGTTATCCATCAAAAGACATATCCAAGCACCTACTGTTCCAACCCCACTGCCACTACCTCATTATTAGGAAGACTCCAGGGACGCAACAAAATGCTCATTACTGGCCGGGCACAGTGACTCACGCCTGTAATCTCAGCACTTTGGGAGGCCGAAGCGGGCAGATCACTTGAGGTCAGGAGTTTCAGGCTAGCCTGGCCAACATGGCAAAACCCTGTGTCTACTAAAAATACAAAAATTAGCCAGGTATGGTGGCACACACCTGTCGTCCCAGCTACTCAGGAGGCTGAGGCATGAGAATCACTTGAACCTGGGAGACGGAGCTTGCAGTGAGCCGAGATTGTGCCACTGCACTCTAGCCTGGGCCACAGAGTGAGACTCCATCTCAATACAAAAAAAAAAAAAAAAAAAAAGAATGGTTCATTACCATCTGGAACATCTTGTTCAAATCTCAAGGACTTGGCAGCCATGATGGTGCCGGTCATTCATGGACCCGACCCGGTAATGACATACCATCAAACTCGGCACACTGTACACGAAAGCAAAAGTATCCTTCAGTTCTTCTGAAGGCACAATCTTTTAAGATGGATGATCACTTCTTCAACATTCCTTTAGGAACAAGTCCATTAGTTAGATGCCGTTGGTTCTTAGAATCCCTGTCCCCCTAAATCTCACACCTCACTACACTTCTAGTCGAATTCTATGTACTGGATGCCTAACCTAGTGATTTGCCTTGCCTTGTGTGATAAACATGCTCCTAAAAAGATGGTGTAGAAGGTACCACTTTTTAAAGTACTACAGGATTCCTGATTCAAATATCTTATAAATCCTTTAGTAAAATGATACACTTCTTACACAAGAGCATATTCTCATATTGGATTTGTTTTAAACAAGGCACACAAACTATGACATTGTATGTAAAACTATAAGCCCCATCACATGTAATATTTTAAATGTCTTCATTTAACCTTAAATAAGTAAAAAATAATAAAATGTAGGGCAATTACCAAGTGCCTTAATAAAGGTCAAGCTACCTATGTAACATCTCCTTCGCATATTCCTTAAGATATTCTTCATGTGCTAAAAATACCGATGGCGGGCTGTACTTCAAGACTTCTTTTTGGGTCGGGCGTGGTGGCTCACAACCGTAATCCTAGCACTTTGGGAGGCCGAGGCAGGCGGATCACCTGCGGTCATGAGTTTAAGACCAGCCTGGCCAACATAGTGAAACCCCATCTCTACTAAAAATACAAAAATGAGCTGGGCGTGGTGGCGCACGCCTGTAATCCCAGCTACTCGGGAGGCTGAGGCAGGAGAATCGCTTGAACCCAGGAGGCAGAGTGAGCCGGGAATGCACCACTGCACTACAGCCTGGGCGACAGATCAAGACTTCGTCTCAAAAAAAAAAAAAGACTTCTTTTTGTTGTTTGCTGGGAATGGATCCACCACATGTAAAACACTCACTCATTCCCCTCAAGCAAACATGCTGAATGTAAGAGGCCTTGTGAGCTGACAATCACTCGGTCAGACAGTCGAGTGGAGGACTTTTATTTCAAAAATGGCAATGGTAAGGCCAAAAGGAAGTTAAGTAGCTCCTTCCAGGCTGCAGAGAGACTGAACAGGAATAAGAAGCCAGCCCCTGGTTATACTCTTCCCTGCTCCACGAAGCCTTCCAGACCCCACATGGGCCACACCCCACGGGTACGAGAGTTTGGGTTGAACCAAAAAGACTTGATCTTCCTGTTCGTATCCCAGAATAAGCCACCCTTATGTTGCTGCAGAATTTTAGGAAATATGCCATCCTACTTTGGCAACCTTATGTGAGATTTTCTGCATTTAAAGAAAGAGGGATGTGTGTTCTGCATTAGCTCCAGAAATAAAAACCCCTACTCAGTCTCAGCAAGGCATGCAGTTAAAAATAATCAGAGCCGGTGTTTCTCTACGGTGAAAGAATGAGCCAAGCAATGTGGGAGGCTGAGTGCCAACAAGGCTGCGCCTTTATAATCATCTTAGTAACCGGACAGCCTGCTGCAGGTTTTCAAGGGAAGTCCTGAAAGAAGCAGCACGACCCACCCTACCTTCTTCCGGAGAAACTGTAACTTCACAGGTCTGATTTTCTTTTCTTTTTTTTTTTGAAACGGAATTTCGCTCTGTTGCCCAGGCTGGAGTGCGGTGGCTCAACCTCGGCTCACTGCAACCTCTGCCTCCCAGGTTCAAGCGATTCTCCTGCCTCAGCCTCCTGAGTAGCTAGGATTACAGGCACCCACCACCAAGCCCAGCTAATTTTTGTATTTTTAGTAGAGACAGGGTTTCACCACGTTCACCAGGCTGATCTCGAACTCCTGACTTCAGGAGATCCACCCACCTCAGCCTCCCAAAGTGCTGGGATTGTAATAGGCGTGAGCCACCATGCCCGACCCCACGTCTGATTTTGAATGCTAACATTTCCTCGGTACACAGTAACTCACAACATCAAAGTGACACAGGACGCACGTGTAAATCGCACTAGAAGCCTCATCCGTACAGCCTTGCTATCAAGTGTGGTCTGCACCAGCAGCACCGGCATCACCCAGGAGCTGGTAAGGAAAGGAGAACCTCAGCCCCTGCCCCAATCTCTGGACTCAGCATCATCCATTTTGAGCAAGGTGCCCAGGTGATCGGACAGCACGTTAAAGCTAGAGAAGCAATGCCCTAATCCTAGTAACCCATGCACCATCATGAGAAATCCCAGACACTGCCTCCTCTTCCTTCCCACCTGATGCTGCAGGACACAGGACGGATGCTCATAGTGCTCCCTGTGATCTCTCCAATTTCTCACTTGGGCCTTTGCAATCTGCATTTACAAATTAGCATGGTTTGAATTAACAGAAAAACAAAAGAGTAGTATCTGGTTAGCATCTAAGAAAGCGAAAGAGGCCGGGCGCGGTGGCTCACGCCTGTAATCCCAGCACTTTGGGAGGCCGAGGCGGGTGGATCATGAGGTCAGGAGATCGAGACCATCCTGGCTAACAAGGTGAAACCCGGTCTCTACTAAAAATACAAAAAAAAAATTAGCCGGGCGCGGTGGCGGGCGCCTGTAGTCCCAGCTACTCGGGAGGCTGAGGCAGGAGAATGGCGTGAACCCCGGAAGCGGAGCTTGCAGTGAGCCGAGATTGCGCCACTGCAGTCCGCAGTCCCGCCTGGGCGACAGAGCGAGACTCCGTCTCAAAAAAAAAAAAAGAAAGCGAAAGAGGGCCAGGTGCTGTGACTCACACCTGTAATCCCAACATTTCGGGAGGCTCAGGTGGGCAAATCACTTGAGGCCAGGAGTTCGAGACCAGCCTAGGCAACATTTCAAGACCCCATCTCTACAAAAAATAAAGAAACTCAGATACGGTGTTGTGCACCTTTAGTCCCAGCTACTCAGGATGCTGAAGCAGGAGGATGGATTGAGCCCAGGAGGTTAAGGCCGTAGCGAGTGGTGATCATGCCACTGCATGCCAGCCTGGGCTAAAGAGTGGGACTCCGTTTCAAAAATAAATAAACACATAAATAAAAAGAAAGTGAGAGAGAAAGCAGGGAGCGGGGTCTGTTTGGGAGAGAAAAAGAAGAAAGTGAAAGGTGAGCAGGTCCGGTGTGGAAGAAGCAGGTCAGAAGAGAGGGCAGAGGCTCATTTCTCCCCACACGTCACCCTGCACCTGCTCCCATAAACATCAGCGAACTCATCCCTATCTTACAGGCTGGAAAAGGAGTCACATTTCTCTTAAATTTAACTTTTACGCTAAGGTCCAAAAATGGAAAGGTAGAAATTGAAGAATTAATTACCTCTGTTTTATCATTAACCAAAGCAGTATTACCTGCCTAAAGAGGACAAAATATTAAAAAATAGCAGAATCTTATTTTATAAGGGATTGTGGGATCAATTTAAGTAATTAACAATCCACTGTTCTCTGGGACTCTACCTACATGGGTGTCATGCTGAAAGGCACAGAAACGCAAATTCTAATCCTTTTGAAAAGAATGACAGATGGAGAAGAAAGAACTCTGAAGTCAGCAAGCCCAGAATGCAGTGTCAGCCCTTCTACTACTAACCTAGCAAGAGAACTGTGGGCAGTTTCTCAGGCTCAGCTTTGTCATCCAAAGAAACAGGAAAAATCAACCAACGTTGTCTCCAAAGGTCCTTCCATAGGAGCCCTAAAAACTGTATGATTCTAAGTCAGTTAATCATTGTCTCAATATTACTATTTCTCTTTAAAATGGGAAAAATGACTCACAGGTAGTCTCACCAGATGCAGGCTTCAAATGTGTCATTTGCTCATTTTAGGAAATAGTCCAGACTTCTTCAAAACATGACTCTATTCACACTTAGCCAGTCTTGTTTACCAAAATACAAATAAGCCTAGGCATATACACAGCACACCTGTCATTGTTTAAAGTTAGCATGACTCTTGCACCAGCTTCTTATCTGAAAAGATCTAAAAATGACACAACTGGCGTGCTCTAATTCTGCAGAGGCAGGGCTGGCTTCTGTCCACCTTCTCGGGCATAAACGGGAAGCTCCGCAAGGTCAGCTCTCTGCTTCAGATGCCTCCTTCTCAGACCATCTCTCATGCACCACCCATCACACTCTATCCCCTGAACCTCTCTTACATCTTCTCAAAGCTTAAATTATAATTGGCATATTGGATTACTGACCATTCCTCTTCCCCAACTTGATTTTCAACTCCTAGAGAGGAGGGGTGTTACCTGGCACTACTACTACATCAAAACAGTGTCTGGCACAGAGGCCATAACCACTGGCCAAATAAGCAAATTTAAGTTCTAATACTGGTCAGTGAGGTTGTTGCTGTATTTTCAAGAAGAAGGCCCAAAACTATCTGCATGACAAAGCAATCCTTGGATGAAGATAAGAACAAGAGCAACAAAAGAAGAAGAAGAAGAAAAGAATTCATTTTTGTTGGAGTAAGAGGAAAACTAAGAAGACCTATAAAATGGATTAAGATACAACTACCCTCAGTATTCTGAATGCACATGTGTTTTTCCCTTTAGAGTTACGAACAGAAATTTAAACTGACCCTCTGTCATTCATATGCAAAGAGGATAAAATCAAGTGGATTTTTTATGTTCTGCTTCAACTGCCATTCTTTTTCAGATTTAATCAGCTGAACAAATAATGGTAGTTTTCTAGGTTAGTTCACATAAAAGTCAGAAACAGTCCTATAGACACTTAAAAACTTTTTTAAAAAGGTGCTTTCATCATCAATACCAATATTGGCAAGATTACAATTGATGTATCTGTGAAGCAGCAGAAAATCATATTCCTTTTCAGTAATATTAGCATATCACAGAGCATACCGGGTAGTGAAACCCAAGCCTGGGTGCACGCTTATCTAGCGGCAGACCCAGGAGCAGAAGATTATGAGTGGCATCTGTGAGGCTGCCGGAAACAGGTTCTCAATGAGACACTTATAATTTCATTAAATGGCCTTTGACAAGACCCTCCTGCTGGGGGGCCCATGGCAGGCTCCGGGGAATGCTTCTTCCTCAGTGGTCTTTTCTAGTCTTTATCCTGAATTTTCCTTTTTTTGACTTAATATTTCCCTATCTTAAGCTTAGTGTTATACTCTGAGATTTGTTAACAAAAGCACACTTATCCCTATAGAAAAGCATAGAGAAGACTGAATGAGACAATAATAGCTTTTCATAACAACCACAGCAAAAAACTAAATGGGTCCCACACCCAATTTTAATTTTCCCCACAAAATCTGCTCCTCTCCCTAGCTTTCCCAGTTCAATAAATAGCAACTCCATCTTTCTGGTTGTCAGGCCAAAAACCTTTGTCTTTACCTCTTTCTCTCAAAACCCAGAACAAATCCATCAACAACCCCTTCAACTCGATCCTCCAAACAGATCTAGAAAATGGGCCTGGCACAGTGGCTAACACCTGTATTCCCAGCAGTTTGGGAGGCCAAGGCAGGCGGATCACTTGAGGTCAGGAGGTTGAGACCAGCCTGGACAACATGGCGAAACCCTGTCTCTACTAAAAACACAAAAATTAGCTGGACATGGTGGCACGCATCTGTAATCCCAGCTACTCAGGAAGCTGAGGCAGGAGAATCGCTCGAACCTGGGAGGTGGAGGCTGCAGTGAGCTGAGAACATGCCACTGCACTCCAGCCTGAGCGACAGAGCGAGACTCTGTCTCCAAAAAAAAGGGGGGGGGGGAAGGAGGAGGAGGGGGAGGAGGATAAGAAGGAGGAGGGGAAGGAGGAGAAGGAGGAGTAGGAGGGGGAGGAGGGGGAGGAGGGGGAGGAGGAGAAGGAGAAGGAGAAGAAAATGACCACTGGTCACCAGCTCCACTGCTACTATGCAAGTCCAAGGTATCAGTGTTCCTTGCCCAAACTACTGCAAAAGTCTCCTGCCTTACCTCCCTGCCTTCACCCTTACCTATTCACCACACACTCTCCAGGACCTTTTAAAACTAGTTCATTTAAAATGTTCTCAGCTCAAAGTTCCCAAGCCTCACAGAATCTCCCCTCTGCTGCTGGCACCTCTCTGATCTCTTTTCTCCTTCTTCCCCTGCTTGCAGCCTTCCTGTTGTGCCTCAAACAAACCAAGAACACAGCTGTCTCGGGGCCTCTGCACTTGTTCTCCCTGCCTCAAATGCTCTTCCCTCACATAATAAGATTGCTCATTCCCTTACTTCATTCAAGGTTCTGCTGAATTAGCCCTCCTAGACAGGTTTTCCTTGGCTGCTTTATTTAAAATAGCAGCGACCCACCCCGCCCATCATTCTGTCTCTCATCACAAGTATGTAAAACCCATAAAAACAATGACTTTGTGCAGTGTCTACGATGACCTTTGATACACTGCATTCAACAAATGCTTGCAGAATGAAGGAATAAACTTATTATGCATCTACTATATGCCAGACACAATAAATATTTGTTGAATGGATGAATAAATGAATGAGTGAATTCCAACATCCCTCCTCCAAACACACTCAGAAAAACAATTGTCTTAGATTTTTCAGAGGAATCACCAAAATGAGGCTAACACCAATGATATTTTTCGTAATTGGCAGGAAGACTGGAGACACAGGTACTTGTGTATACTCGCTAGTTAGAAATATTTTTTGTTTTTTTTCTTTTGAGACAGAGTTTTGCTCTTGTCATCCAGGCTGGAGTACAATGGCTTGATGTGGGCTCACTGCAACCTCCACCTCCCAGGTTGAAGTGATTCTCCTGCCTCAGTCTCCTGAGTAGCTGGGATTAGAGGAATGTGCCACCGCACCCAGCTAATTTTTGTATTTTTAGTAGAGACGGGGTTTCACCATGTTGGCCAGGCTGGTCTCAAACTCCTGACCTCAGGTGATGCACCTGCCTTGGCCTGTCAAAGTGTTAAGATGACAGGTGTGAGTCACCACGCCCGGCCAGAAATATCTTAAGAAACAAAGAAGCAGAAAGGATCTACTCAGAAGCAGGCAGGATCTACTTGACAAAAGACAGAATGGAAATTCATTATTGATAAGACAGCTGGTGGTTATATACTAAGAAATAAAAAGAGCCCTATGCTTAGAATTGTCATTTACTAACTACCTGATGAAGACATCTCATGACAGACGTATAAAACAATTTTGCAGTAAATTCCCTGCACACTCTGGACCTTCAGAAAATGTGTATGAACTAAAATTCCATTTTATCATCAACAGTGATAGGAGAGTTTCTATTCCCAACCGCTTCAGACAGCAGGTGTTTAAAGTCAATTCATTCATTAAGGGATGCTCAGCTTAGTCTAATCAATATCTGGTATAGCCCATGTTGCTGAACAACCTCAATTTCACACCACAGTTATGCTTTAAAAAAAGATTTGTAAATATTGAAAGAGGCAGTATACTTGCTGTGATGCACACATGTAACATTAAAAACACTATCCAAACATCCTTCCCTGTTAGGGGATATTTTCCCCATCCTAGGATAAAAGGTGAGAAAAAACAAAGCACAGCCTAGACACTGGGTTGCAACTGAACTGCTGGGACAATCATCTGGGACGGCTGCTTTCCACCCAGCCCGCCCAGGGCTGCACTGGCTAGTCCCTTTGCTTCTCTGTCCCTTTTAGCCGAGCTCCCAGAGTGTTCCACCTGACACCACAGGGTTTGCAGTTGCCATCTGCATCCTGCTGTTCTCATCTCTTTAATCATTTCTCCAACATTTATCATAATAGCCTCCTCCTAGTCTTCAAAGAAGGGATTATGACTCCAATTTACACACCGCTGAACCCGTGTTAGCCATTTGGAGGGAGTGCCTCTACTTTCCATTTTAAAAAGGGCCAGTCAGGCCTAAAGAGGAAGAAAAAAAAAAAAAAAAGAAGCCATGCCATCCCACTTCATTTTCCTCTCCACTGCAGGCAAAGGAATAAAAGTGAAAGCCATTAACATAAAGAGACACACGTAAAGGGCAAACGGCTCAGGCAGAACTCAAAAACCCCTGATCATTTAACTGGAAATTGAATTAAAATACTTCATGAGATAAAGACAAGCCCTTTTACTACTAACGGAGCTGGGCAGTTATTAATTTTTTTTAAACAATCAGATCTCGCAAGAGGTAGTTATTTTTAAACCATAAATTGAGTACTCAATAGAGAATGGACAAAGATTTTGGTCCTTACATTAGGACGTGTTTTTTAAAGCAAACAAATGAAAAACACAGACTGCTATGGCAAGCAGTCGGCCCACAGGCTACTTAACACAAATGAATTAAATAGCCACAGAACCAATTTAATCAAACAGTGCGAAGTCGGTTTCCGTTCTCAAAGCTGGTGTTTTTAAAAACTGGTTAAATCAAGTTACCTTTTTTCTTCTGAAGGTAGGAAGAGGGATTTACTTCTGAATTCAAAACACTATTATACTTACTTTTTTCTTAAATTGCTACATGATGGAATTGACCACTTCCTCCCACTAGCAGGGTAAAGGTACACAATGCAAAGAACAGCTCTGCAGCAATTAATTCCTTTTTACCTTTTTTTTTTTTTTTTTTTTTTTTTTTTTTTGGAGACATAGAGTCTAGCTCTGTTGCCCAGGCTGAAGAGCAATGGCACGATCTCAGCTCACTGCAACCTCTGCCTCCCGTGTTCAAGCGATTCTCCTGCCTTAGCCTCCCGAGTAGCTGGGACTACAGGCGTGAGCCACCATGCCCAGCTAATTTTTGTATTTTTAATAGAGACAGGGTTTTGCCATGTTGTTCAGGCTGCTCTTGAACTCCTGGCCTCAAGTGGCCTGCCTGCCTCAGCCTCCTGAAGTGCTGGGATTACAAGTGTGAGCCACCGCACCCAGCCTTGTAGCAAGTAATTCTGAAAGCCTTGCAGAAAGTAATACTTGCAGCAAGTAATTTCAGTTCACTGATTTTCTGCCTTCACCACCCCACATGTGCATAATGTGTGTGCACTTACACGTGTGTGTATTCTGTGTCAGTAAGAAACGTGGGGTTATTATAAAGATATTTGCCAGTTGCAAATTAGACCTTCACAGCTGCGGTCCTGTTCAGTCCAACTGTGGCCCCAAAGAGCCTCCCCTGGGCTGAAAATGCATTTTGTGTCTCCTGGTCAAGAAATGAGCAGTCCAAGTGGACACTTCATTGTGGTCAAGGGAAACTATGCTTTTGTATAAATAAACTATTTGTCTAAACTTCAAACAGGTAAGGGTAGATAAGCTTTACTTTCTAGCAAGGGCAAAAGTTATCTCCTTTCCCTTTCTCTCAGAGGGAACCAAATCCTGAAGACGGTTCATGGCTCAAAGCCCTAATTGCCTGGTATGACCCAGGGAAAACTCCATTTTAAGAAAATGTACTTTCCTTTAAATATTCTGAGACAGAAAGCAACCAGGTCTCTGAAGAAGCTGCTAGACTTTCTCAGGATGGTAGAAACTTTCAGGAAAGCAAAGGAATTTAATGAAGCCTCAGAGAGAGTTTGAAATCTTTACCTTACATAGCACTGATGGCTAATACTATGCTTGTTCTAATGAAGATAATTTTGTATGATTCTTGACTAGGTTTGAGGCTACCAAAACCAAAAATCAGTGTGTATACCTTTAAATCCCGAGGCAACTAACAGCTATTAAACTAGTTAACATTTATAAACCATTAACTCTCACCTACACCCCTTGTAAACTATTAACTCTCAGCTACACCCCTTGGTAAATGTTAACAGTTAAAGTTCTCTTTCATTCATTAAAATGCAAATAGCTTAACATGTCTGTGACAATACACACTAATAATTTCCCACTTTTTATTAAATGTTTAATAGCACTGATACCCAATCTGAAAAAACTTCCCATATTAGAGAGATAGACTGTGGTGCTAATATTTTCCTAGCAAACGACAGAATTTTTAAATTGGAACAGACTTTAGAGATCATTTCATCCAGCTTCTCATTTTAAAGATTAGGAGATAGAACCAGAGCCTCTGAAATGTCCAAAGCCACAGAGTTTATTAGTAAATATAAAATCAGAACACCCAGGGTCGGGTGCGGTAGCTCACGCCTGTAATTTCAGCACTTTGGGAGGCCAAGCCAGGTGGATCACTAAGGTCAGGAGACCAGCCTGGCCAACATGGCAAAACCCTGTCTCTACTAAAAACCCCAAAATTAGCCTCGCTTGGTGGCGCACACCTATAATCAGGAGGCTGAAGCAGGAGAATCGCTTGAATCCAGGAGGCGAAGGTTACAGTGAGTGGCGATCGTGCCTGGGCAACAGGAGTGAAACTCCGTCTCAAAAAAAAAAAAAAAAAAAAAAATCAGAACACCCAGAAAGATCAGGTCAGCACCCGCTACACACCAATTCATCTAACCCTTCAACACTCACGTAATCTCAGCGATCTCTTCTCTTTCCCCATCTCCAGCTAGCAGGTTCCATATTCACCCCATAGCTCCATCTGTGGTTTTACCACCCTGGGCACTACACCTGCTCTGTTCCTCCTTAGTGAATCTCCTCGACTTTATCACCCAAAAGTCTTACATAGGGTCACGTATATAAGCGTGCCTCAAGAGGTTAGGAGAAAATCCCAAGGCTAGATGAATTACAGAAGATGAAAAATACATTTTTCTCTTTTTCCTAACCCTTGGTGGTTTTCAGGATGCTGAATGTTACCAAAAAGAATGTGCACACTTCATTTGTCCTACAGTTTATTTAGTCTTGGGTGTCTTATAAATAGAAACTATATTTTGTGGTTGATCCCAAATATTAATATTTAGCATTCCTCCAGCACTTAAAATGCACACAGTTTCTGCCATTTCAATGAGTCCCTACAAGTCAGTAGGACACTAGGCTTTGCACAAACATAAAACAAACAGTCAGCACACAAACGTCTCAGAAATGCATGGACAGGTTCAGGGAAATACTCTTAAAAGTGAGGTCTAGATACCACAAAACAGGCTCTTCAAACTCTACGTGTGGAGTTGTTATCTAAATCAACAAGTTTGCTTGGCAGCTTAATTAAATTCATCCTACCATGTAGTACAACAAAATCGTGTTTCCATATACTATTAAAAAACCAGGGACTAGAAAGTTTACAGTTCTTATCTACTGTTGCAAAACAAAACTGGAAACAAAACTCTATTCTTTCATATTATACCCCTTCCTCTTGCCTTGTTTTTCTCTTTCCATTCACTGAGTAACACTTTAACTAAAGAATGTATTTAAAATAAGAACAAATACAGGAAGTTAATCCAACCAAAACACTTAAAGTAATAGTAAACTAAGGTACATGGAAAAAGAGGAAGTTGTGATGCCCCCCGCAAAATAAAGATTTCCTGGCAGGTGAGACTTGAAAAGCGATCACAGTGTTCTCCATTCTCTTGGTGACAGAGAAAAAATGTTTTCCCTCAACAAAGTTGAAGCTTAAGTGTAAATCTGAGGTCACCAGGCGGATCCCTAATAAGGACAGAGCGCTCCCTCAGGAACAGCGATGCCAAGCCCAGTTTTGGATACATAGGGAGTGGGTGGTGGAATGCCGGCTTCCATTCGAAGGAGACCCCTCTCCAGCACCATGGGAGTCGCACCCTTAGCAGATATTCTGTCCTCCAGAGAGCTGAGGTTTCAGGAGTGCCAAGCAAGGTATAAATGTCATTAGCGTGAGTACTTAAAACATACCACAATGTCCAGGTGCGGTGACTCACACCTGTAATCACATTTGGGAAGCCGAGGCGGGCAGATCACTTGAGGTCAGGAATTCGAGACCAGCCTGTGCAACATGGTGAAACCTCATCTCTACTAAAAATACAAAAATTAGCTGGGTGTGGTGGCATGCACCTGTAATCCCAGCTACTTGGGAGGCTGAGGCAAGAGAATCGCTTGAACCTGGGAGGCGGAGGCTGCAGTGAACTGAGATCACGCCACTCCAGCGTAAGCAACAAAGCGAGACCCTCTCTCAAACACACACACACACACACACACATACACACAAACACACACACCCACAAGAGGGTTTAGACCTGGTGCCTGCTGGTTTCAGCCACTCTAAAACCAATGGGAGGATTTTATTATTTTATTTCTTTGCAAAATAATTGGTTCTGTGGACACCATCGCCCTTCATTAAGGCTGAGATTCTGACTTCCATGGCCATTTGCCATTGATGCTTTTAATAACCATGCATTAATTCCGTTCTGAAGTCCAGAGAAAAAGCTTTCTATTTTTGCCTTCCCTAATAGGGCACAGCCAAGAGAAAGCATCCCACCATGCAAAGCTCTAGCTTGGCTGACATCAGAACAGAGTCCGGTAAACAGTTTCTTATATTAGGCTATCATTGTTGTTAGCCCCGATGAGTCAAATTTACATTCTGGGAGAAGGGTATGAGCCCTCACTTCTACATACTTAAAGTCAGAAGTGATTGCATTTCCATAAGAACATTTATACCCGGATGTATTTCAGAGTCCTACTTTGTGGCTGGGAAGGTGGCCTAAAAAACCCAATATCACCCAAAGGAAGCAGGAGGTCCTGATTCTGTTCTCAGCAGCAACTGCCTGGCTCAGTCCGTGTGTCTGCTCTCAAGACCCCGACTATGCCCCTGCAGGCTCCATTTCTCCTACTACACAAACAAGGCTCTTGCCACCCACTCAGGCTTATTTACTTGCACTGTGTACATATACACCGACTCACACACACACTCACATACCCCCCAAAAAAAATGGAGGCTTAAAATACCCCATTTTGTCACAGTTTGCTCGGAAGCTACTCCCTCTAGTTCAACAGGCGGCAAGCTCCTGTCCTACCTGCCCCTTTCTACCTTTTGGGAATAAAAAGGAGCAACCAGAAATAGCAGAGAAAGCGGAAGGGAACCAGGATCTGACTCGTAATTACAGTTCCATAAACCCAGACAACTATTTTTGTTAGTTAACCTGGACAATCGCACAAGGTGTCTGCTCATTCTTAAAAAAAAAAAAAAAAAAAAAAAACCACACACAACTTAGATTGCTAGTGCCTGGCACGTACAAGGCAAACAGTGTGGGTACAACCATTAGGTCAGGTCCTAGCTACGTATATATATTTGAGATGGAGTCTTGTTCTGTCGCCCAGGCTGGAGTGCAATGGCGCAATCTCAGCTCACTGCAAACTCCGCCTCCAGGGTTCAAGCGATTCTCCTGTCTCAGCCTCCTGAGTAGCTGAGATTACAGCTATGCGCCACCACTCCTGGCAAATTTTGTGTTTTTAGTAGAGACAGGGTTTCACTATGTTGGGCAGGCTAGTCTCGAACTCCTGACCTCAAGTGATCCCCCTACTTCGGCCTCCCAAAGTACTAGGAGCCACCACCCCTGGCTTAGCTACCTATTTCTATTGTCAAGGTTATCCAACTGTTGTAGGTTAAATGGTCCATACTCACTAACACACTGGTGAAGGTGGATAATTACTATTTCCAATTCCCATGTTGCATTCCATAAAAGACACCAACCAACTCCATGAACACCTTGATTTGTCTTAGTTGTGTTCACATTATTAAATTACACTGATTTAGGAGCAAAAAATCCTTTGTAAGTCATGGGCATTGTATAAGGTTGCCCAATTTACAAAACAAAAATATACGCTGGGTGTGGTGGCTCACAGCTGTAATCCCAGCACTCTAGGAGGCCAAGGTGGCAGGATGACTTGAGGTCAGGAGTTCAAGACCAGCCTGGCCAACATGGTGAAACCCCGTGTCTACTAAAAACATAAAAATTAGGCCAGGTGCAGTGGCTCACGCCTGTAATCCCAGCACTTTGGGAGGTCAAGAAGAGGTCAGGAGATCAAGACCATCCTGGCTAACACAGTGAAACCCCGTCTCTACTAAAAATACAAAAAATCAGCCAGGCTTGGTGGTGGGCGCCTACAGTCCCAGCTACTCCGGAGGCTGAGGCAGGATAATGGAGTGAACCCGGGAGGCCGTACTTGCAGTGAGCTGAGATCGCACCACTGCACTCCAGCCTGGGCAACAGAGCGAGACTCTGTCTCAAAAAAAAAAAAAAATTAGCCAGGTGAGGTGGTGCATGCCTCTAGTCCCAGCAACTCAGGAGGCCGAGGTATGAGAATTGCTTGAACCTTGGAGGTGGAGGTTGCAGTGAGCCAAGATTGCACCACTGCACTCCAGCCTGGATGACAGAGGGGGACTTTGTCTCAAAAAAAAAAAAAGGAAGAAAGAAAAAAATATGTATTATGACTAAATCAGAACATCACATGGAACATATTTACACTAAAAATTATTCGTTGCTTACGTGAAATTCAGATGTAAGAATAGATGTATACATGAGACCCACCCATAAGCAACACTTTATTGTTTATCTGAAATTCAAATTTAACTGGCTATCCTGTTTTTTTGGTTTTGGGTTTTTGGGGTTTTGTTTGTTTGTTTCTTTGTTTTTGATACAGGATCTCACTCTATACCCCACGCTGGAGTGCAGTGATACTATCACAGCTCACTGCAGCCTCCATCTCCTGGGCTCAAGTGATTCTCCCATCTCAGCCTGTCAAGAAGCTGGGACCACAGTCGTGGTCCTCCCTCAGTATATATGGGGGGTTTGGTTCTAGGGCCCCCACCCCCAGCATACCAAAATTATTTTTTATTTCTTGTTGAGAGAGGTCTCGCCATGTCGCCCAGGCTGGTCTCGAACTCCTGGGCTCAGGGGATCCACCCGCCTCGGCCTCCCAAAGTGCTGGGATCACAGGCGTGAGCCACCACACTCAGCCGACATCCTGTATTTTATCTGGCAATCTTAACATTGTATTAGGACAAGCGGAAAACAGATGAATTAAGACATGGCATCTTACCACAGGAGCTCATTGTCTGGTGAAAGAGCCAGACCTGAACTAGAATCATACAATGGAGGATTGGAGGCGCTTTCCAAGCGCTTTCAAGAACACAGGGAAGGAGCAATTAAATCCTAACTGAGATGCACACTAATGTCTCCATCCTGCACAATGAAAATGAACGTTATAGAATTTATTCTATCATTCTATATATCCCACAGATTCTTTAATCCTGATTCATGAACTCGCTACAGTGTTTTCAGCCAGGCACGGTGGCTCACACCTGTAATCCTGGCGCTTTGGTAGGCCGAGGCGGGTGGATTACTTGAGGTCAGAAGTTCAAGACCAGCCTGGCCAACATGGCAAAACCTACTCTCTACTAAAAATACAAAATTTAGCCAGGCATGGTGGCAGGCACCTGTAATCCCAGCTACTTGGGAGGCTGAGACAGGAGAAGCACTTGAACCTGGGAGGCTGAGGTTGCAGTGAGCCGAGATCACGCCACTGCACTCCAGCTTCGGCAACAGAGTGAGACGCCGTCTCAAAAAAGAAAAAAACAAAAAATTATGCTTTCTGCCGTTATTTTCATCTGAAGCAAGTTACTGACAAGGTAATGTGAAGGGGGTTATAAAACACTGGCCATAACAGATTCAGAAACACAGATGAGAAAAGATGCTCAGTTATTTCAATGCCAAATAAGCCTCCTCACTTTTGTGCTTTGAAAGCGAGCGGGGACTGAATGTTTACCTGTTTCAGAACTACAGTTTAGAAGACGGTCTTCCCCATGTCTGCTGAGATGAGGGATTCCCCATGAACTCCTCACATGCACAGCTCTGAAAGTAAGATCTGGGGCCCTTATTTGGAAAACAAACTCCCTAGATCTTTTTGCTCCAGCAGCCAAAGGAGCTGGGCATGGTACAAGAGTCACTGGTCAGGTGGGGTCAAGCCAGGACAGTGCTGGAGAGATCTGTCCCGAGCTCACTCGAGTGTCTTTCTCATGGCACTGGGGCAAGCATGACCTGCACAGCCTGGCACAGAAACAGCACTTGCCCAGAAGATACTTCCCCGTATTTCAAGATCAAACAAAGTAGGACGCAGAAAAGAAAAGAAGCAAGGGAGGTAAGGGATGGTGTGTACATATTTCCTGTTGGAATTCCTCTGGAGTATAAAAAAGAGGGCCTGACAATTGCCAAACATATCAGGTGAGGCTTTGGGATCCACTGGTGGGAAACACTGAATATATTTAATATCCAAGACAATAATTCAAAGACTCTAAATTGGGAAATTAGCTTAATAGTATTTTACTTGCAAGGTCCTACATTTCAATATTAAAAATACTGACACATTAAAAAATGAAATTGGTCTTTTATTCCTAGCCTATTCATCTTTGCATCTTTCCCAGCACAGAGCATCCCCATGGCACTCAGCAGACCCCCATGATGTCTGGTCAATTAATGAGTTAATGGATGGTTTCAAGCCCATGAGCCAGATTCCTGTCACCGGCATGTATCAGTTTATTGCTGCACACGGGAAACCTTGCAGCCACAGGGCTTTGTTTATACACTGCCCTAGAAGCCACTAGGATTCTCTAGATCAGAAAGAGAAATATATTCTAGTTCTCATCTTTCAAACTGGCTCAAAACCTGACACTTTCACATCAGGAAAGTGAAAAAAAAAAAAAAAAAAAAAAAAAAAAGAGGAGAGATACCGAAAGAGCCAGGCTGTTCATAATTTTGTTTTGGAGGCAGTGCAGAAGAAAACATCCTAGAGAGGCACTGCCAAATTCTAAAAAGAGTCTTAGAATGCCAAAAACAGATTCAGTCCCTTAAGCAAAGTGGAAGGGAAAAAAGAAGCCTATCAATTCAAAGCAATAAAGATTTAAACAGAAAGTTCATGAGACATCAATAAATTCCGCGTGTGGCCCTATTGTTTAGTTACTAAACTGCCAATGCAACTTTCAGTGGTTAACCAACACAGCACAAGTTTGCTCCTAATTTAATATCCCTTTCAGATTTCTGATTCCATAATGAGATATCTTCCAGGCCAAAATATGCCAAATTTTTCTACCCTGAAACAAACCTGTGAATTTTCTGGGCTTAGGTCCTTTCTTTTTTCCTCCATTCAGCCACTGAAATAATAAGAATTCTAATTAAAAATGAGTTCAGGCCCGGCGCGGTGTCTAACGCCTGTAATCCCAGCACTTTGGGAGTCCCAGGCAGGTGGATCACAAGGTCAGGAGCTCGAGACCAGCCTGGCCAATATTGTGAAACCCCGTCTCTACCAAAAAATATATAAAAATTAGCCAGGCATGGTGGCGGGTGCCTGTAGTCTCAGCTACTCAGGAGGCTAAGGCAGGAGAATCGCTTGAACCCGGGAGGCAGAGGTTGCAGTGAGCCAAGATCGCACCAAGGCACTCTAGCCTGGGCAACAGAGCAAGACTCCGTCTCAAAAAAAAAACAAAAAAAAATCTTTTGTTTGTAAACTCAGTAGATATATAACTGTCCTACAGTGACATTGACAAGTTAACTTTTAAAATACCTAAAGCAAGTTTCCCTGTAGAGTTGGGCAAATTCCATATGCTGACTGCCCACTTGTTGATACATTTTGCTATCAGGAACCCAACACCACCAATTTTGGGGAAACCTTTTTCTAAACAAATGAGAAAATCCAAGATGATTCAAATAGCTGAGCTGAACAAAACAAAATGCTCTGAGACAATGACTGGTGTTCACTGATCTGGGTCATTTGCCTGCCTCCACGCCTGACAGCCTTTGACCTATCCCAAAGCAACAGCCATCTGTCTAGTATCTGAACAGAAATTGGGACGGAGCACAGGGGGTATACAAGGCAGGGAGTAGTTAAGAAGCCAGCAAGGGAAGGAAGGAAATTGTTTAGTAAGTGCCCACTACATGCCAAGCATTGTCTTAGGCATTTTTATATGCATTATTTTATTCAGTCCTTACAAGAGCTGTATGACATAAATTTTGCTTTTTTAAAACTAAGCAAGTCTCAGATGTCTCCATGTCATCAAAATCTAAATATATAACATTATTACCCTTTGAAAATTCTAATAAATGAAAGAAAATTTAAATTTAATATTTAAAATTATATTAAATGGCCCATCCAGTTTTGGAGCCTAGGAAGGGTTCAACAAGAGTGATTTATTTTACTAAGACCTAGAGCAACAGATGAGACCTATGTTACTGAAAACGATTATGCAATGCTATAATTACAACTATATTAAAAATATGCCTTTTGGGGGATACTCTCTTCATTGTGGCGATGGCCTCACAGGTAAAAAACAAAAATAGACAGTCCTCCCTCGGTATATATATGGGGGGTTGGGTTCTAGGGCCCCCATCCCCAGCACACCAAAATCTATGCATAAAGTCCTGAAGTTGGCCCTCGGGACCTGCATATGAGATGAGCCAGCCCTCCGTATGCACAGGTGGCGTCGAGGTGGACCCAAGCAGTTCAAATCTATGTTGTTCAAGGATCAACTACACTCATGATTCAGACCAAAATAGAAATAAACAAAGTGAAAATATCCGTAACAACAAGGATAAAGCATTCTCAGTCAAAAAAGACTATATAGAGGAACACAAGCCAGATATCTGTTTTATATTTCTCAACATATTTTCTGCACAATACCAGCTCCAGCGGATGTTACTTCTTACATATGCACACACATACACACACACATAAAGATTCTTCAGTCAATAAGTTTGAAAAATGCTTGGTTAAACAAAGCTCACCACGGCTGGTAGTGATGGCTCATGCCTGTAATCCCAAAACTTTGGGAGGCTGAGATGCAAGGATCACTTGAGGTCAGGAGTTCGAGACCAGCCTGGCCAACATGGCGAAACCCCGTCTCTACAAAAATTACATGGGTGTAGTGGCACACGCCTGTAGTCCCAGCCACCTGGGAGGCTGAGGCAGGAGAATCACTTGAACCCAGGAGGTGGAAGTTGTAGTGAGCCAAGATCACACCACTGCACTCTAGCCTGGGTGACAGAGCAAGACTCTGTGCCCCTCACACCAAAAAAAAAAGTTCACCATGTTTCCTAACTGTGGAACTTCTCAGAGGCCTTCTCATACACTAAGATACTTGGTGCTATTCAAAGACAGCTTAATAAAATACAGTTGATCGTTTAACAACACGGGTGTGAACTGTGCTGGTCTACTTATATGACAGTTTTCTTCCACCCCTACCATGCCTGAGACAGCAAGACCAACCCCTCCTCTTCTTCCTCCTCCTCAGTCTACTCAATTTTAACATGACAAGGATGAAGACCTTCACCGATGATTTACTTCCATTTAAGGAACAGTAAATATATTTCCTCTTCCTTACGGTTTTCTCAGTAACATTTTCTTTGCTCTAGTTTACTATATTGTAAGAATATAGTATCTAATATCTATAATGTACAAAATATGTGCTATTGACTGTTAATGCTATCAGTAAGACTTCCAGTCAACAGTAGGCTATTAGTAGTTAAATTCTGCAAAGTCAAAAGTTAGATGTTCAACTGAATGGGGGGTCGGTGCCCCCAATGCCTGCATTGTTCAAGGGTCAACTGTATTTTTTACTAATTTTAAGTGATATCTGGTATTAATCCCATTTTCAGTTAAGTGGCAGTTCAAACAAATTAAAATAACTTACCCATCAGGACTGCATACCTTAGGTGGAGGATTTAGGATCTGAAACACATTTGGCTGGCTCCAAAGCCTGTATTCTCTCCCATTGTCCCACAGTGCCACAAAAAAAATGGAAATAATTAATTTGGGTCTGCCTGCTCCCTCTCAGGGCTGCAAATCCTTCATCAAGAGTCAAGGTACGGTCAGAGGGAGCACACGCAGGCCTGAGATTCCACAGAAAGAGCACAGAACAAAAGATGGAAACCCATCCCACTCACACGACAGCCCTTCTTGGGTACACTCTCTTTGGTGGCAGATGCCCAAAGATAACAGACTGTGCTACGCGTCAACAATCTCATCTGACTGCTAGGTTAGGTCCATTCCATGTAAAAATAACAACAACCCCTGCCTTCTCAGTCCCCTGTACTTAATTATTAGAAAAAGAGAAGGAGAAAATACGCCAGTTAGGAAACTTCAAGAACGCCCTCTGTTCCTTTCCATTTTGCTGGCATGCATCTCTACTAGAAGCCTGAGAAAATAAGGCATCAAGGTGACCAACCTACATACACTTGTACCGGATTCTCTAGAATGTGTCTTCAGGAATTCCCCGGGGCTCTTCCTGTGGTGCTGAGAGTGGCTCTGCCACCATCACAGCAAACAGGAGGCTTAAGGATGAAGTGACAGCCGCTTTCCCAAATGAAATGCCATAACATCACCCAGACCGCCTCACTTAGGACTGAGGGCTCCACGCATTCAAGCAATAACTAAAGGAGAATCAGTGTGAGGTCATCCACTGAGTCATGCCAAACTACAAGACCTTTTTTTCTCTTGAAAAAGGGTGAGAGAGATGTTTGCTCTTGGCAGACAGTTCTAATTTTCATGCAAATTAAATCATTGGTCTCGTTTCCATTTCTTCTGGGCTCATACGCATACATATTTATGTATACATACGTATACAAACCCACAACCACTTATTTCATCACTATGAAAGCCCAAATACCTTATTATAATCACTGCAATGGACATGACAAGAACTGGGAGTTCTATTTCACAGTCCCTATTAGCGATTATGACAGAAAGTCTACACGTGCCTTTTAATTTCATCACTTAACGTTTCTTGGGCTGAGGTAATATCAAACTCATCTTTACATTCATCCACTGTAATTTCAAGTAGAATGCCTGAAAAGTGGTAGACATATATAAAACATCTACCGAACTGAATTAAAGCAAAATAAAACATGTAATGTAAAACAGAACACTCAGGCCTTGTGTCTTACAAAATCCTTGAAACTTCACAATCGAGATGTGACCATTGCCAAGTCTTTCCAATGAATTAAAAAGCAAACAAAATTTCTACTATACTTATGCCACGTGAAATTGCTGCTTTTGTAGGTCAAGAATGATTGGATATCAACAATTTCATGTGGTTCAGTCTAACAGAATATAATCAATCACACAAACTAAGGTAGAAAATCTGGATATATCTCCAACAACAATGTTCCACTTACCACAATATTCATATACAAAGGATATAATCACAAGGTATATACCAAATTAGTGTGAAAACAGCATGTTTCAGGACATCTAAGGAAATCGTATAATCAAAACTTATTTTTTAAATTAACAAGATATAATAAAGGCATTTTACGTGTAATAAAATTCACCAATTTTAAACGTAGAACTTGATGCATTTTGACAGATATAGTCTCGTAACCTCCACTACAGTCATGAGGTAGAATATTCCCGTCACCACAAAAAGGTTCTCTTGTACCCCTCTGCAGTAAATCCCTTCCCCATACCACCGGCCCCAGACCTGCTTTCTGACAGTGTATCAGTTTTGCCTTTTCTAGAACTTCATATAAATGGAGTCATACAATATGTACTCGACTGGCTTCTTTCACTCAGCATAATGCTTTTGAGAGTCATCCATGTCGCTTTATCAGTAGTTCATCTCTTTTCCTTGCTATGTCGCATACCACAATGTGTTTATCTGTGCACCAGACAAGTTGTTTCCAGTATGTGGCAATTGTGGAAAAAGCTGTTATGAACATTTGTGTATCTTTTTAAAATGTATTTTCATTTCCCTTGGGTGAATTAACTCAGAATGAAATTGCTGAGTTAGCTAGTAAACATGTGTTTAACTTTATATGAAACTAGCAAACTGTTTCCCCAAATGCTGTATCATTTTCCACTCCCAAGAGCAGCGTAGGAAAGCTCCAGTTGTCACAGCTCCTCGTCAACATTTGGTATGGTCAGTCTTTTTCATCTTAGCCACTCTAGGGAACATGCACTAGTATCTCCTAGTGGTTTAATTTACATTTCTCTAATGATTAATGATGTTGACATCTTATACTTACCTGCTATTCATGTATCATATTTTGGAAAATCTCTATTCAAAATATGTTACTCATGTTTAACTGGGTTGTCTCAGCTATAAGAGGTTTTTTTTTTTTAATCAGATATATATTTTTCAAATATTTTCTCCTAGACTATAGATTGTCTCTTCATCTTAACAGATCTTTTGAAGACCCAAAGTTTTAAATTTAGATTAAGTTAAAAAAATTTCTTAAACTAAAAAATTATTTAGTTTCTATGCTAAAAAGAAAAAATGTCTGCTGTTAGGGGGTGGAGGTGATGAACAGGCAGAGCTCAGAGGAATTTTAGGGCAGTAAAACTCTTCCGTATGATACTATAACGGTGGATACATCTAATTACACATTTGTCCAAACTCATAGAACACTAAGAGTGAACCCTACCTAGTGTGAACTACTGGACTTCGTGTGACAATGTTGTGTCAATGTAGGTTCATCGATTGTAACCAGTCCCACTGTGGTTGGGGATGCTACTAATGGAGGAGGCTGCGCATGTGTGGGGACAGGGAACAGATGGGCAATCTCATGCCTTCTGTGCAATTTTGCTGTGAACCTAAAACTTCTCTAAAACATAGTCTATTTAACAGTAAAAATCTTTGCCCGTCTGAAGGTCACTAAGAGTTTCTCCTATGCTTCCTTGGTAAGACTGTATATTTTTAGCACTTACATTTAGATCGATTACCCATTTCAAGTTAATTTGTGTATATAGTACAAGGAATGACTCAAGGTTCATTTTTATTAATACAATTATCTGATTGTTTTGGCACCACTTGAAAATATTCTTTCCTCACTGAATTATATTTGTACCTTTGTCCATAATCAATTGGGCATGTATGTGTGGGTCTATTCTGTTCCATCAATCTATCTGTTTATACTTACGCCAATACTACACTGTCTTAATTACTATAGCCGGAAAGTAAGCACTGAAATCAGGCAGTGTAACTTAGAATACAGTACTGATTTTTAAATAATTTAATAACTGTGGGACAATTCACCCCCAATGGATATATCACAGGACCTCAAACTGATGCTGTTACTCCCTCCATTCCTTTTTCCTGTGTAAATTAACAGTGGCTCCTTGCACACATGCCAGTGGGACTTCAAAGGCCTCCATGTATTTCCTGCCTAGATGGAGCATAAAGAATTCCTGCCCAGTTGACCTCATCCAGAATGGACTGTTACCTATATTTATTACCACGTATGATCTTTTCTTGTTCCACTGGCCATAACCCCTTGCACCCGTGGTCTCTAGTCCTTAGATTTTTCCAGACCATATCATTAAAATGTTTCTAACCTCTGTTTTGACCATCTGATTCCTACCTATTTGGACTTCCTCAGAGAATCATTTCCCTAACATACTGGTCCTTAACCCAGACCATGGCCTGTTTTCACTAAGAGTCTGGCCCTTACCTGTAACTGAAACCCACCCCATCATCTCACAGAACTAATCTATTAATATGCAGTTTCTAATGAGCTTAGAAATTGACCCACCCTGTCTTAAAACTTAAGAAAGTTGCATTTGTTTTATCTGAATTCCTTTCTCAGAAAACCAACCATCAGGGCTCCCAGATATCAAGGAGCTGAAACTCACCAGATCACTGCATTTGGACAAGGAGACACCAGACCCTTCACCCATTATGGCTGCCTCAGTGACCACCAGCTTCCTGTTGACCAACTCCTCTTCCTTATACCTTCCTAATTCCTGTTTACCGGCATGTAGTTACATTGCCTTCCCACTATATAAGCCCCCAATTTTAGTTGGTCAGGGAGATGGATTTGAGACTGAGCTCCCATCTCCATGGCTGCAGTACCCGATTAAAGCCTTCTTCCCTGGCAACACTTGTCTCAGCAGTGATTGGCTTTCTGTGCGGCAAGCAGCAGGACCTAAACCAAATCTCTGGTGTTCTGGTAACATAAACACAGAAGGGTAAGTTAAAAAAACAAAGCCATTTTCTGCCCCTATGCTCAACCAAATCTGCTGCTACTGGCCATGAGGGCCGCCCACTGCACGATTCAAGGATGCCATTCACACCAAGCAACAAAATGGCCCTGCCCGACTCCTCCTCCTCTTTGCCCACCCTCCCACATTAGTAGAAACAATGTCTTCCTATCAGAATCACCAAGTAAAAATATTTTTAATGTTCCTTGGACCAAATTCATATCCTAAATATTCTTATGTTAACCTTGATGTGTTTCAGACAAGTCAAAATGCAATCTACAAATAACTGTTTCAGTGAGATCACTTTTTATTTCTCCTAAAATCCTCATATATTTACATCATCTTACAGAACCACAATGAGCATAAAATTAGCTACTCTCTTCCTATCATTTGTACCAGCTACCCACCAGACACTTTTGAAATGTATCATGTAAACTGAATTTTCCAGTTGCATGCCAGGATAAAAGTCCTTGAACTTGGGGTCACTTGGCAGTCATTTTATCTTTAAACTCACACCTACAGGCACTAGGGAAAAAAGGAAAGGGAAGGAGAGAGGGAGAGAGAGAGGACTCAGATAAGATGATATCATAAAGTTATATAACATGGTGCCGAAATTGTCTCATCCAAAAAATTACTTGAGATTTCTTTTGGCTTTAGGTATGAACCACATATTAGTTACTAGAAAGGGTATCTAGTTTCCACCTAGATTAAAAAACAAACCAAAAACATGTTTCAGGCCAGGTCTGGTGGCTCATGCCGGTAATCCCAGCACTTGAGGAGGGCAAGGTGGGTGGATCACTTGAGGTCAGCAGTTCAAGACCAGCCTGGCCAACATGGTGAAACCCCATTTCTACTAAAAATACAAAAAGTTAGCTGGGCACGGTGGCATGCACCTGTAATCCCAGTCACTCAGGAGGCCGAGGCAGGAGAATCGCTCGAACCCAGGAGCTGGAGGTTGCAGTAAGCCAAGATTGTGCCACTGCACTCAACCCTGGATGACAGAGTGAGACTCCATCTCAAAAAAAAAAAAAAAAAAAAAAAAGAAATGTTTCACTGTCAAGATGACAGGCTGAGAAATTATTTCCCCATAAAAACCTAGCTCCACTTAGTTTAAGAAACAAAACTCAAAAGGCAAAAATCAGAAACTCCTGGATACAAAAATCAGAAATGGGAAAAGAGACACAAGGTACAGAGGATGGAGAGGAAGGAGACTAGGAGTTACTACCCTAACTCGATGAAAGCTAAACACAACCAAGGACCCCTCCCAGGACAGCCCTGGTGAAGTGGAATCACATAGAAAAGCAACAGATGACACTTGACATGAATTACTGTCCAGAAAACTTCATTTTAGAAAATGGCTGTTAAGTACAATTGTATATCACTCAACTGTCAAATCCTAGTCTACTCAAGGTGAGGCTCCTATAACTTCTTTGAAATTTCTAGTAATTATTATCTGAACTGAGTTGCCACTATTAAACCAGGCAGCCACTTAGTCCAACTATTTTTGGGTCCCAAATTTAACACTTAGTGTCTTAGAAGAATTTAATTTTCATAGTCCAAAAAGGTCAGAAGCCTGGTTGATGTAAAACAAGTGGTGTCTATTATTTCTCTCAGGAAGGCAGAAAAACTAGGGCAGGGATTACTGCAGCTACAGAATGACTGTCCTCCACACCTCTCCTTGTTCAGGCGGCTTGGCCTACTCTCCTGACAGTGCAGCCACGGAAAAAGTGCCAAAGCATGCCAACCTCAAACAGAGGTGATGACAGAGAAGCTGAAATCCTGGTTTCCCTGGGGATTTGGCTGGCCAATTTTTAGAAAGCTCTACTCCTAGCTGAAGTGCTTTTATTATTCTCTTTTTCTAAGCAGGAAGAATACAGAAGAACAGGGCCTGGGAACCTAGGAGCACTTCTCTTTACCATTGGTTCAGTAAAATCAGTGTCATTTTGCCTGCGAAAAGCTCTCTAACTGATCCCTGTTTTATCAGACGATAAAACTCTGACGCTGAATGGGAACCTAGAACAGGGATCTATGGCAACTTAGCAAGGATCACTTCTTTTTTGTTTTTTTTTTTTTCTTTTTTGAGACAGGGTCTTACTGTCCTCTAGGCTGGAGTACGGTGGCGTAATCTCAGCTCACCGTAGCCTCTGCCGCCCTGGCTCAAACAATCCTCCCACCTCAGCCTCCCCAACGGCTGCAACTACAGGCATGCACCACCACGCCCAGCTAATTTTTTATTTTTTGTAGAAATGGGGTTTTGCCATGTTGCCCAGGCTGGTCTTCAACTCCTGGGCTCAAGCGATCCTCCCACCTCAACCTCTCAAAGTTTTGGGATTACAGGCATGAGCCACTGCAGTCAGCCAGTAAGGATCACTCTTATCCCTAGTAAAAAGGATCCGTGATACAAAATGGCCACTGAGTCCCTTCTCTCTCCCCAGTCTCTTACACATTCTCATAAACAGTGATTGACTCACTTATTTTCTGCAGAAGACAGAATGGCATGAATGGGACGGAAACGGTTCATATGACTACTTGGATATCTCTCATCCTGTGAACCAGTCTAACAAGCAATTACCTTGAGGAATCTGAAAATAAAATCGTGATATGAATTCATGAATCAGGAAAGAACCGTGTACTTGCATAATTAGCCTTCTTTAGAGAATGGGGAAATACATATCTGATACAAGACAATTTTTAAGGTGTAATCCCATCATTTGCAAGTCACTAAGAATAAATGTGAAGGTGACAGTGGGAAAAAAAAGAAAGAGAAAGAGAGATGGGTTGGTATGATCTATTTTTAGCTTACAGTTCAGCTACACATAATATATTAACAAAATTTCTGATACTGCTAAGGTGCATTAATATAGATTAAAGGAAACAAGATAATAAAGGAGATGGACTGAGCTCTTCAAGTCTGTACTAGTAGGAAATGGAATTAAACACAGGCTGTGGGGTTTTATGAAAGTCACAATGGTCATCAGCATATGCAAACCCACTAAATTCTTCACCATATAAACTTTTTGTTACATTTTTATAACAAAAGTTAAAAATATACCCTCACATTTTTGAAAGTATGCTTCTTATGGTTCCTAAGATACCAAAAATAAAATAAAACATTCCTAAAACAGTCCAAAATTAAAAGGAGGCCCATAGGTACTTGCCTATAGGTGTCGCACAGAAAATTTTTTTTATAAAAACAATGTTTCTACTCTTTTATTATTAATCCAACCCCAGAATTTTAAAAGTATGCAAAGTATTATTACACGCCAATAAGCTAATGATAATTCAAACATTATAAATTGCTATACTTTTTTTTTTTTTTGAGGTGGAGTCTCGCTGTCTCCTAGGCTGGAGTGCAGTGGCGCAATCTCGGCTCACCAAAAGCTCCGCCTCCCGGGTTCATGCCATTCTCCTGCCTCAGCCTCCCAAGTAGCTGGGACTACAGGCACCCGCCACCACACCCGGCTAATTTTTTGTATTTTTACTAGAGACGGGGTTTCACCGTGTTAGGCAGGATTGTCTCGATCTCCTGACCTCGTGATGGGCCCACCTCGGCCTCCCAAAGTGCTGGGATTACAGGCGTGAGCCACCGTGCCTGGCCATAAATTGCTATACTTTTTTAGTAACAGGTTAAAAACCCTGGGATCTGAGGGAAAGACCAATTGTTTAACTCCATTCTTCATTCTCAACATGTGTTTCCTACCGCTAATAAATGGAACTCGAGTTTTTCCATGGCCCCACTCAGTTGGAAGAATCCTCTTTCTCGCCTGAACTTCTGTGGCACTCTGTCCAGACTGACTTTTATCATTTATTATAATAAGTGGTATAGCGCACAAACCTGATCCATTTTCTAGACCAAGTTCCCAACGCACAGGCTCTGAGGGGGATTCAGTTGAATCTCCCAGGTGCTTATTCCTTGCTGCAAGGCCTCTGGAAACTCCTGCTTTATGAATCTAGAATCAATGAATAAATATCCTGACAAATAGCTACTTACATGTAAACTCTAGATGTTATCTCATTTCTCTACACTGCATGAGCACTGTGTTGTATCTTTCGGCTAATAATATAGACAAACTAAGTTAATGATTATTCTTGCAAAGATGCAAAGATTTTTTTTAATCTAGTATGAACTAAAAGCCATAATTAATCACCGAGAAGGATAGCCTCAACTTTTTTAAACTGACTGTAAACTGATTACCTAGTGCCACTCGGCTAATACACTGGAACCAGCCCTTGGTAGACAGATGTGCCCTTCCAAACAGATATGCACAGTAGGCCTGGGCTCATCCCAATTTGGAGCTACTCCCAACTACTCGGATCTTTGCCTTGGATCAGCCCAACAAATGAGCATCTTATGGAAGATGAGGCCGCTCACAAACCCACAATGAAATACATGGCTTGGGCCCTCTCTAATGAATTACTCATGAGTCAGGCATGACACCTGAGTCTGGGAGGCTCCTCTCATAAAGTCGGTAGTAACCTTAACATAGAAAGAAGTTATAAATGACTATGCAACCTTACAACTGGCTTCCACCCATAGTCATCGCTACTTCATATGCAAACAGCACCTCTGATATCTCACTCAGATTCTAAAGAAATCTTTGCTAGGGGAAGAGAAAAAGGGAGAGGAAAAAAAAGACATTCTCTGCTGTGTTTTACATTTCTTAATCCTCTCTAGTTTCGTCTAGAGTTTAGAGAAAGTCAGTGAGAAAAAAGATTATGGGCATGTTCCTAACCATTTATTTCAATTTCCTTTATTATTAGGTGGAAAAGTAGTTAACAGCTATGCAAAGCAGGTGCAGAGAGGAGGAGGAGGAAGGCAAAAAGAGGGCCGCTTTTGAGGTGCATGAACCAAGAAGAGTCGCTGCCTGCTCTGTGCCATCATGCAGCTGTTAATGCCACAAGGCTGCTCTCCCACCCTCCCCAAAGTTGATAATGAAAAATCAAAGCACAAACAAAAGCAATGCACAGAACAGGATAGCAAAACCCGATCATCCTGCACCAACCACATCTCTTCAGTGCATCTGCTTTGACCTCTGCTTTTACAAGCACTACCACTGAAAATAAGCTAGAACAAAAGCTGATTCGTTATGCACAACCATAAAGAACTCCGGGGCACGCTACATACATAATTCATCATGCCAAGCACGCGACAATCAGCATCATTTATCTTTGCGGTATTTTAAAGCGGTGACAGGTTACTAGATATTTATAAAGTCTCTTATTTCTATGAGACCCTTCCAAATTTAAGAAATAAAGAACCTTATTCCTCTGCAAATGGCACTGCTTACAAACCTAAGACTATATATCTCCTGGAATTCACCTGGTATCCATCATAAGAGGGTGGCTACACGACCCTAATAAACCAATTAAGCTAGCAGCCGTTCCACATCAGTCCTGTTGAAATTAATCTTATCAAATCACTTCCGCTTTCTGTTTTTTAAAACATGCTGCAGTCTTCTTCCCGCTGTGGTTAAAATTTTTCTTGAAACATACACTTAAATCAGTCATGCTTTCTGTCTAATGGATGAGGAAACCGGAGCCTGGGAAGGTTCAAGAGCTCAGAGCTAGGAGGAGAGAGGCCCAGGACTCTGCCTCATTAACATCCAAGACTCAATTGCCTTCATCCCCAAGGACCTACCTGGGGGCCTCTATTGTTTATTATTGTCTGAATTACCTCTAAGTGGTCCCTCTGACTCCATTCTTACTCCATTGAAATCCATCTTCCACACTGCTGCCCTGAGTGTGCTGACAAAATGGAAATTTGACATTTCCCCATTTGACCCTTCAGTATTTTCCTCTCACCCTCTGAAAAAAACCATCAGGCTTTAATTTAGCTTAACACCCAGATGCCAGAAGTTCCTTCTGGTGAAAAAGTGTTAGCTAGTGAATAGATAGGCTAAAAGTTATTTACACGGGATATGTACAGTGGTTCAACCTGTAATCCCAGCACTTCGGGAGGACAAGATGCACAGATCACTTAAGCACAGGAGTTCAAGACCAGCCTAGGCAACATAGTGAGACCCTGTCTCTACAAAAAAAAAAAAAAAAAAAAAAAAATTAGCCAGACATGGTGGCACGCACCTACAGTCTCAGCTAACTCGGGAGGCTGCAGTGGAAGGATAGCTTGAGCCCAGGAAGTTGAGGCTGTGGTAAGCTGAAATCGCGCCACCTCACTCCAGCCTAAATGACAGAGCAAGACTCTGTCTCCCAGGAAAACAAAAAAGGTTTAAAAAGAAAACAAAAATATTTACAGACGTGCATTGATAAATGAATAGTTGGGCTGCCAGTAATTTGTACAGCCCATCACACGTCAGGGGCCCTGGTTTTACAGAAAGTCCCTACGACTCACCTCCCCTGGAGACCTCCCATCCATCTAACCACCCCACACACACACACGTGGATCAAGACAGATTCCATCCCGCAGGCCTCTCCGAGCCCCTGGAGATCTTTTTCTCCTGGAATTTATTACACAGCCCTGCAAATCTCTGCTTACTGTCCACACTGCTTCCCTGGACTGCAGCTTCCCGGGGTCAAGGCCTTGCTCCCCTCCCATGCCCCATGCTCTGCCCCATGGCTGGTCACTGCCAATCCCCAGCAAATGTTTATAGTCCAGTACTGCAATGTTAAAAGCAACCATGTGCATTTCACACAAGGAGTCCTTACTTTTTTTCTTTTTTTGGTGACAGGAGCGTCACTCTGTTGCCCAGGCTGGAGTGCAATGGTGCAATCTCAGCTCATTGCAACCTCTGCCTCCGGGGGTTATTCTGCTTTTCATTCAAATAACTACCCATTTTTAATGGGTGACAAGCTATTGCCTTCCTGAGAAGCAGCACAGGGTGACAGCAAAGACCATAGGTTCCTGAGGACAACCTGGGCTCTGCTACATGCTGTGTGCCCCTGGCCATATGACTTAGCCCTCCTCTGTCTCCACTCCTCATCTGTAAACCAGGATGATGGTAATCAGAGCTAATGTTTACTGAGCCCTTATTATATGGTAAAAACTACTTGCAGCTGGGCGTGATGGCTCACACCTGTAATCCCAGCACTCTGGGAGGCCGAGGGGGCTGGATCACTTGAGGTCGGGAGTTTGAGACCACCCTCGCCAACTTGGTGAAACCCAGTTTCTACTAAAAATACAAAAATTAGCTGGGCATGGTGGCACATGCCTGTAATCCCTGCTACTCATGACAATGAGGCACAAGAATCATTTGAACCAGGGAGGTGGAGGTTGCAGTGAGCCAAGATCACTCCACTGCACTCCAGCCTGGGCAACAGAGTGATCACAAACACGCAAACAAAGAAAAAACTACTTGGGGACTTGACATCTATTCATTCATTTCCCCCTCACAACATCTAAGGAGACTCTGATAGCAGGTGTAAATGCTTGGGAACTGTTAGAATTATTTTTACCTATTTACAGACGAAATTGAGGCCCAGGGAGGCCAAGTGGCTTCCCAGAGGTCCAGGCCCCCGACTTCCTAATCCACTGATTTAATTACATCCAAGGCTCAGATGCATGGGCTCAGATGTATGAATGGCATTCAAGAAGTGCCTGGGAGAGGTTAACATACTGCTGATAAAAGATGCAAGGCCTCTTTCTCTAATGCTGGTTTAATATAAAGCAAGTAAGCTGCATGGCAATATTCATCTCTAGCTACAGCTAAGGTGACACTTGTTCTGTCACCCTACCTAGGAAACCGTATCAACTCCCTGAGATGAAAATCTGCCCCATTCCAGAAATGAGCTAAATCAAAGGAGGGAGAAGGAAGGAAGAGGAGGCTAAGGCAAAAAGTTATTCACACTTTGCATAAACATGCCCGGATGGCAAGCATTATAAAACGATCTGTGTAACATAAGCTTCTGGGTCCATGGGAGGCAAGGGAGCATGTGACTGTGCACGGATATGAACAAAGCCAGCGACACACCACCAGATTCTTCAAAAGCAAATATTTGTCTATGACCAAAGAATCGGGATTCTTTTCTAACAAAGAGGAATGTACACCGTTCTAATTCCTGATTCTTCCTCCTGCTTTACAGTGGGTTATGATCTCGATGGAAATCCCCCCATGAATAAATGTGTCTGCAATCACAAATGGCCCCATAAATCAGAAGATTTATGAACTGTAAAAGGGGACGGCAGGAGGATTCCAACCTTGCAGCTTCCTTCATGCGGACCACCTGGGGCCGGATGCATGGCAGTTTATCACTTCCTGGAAACAGTCATCTGGCTTTTCTTTTTAGCTAAGCAAGAAAATGTTATCAGCCCTGGTAATCAACAAGATGCAATCATCCCTGCTATTTGGGTAAGCTTTTAATGCCGCACCACATTACACAGAGGAGGCTCAGATGCATAGGCTCGGATGCATGAACAGCATTCAAGAAGTGTCTGGGAGAGGTTAACACACAGCTGATAAGCTCTGGCTGGCTGCAGTGAGGCCTGGCCCAACAGCCCCTAAGGCAAATTCCTGAAGGGACTAAATAGAAAATGAGTGGATATTCCCTATTCCAAGGGAAAAAATAAAAATAAAAAAAAAGATGGGAACAATACAGTAACCAGGGAAAAGCACAGAGCATGCACATGTGTGTTTTTCTTGGGGAGGGGGAAATGCATATATTTCAGAGGCTTAACAAATACATTCAAAAGAACACCTGCTCCATCCCAGACAGGCAGCAGAACATCGTGCAAGAGTGAGACGGAGACAACCGGGCAGTGCCACTCGTGAGCCATCTGGGAGTGAGGGGTGTCAGGGAAGGGGACAGATGCACCCTACAGGGCTTTGCATCCCAGTTCTTATTACTGTACCTTGGGCACAAAACAGCCCAGCTCTAGGCAAGCCAGTGAGCCATTTTTGGTATCATAGTGTTCTTTTGGAAAATTCACATTTCTATTTTTAGTTCTTCCACATGCAATTCATAAGCAATAGCCCTCCGGAATCAAAGTCACCTCAGCTATGCCATGAGTCAAGAGAATCCCAGTGAATATATTTTTTAATAGCATGTTCAGGGAAAATGTGACCAGCTCTGTTCGGCCATACTGTCTGCATTGACTTGGCAGTTAGCATGAAATGAAGGATTTTAAAGACCAAACACTTCAATGAGTCCTGTGAAAAAAACTCCCAAGAACCTGACTGGGGACTTTGTTAGCTTGAAATAAATATATACGTCATTAAGTATGTTTTAAACACAGAAGCAACTATAACAGGATTTAATTGCTTACTTTTTTTTTTTTTTTTTACAGGTCAAACACATTTTAGAGTGCTGGGTTACACCCACTCTTTCTTCATCACATGTACAGAAAGGCAAAGAGTGTGGGTAATCTCTTAAATTTTAAATTCCCACTTGGTATGAGGATAAAACATCCAAGAAACATTTCCTGTGCAGAACACACCAAGCTTAGGTGTAGAAAATACAACGGTGTGGAACTCGAGAGGATGGTTCTAGGATACAAATAAAAACAACCACGCAGCGCGGGAAGATTTTTGTTTAGAAAACAGATGGGACAGAAAGGCAGATGCAATGTTTTGAGTCAATGAGATACAGTTCGTTCTTAATTATATTTCATTGATTTCTTACATGGACAGAACATCATTCTTGCTGCCACTGTTTTATTTTGATCAGCGGTATATCTATCTGTAAACATGTACAATTTGTAATTATTGCTATGTCTAAACACTGCATCACGTGTAATGGCTGAATTAAGCTGTGAAATGCGTAATTATGCTGAAAACAATGGTGTTCCAATACACATCACCAAAGCCAATTTAAAAAAATTACCTTGTTTCAAATCACAAAGCGAAGCCTTCATAACCCTCGAGGCTTTTTTTAGGTCCCACCACTTTGATTTAGAGATTTGTCTTTTTCTAATTGCATCTCAAGAGTGTTCCGAGCACAGAGAGGGATTATTAACCCTGAAGGAAATAAAACTGAGTATTTCTTACACCTCTGGAAGGTGGAGAACGTACTTAGTTTAACAATCTGGAAAGGATCAAAGGTCTGCCGGTATAGGTGTGACTGAACAATACATCCATTGGTAGACTACTATGCTATATTTGTAGGATATACTATAACATTCTACACACACACACACACACACACACACACACACACACACACACATAATAATCTTCTATAACAGGGTTCTAACTGTTCATATGGAGGCATCTCAAAAATATATTTTGAAGTGATCAAATGCGAGGTGCAGAACAAGGAGTACAGCATGATCTCATTCCTGTTAAAATATATGCAAATACATGCTTTATTTTCCCTGGAAGAAATCAGCAAGAAACATTTTACAGAGGAGACAGTTTGGGGAGGGGTTATGAAAAAGGGGGCTTTGCTAATGAATCTACCATCCACATATGGATAGCACTTTTTTTATTTTCAGTTAAAGTTATAAGGGTGAAGAATCACTATGTGATTCCCGCTGTCACCTCTGTATTTAGAAAAATGTTATGAGGTTTTTTTAAGCTCTAGAAGAAATCACAGAGGAAGCTATTAATATACTGAATGAAATTTGAAACTTCAAAACGTTAAAGGTTTTTAAAGCAAAGAGGGGAACAAGCTAGAAAAAAATGCCTTAAGTATGATAGACAAAAGGTTATCTTTTATATATGAAGAGTTAATATAAACTGATAAAACACTGTGATTAAAAAAAAAAAAAGAAAAACCACCAAGATGATGCCAGAAGATGTTATTAGAGGATTCAGAAAAGAAGCAACACAATTAGGCAACATTTATACAAGAAAACGTTCACATCCACTAGTTAAAATCTTCAGTCACCAGTGACATATTGTTTCCATTAAACGGTAGTGCATTTTATAGATGATACCCAATGTTGAGGAGGTACAGTGAAAAAGATCTTGCATCTGACGTGCCCATCCTCATGGGAAGCAACGTAAACGTGCATTGAGATTTAATGACATTTTTTGCCTTTGACTCAATGACTCTACTTCGGGGATTACTGCCCAAATAAAAAAGAGTTTTTATAAAGAAATACAGTCATCAGAGAATCACTCACAAAAAAAACTGGGAACAAGAGCACAAATGGTTGGATAAACAAAAAGAACACAAGGTTAAATAAACAAAGGTGAAAAATCACCTTGATGTACTATTATGCAAGCATTTTTAATTACTGTATAAATACTAATCACAGGAAATTATATCCATGTTAGCATAAGTTTAAAAAATCAATATTTGAATTATTTATACAATTATAACTACATATTTTTAAAACCTAAGCTTAAGGAGGAAACAAAGCTAAAAGACACAGAGCAAAATGTGTAGTGATTACTTTAGATACCCACCATGAGAAACTTTTTTTTCTTCTACTCTCCAAATTTTTTATGTTTTTTTGAGTCAGTCTCGCTCTGTCACCCAGGCTGGAGTACAGTGGCACGATCTCAGCTCACCGTAACCTCTGCCTCCTGGGTTCAAGCGATTCTCCTGCCTCAGCCTCCTGAGTAGCTGGGATTACAGGTGCGTGCCACCACGCTCAGCTAATTTTTGCAATTTTTTACTAGAGACGGGGTTTCACCATGTCAGACTGCTCTCGAACTCGTGACCTCGTGATCCGCCCGCCTCGGCCTCCCAAAGTGCTGGCATTACAGGTGTGAGCCACCATGCCCGGCCTATAAGTTTTTATAAAGGGGAAAAAGCATTTTTAAAAGAGCATAAGGTGTTCATATGAACAGAGATCATACTGTATTCCACCTCTTCTATGAAGAAAAGAGTTTTGATCCACAAACTTATCACTCTTCTAAAAGTATGTTTAGACTCTTGTACCTTCTGGAATGGTGGAAACAGCAGCAAACTCCTACTGAGCTCTTGCCAGGTGTCAAGCATTGTTCTAAGCATTTAACACATATAACTCAATCTTCAGAACCAACACAAACTATTATGATGCCTAAAGTCACATAACTAAGAAGCAGTGGCACAGGGATTAGAGCCCAGCAGTCTACTCCAAGAGCTCTTGCAACTAACCACCATATTATAATGCTTCAATTTGAAAACTACACAAAATCCCAACTGTTTCAAGTCAATCTATAAAGCAAATACAAACAAAATATAACCTAAGACTTAAAAATACCTTGTACTTCCTAGGATTTGATTAAATGTAATTGAGGAAACTTTGATAAGTTGGCAGGCAAGGGAAGACAAACTCAAATGATGATAAGATGCAAGAAACCACTGTTGTCGGCCGGGCGTGGTGGCACATGCCTATAATCCCAGCACTTTGGGAGGATGAGGCAGGCAGACTGCCTCAGGTCAGCAGTTCGAGACCAGTGTGGCTAACGTGGTGAAACCCCGTCTCTATTAAAAATACAAAAATTAGCCGGGCATAGTGGTGTATGCATCGTGATCCTCCCGCCTCGGCCTCCCAAAGTGCTGGGATTACAGGTGTGAGCCACCACACCTGGCCTATAAGTTTTTATAAAGGGGAAAAAGTACTTTTAAAAGAGCATAAGGTGTTCATATGAACAGAGATCATACTGTATTCCACCTCTTCTATGAAGAAAAGACTTTTTATCCACAAACTTATCACTCTTCTAAATAGTGGTCCCAGTTACTCGGGAGGCTAAGGTAAGAGAATCACTTGAACCCAGGAGGCAGAGGTTGCAGTGAGCCAAGATCATGCCACTGCACTCCAGCCTGCATGACAGAGCAAGACTCAGTCAAAAAAAAAAGAAAAAAAATGAAACCACTGTCATAGTGCGGTAAGTGGTGTCCAACAAATGAAGTGCATAAGACATGGTGGTCCAGGGCTGGGCGCAGTGGCACACACCTGTAATCCCAGCACTTTGAGAGGCCAAGGTGAGTGGACTGCTGGAGCCCAGGAATTTGAGACCAGCCCAGGCAACGTGGCAAAATCCTGTCTCTATAAAAAATATAAAAACTAACTGGGCATGGTGGCATGTACCTGTAGTCCCAACTACTGGGGAGGCTGAGGTGGGAGGATCACTGGAGCCCAGAAGGTCAAGGCTTTAGTGAGCTGTGACTGTGCCACTGCACACTCCAGCCTGGGTGACAGAGTGAGACCCTGCCTCAAAAAAAAAAAAAAAAAAACTACGGTGTTCCATTAATGCAAATTTAATAAAAATGGCATTTTCAGTCAGTGAGTAGTGTCACACACAAAAAAGCATAAAGTAAATATAGTGAAACTTAAACAGCCCACAATAAAATGGTAATTGTGTCAGATCCGAATTTGCCTTTATTGCAGGGTCTATTAGGGTAAGATTTAGAGCAGGGAAAATCGATGTTCTGGAATACATTCCTAGGGATTACAGAGGCATGCGGCTCTCTGGCTGATGTTAGAATGAATAACCAATGCTACTCTTCTCCCTCTACTCCGACATAGTGAAAGTGACCAGCAGCACGCTTAGACATGGCTCTGCAGAGCAGGTGTTCTGTCAGCTTAACAATAACTTGATTATGAGTCTGAGCAAATAATGTGAAACTACCCTTCCGTTTTCCCAGCCATAAATCTCTTCCAAGGTCTCAAGAGAGCCCAGCCCAATGACAAAGGGACAGGCTAGAACAATGCTTTTAAAACTCTAGTTGATGGGCCAGTGGGTCACTGGCAAGTGTCTACCAGTCCATGAATGCCATTTAAACAAAGAAGTCTCTCCCTTACTATAATTTCTAAATGCAAAACGCATCTGTGCCCACACATGCCCACCCCTAGGCCTGCTGAAGTCTTTGTCTGCTCCCTGCCTTTTAAATGGCATTCTAACTTGAAATGCTCCACCCACCTCCCTTCTTCAGGTGGTTAACTAGAAATCATCCTCTGACACTCAACTACAGTGTGGCCTTTCTGGGAACCCTTCTCTGAGACCCCTGATGGCGCTCTCCCCACCTTACCTCCACCTGACCATGACCTCCGCTGACCTCTGCACGGGCAGCTCCTGTGCAGTACCAGACTGTCTGCCCAGAACTTAGAATATGAAGGGAGAGGAGGTGAGCTGGTGTACTCTGGAAATCAATGGCAACCTAACTGAGACCCAAGTGACGGTGGGTCAGAGCAGAGGTTTGGGGCTGATATCCTAGAGTTCTCTAACTCTGGGGAATTCACTTAATTTCTAAATGTCAATTTCTCCTTCTGAAAGCAAAGACAGTAATAATACCTACTTCCTAGGGCTGCTGTGGGGATTAAATAAGATCACCCCTAGGAGGCACTTAGCACTGTCTCTGCAACATGAGAAAACGTCAACATTGTCACCTCTTCTATTTTTCTCCAAAAATAGGGAGACTGATGTGATGATTAACACAATTACCTTTATGACATGAAAAACAAGAATCATATTAAAACAATAATAAAGTTGGTAAGTCAAACAACGGCACCCAGGCGAAATATTTTTCTGGTTTTATGTTTTCCCTTTCCATTGCGTTTTTAAAAATTCCTTCTTTTCAAAAAAAGAAAAAAAAAAAGGAAAAAAGGAGGGAAGGACAGAAAGAGTGAGGAGGAAGGGAGGGAGGCTTGTTCTAGAGACCTAAAATTCACTACTGCTATAACCTAGTACTAATACAATGTTAATAGCATAGACTTCATTTTAGGAATAAGGAGGATCTAAGAAAATTAAACTCTTTAATTTTCTCAACATTTAATATGCTAATAGTACAAAAGTACTTCAAAGCATCTCTCAGCAAAGAAATCCAGCAGTCATATATTTTTATTATGATGATATGCACTTTAATGGATGCTGTCTTTGGAGTCAGCATTCATATAGTCTTTGGTGTTCAGAAATGACTGATGATTTGAATCCTTCCCCAGATGGGAGCAAGTCTATAAATGACAAAAAAGGTAAGGACTACTGCCAGGCATGGTGACTCACGCCTGTAATCCCAGCACTTTGGGAGGCCGAGGCAGGAGGATCACTTGAGGTCAGGAGATTGAGACCAGGCTGGCCAACACGATGAAACCCCGTCTCTACTAAAAATACAAAAAAAACTAGCTGGGTGTGGTGGCACATGCCTGTAGTCCCAGCTAGTTGGGAGATGAGGCAGGAGAATCACTTGAACCCGGGAGGCGGAAGCTGCAGTGAGCCAAGATCGCATCACTGCACTCAAGCCTGGGTGGCAGAGAGAGACTCCCATCTCAAAAAAAAAAGGTAAGGACTCCTGAAGAAAAGGCATTTCTTTTCCTTGGAAAGGCTGATTCGTTTGGGAAGTTTTTAGAGATCCTCATATACAATGAATTTCCTTTTTCCAGCATCCTCACAAGTTCTGCCTGAGATTTCTCGCAAACAAGTAATCCAAACTGAAAGTCAACTCAAAAGAAGGACTTGACCATTACTTTCCACCTACTCATACATCTGAAGGAAATTCAAAGCTGTGGCCTGCTTTGCTCAGTAGGATCACATTTTTTTTCTGGAAAAATCAAAAGCCAGGGTTCCCCCCAAAGTAACATTCAAATATGCAAATGATTTTCTCCATATGGGGTCAGATTCCGTATTTACAAGAATCAACAATGACATTAACCAAGATCCCAACACAGCTCCCCAAGCCCAAGATCAGGTATTTTATTTTCCTAGAACTCCCAGTTCAGTACAAACTTCTGTATAGAGCAGGTATTCAACAGTGATTGACGACACTTATCTAATCTGGTAATCATCTACATTTGTATCACTGCCACCATCACCACCCGCTGCCACTCTACCTTCATTAGGTCTTGCCAGTCATTCCAGGAGTTAAACTTAAAATTTATCTTTAAAAAAAAGCTCTATGCAGAAGACAAGAATTACACAACATTTATTTGTACTTCTCTTCTACGTGTTCTTTACGGAGCTCGTGTATGTCACCCCTCATTAAATCACATACACCCTAGAACAGACCAGGAGGCTTGGATGCCCTCCTTTCTGTCCTCTCATCCACACTAAGAGGATCCCCACAACCGTGTCCAAGATCTCCAATCAACATGGCATCTCCAGGCCTAGCCCCAAAACCCCTACTCTTAAGTTACACCTTGGAAAGAAAGTTGCTACAAAGCCTGGCAAAAGAATTCCCAGTCACTTGGCCCCAGGAAGAATGACACCAATGTATCTGCCCCACCCCTCCAAAGGTGCTTGGCTGAGATGTGGCAGGTGCACAACACTGGGAATGTACTAAATGACAGGGAATAGTTTACTTTAAAATGGCTTTTTCATATTATGTGACTTTCACTCAATAGGAGGAAGAGGAGGAGGAAGATGAGGAAGAAAAGCAGCATCAGTCATCAGGGCTTGACTCATTAAGCCACATCACCCAAAAGGCAGAATGGCACACGCACAACAGAAACCTCCAGAGAGTAGTCTTAACATGACTCCAGTTTCCCTGCCTCCTCGCCCTTCTCCCAAGCATGCTTGTTCAGATTTGCAAAAGTGAAAGAAACCATTTGCAATAGGCTGGGTGCTGGGGGCTGTCGGTCTAGGGCAGGACATCCCTTCCTTTTTTGTTTTTTTTTTTTTTCCCCCAGATGGAGTCTTGTTTTGTCGCCCAGGTTGGAGTATAGCGGCGCAATCTCAGCTCACTGCAACCTCCGCCTCTTGGGTTCAAGTGATTCTCCTGCCTCAGCCTCCCAAGTAGCTGGGATTACAGGCACACACCACCACACCTGGCTAATTTTTGTATTTTTAGTAGAGATGAGGGTTCACCGCATTGGCCAACCTGTTCTCGAACTCCTGACCTCAAGTGATCCACCTCCTCAGCCTCCCAAAGTGATGTGATTACAGGTGTGAGCCATCACGCCTGACCCATACCTTCCTAAGATGGGTGAAACAGGCTCCAAACTCACAATGTCCCTGCAAGCCCACCAGCAGTAACCCGATGCCTCTGTCTTCCTCTGCCCACATTCTTCTCCTGCTCCAACGTGCACTTTTTAGACTCTTTGCTTCTATAAATTTACAGCAAAAGAAAAAAACTTGTTGGTGATAGCTTTTCATTAAATTTACTCTTTTAATAAACAAAGCCCCAGTATTTTCAGCTAAGAGATTGAGGAAGGAAAAATGTTCTGAAGGATTTAGTGCCAAAAATAAAAATAACTCAGAATGTTTCCTTCTTGGTCTCCAGAAATAAGTCAGCCCTGCTAGCAGTGGATTCTGGGAACTGTTATCCACGCAGCCACCATCATATAGAGTACACATGCAATCATCTCTGCATTACGCCAGCCACCCTTCCATGACCTTCCAGGAACTCACACCAGCAGGTGTAACCTGTACACACTTTCCGGGAACCACTGAAAACATCTTCCTTCCTGCACCTATTCCACCTCCACCATCAGACCTCACGCTCCTCACCATCTATATGCTCCCCACTATAGAATGTTGGCTGGGCATGGTGGCTCACGCCTGTAATCCCACTTTGGGAGGCTGAGGCGGGCGGATCACCTGAGGTCAGGAGTTTGAGATCAGCCTGGCCACCATGGTGAAACGCTGTCTCTACTAAAAATACAAAAATTAGTCAGGCGTGGTGGCAGTTGCCTGTAATCCCAGCTACTCGAGAGGCTGAGACAGGAGAATCACTTGAACTTAGGCAGGAGAATTGAGCCACTGCACTCCAACCTGGTGACAGAGTAAGACTCCGTCTCAAAAAAAAAAAAAAAAAAAGAAAGCAGCAGCCAGTGAACCATCAGCTTTGGGAGGTTGGAGTATTCACTGCCTCAAGGCCAGGTGGTAGAAGGCTTTCTGTGGCCAGCTCCTGCATTAAATGCACATTTGCATCCTGCTGCTAAGTGCCCCTTGCCCACTCTTCCCCCATTTCTGTAAGAATTAGGCGGTAGATATGGAAGGCAGGAATATGTATACCAGAAAAACCACATGGGACAATGACAATGGCTTCCTTTAAAATGCATAAAGATAAAGAACATCACAGGCCGAGCATGGTGGCTCACACCTGTAATCCCAGCACTCTGGGAGGCCAAAGCGGGCAGACCACCTGAGGTCAGGAGTTCGAGACCAGCCTCACTAACATAGTGAAACCCCCATCTCTACTAAAAAAAAACACACACAAAAATTAGCTGGGGGTGGTGGTATGTGCCTGTAATCCCAGCTACGTGGGAGGCTGGGGCAGGAGAATCACTTGAACCCAGGAGGTGGAGGTTGCAGTGAGCTCAGATAGTGGCACTGCACTCCAGCCTGGAGACAGAGCGAGACTCAGTCTCAAAACAAACAAACAAACAAACAAACAAAATATCATAAACAACCAAAAAAGCACTTGCCAGGCATCAATTAAGAAATAGCCGTGCGTGGTGGCACACGCCTGTAATCCCAGCTACTCAGGAGGCTGAGGCAGAAGAATCACTTGAACCCGGGAAGCAGACGTTGCAGTGAGCTGAGATCGCGCCATTGCACTCCACCCTGGGCGACAGAGTGAGACTCCATCTCAAAAAAATAAATAAAATAAAATAAAAATGAGAGTTTGAGTTCTTTCAAAATAACCAACCTGCTCTGACCCCTTCTACCTGATCTGCCCTGTGCCAGGCATTGCACAGCTTCATTCATGCTAGAGCAGCCTTGGAGAAGGCAGGCCAAACAGGGGTTCCTAATCCCTCCCTGCTGAAGTGAAGGCTGCCAGCCCCCAGAAGAAGGTAAACCTGACAACCACCCCCCAGCAATTAATGTTGCAATCAGAAAAGCTGAACCAGGCTGGGTGCGGTGGCTCATGCCTGTAATCCCAGCACTTTGGGAGGCCGAGGAGGGAGGATCATCTGAGGTCAGGAGTTTGAGACCAGCCTGGCCAACATGGTGAAACCCTGTGTCTACTAAAAATACAAAAATTAGCCAGGCATGGTGGTGCACCCCTGTAGTCCCAGCTATTCAGGAGGCTGGAGCAGGAGGATCACTTGGACCCAGGAGGTGGAGGTTGCAGTGAGCCATGACTGTGCCACTGCACTCCAGCCTGGGCGCCAGAGCAAGACTCCGTCTCAAAACAAAAACAAAAAGAAAAGAAAAGAAAAGCTGAACCAGAGAGGACTGAGACCTGAGCCTACCTGATGTGCTTTCCACAAAGACTGGAAACACAAAGCAGACCTCCATCCCCAGGGAACAGGGACGCCAAGGCTGCCAGAGACAAGAGAGGGCAGTACTGGGCCTGCACCCACCCGCTGGTTTTCAAAACAAAACAAAACAAAATCAGCAGGCATTCTGATGCCCTAATGGATGGATGGTCAGGTGTCCTTAATCAAAAAGGGCTCCCATGGGCCAGGCGCAGTGGCTCATGCCTGTAATCCCAGCACTTTGGGCAGCCAAGGTGGGTGGATCACGTGAGGTCAGGAGTTCAAGACGAGCCTGGCCAACATGGTGAAACCTCGTTTCTACTAAAATTACAAAAATTAGCTGGGCGTGGTGGTGCATGCCTGTAATCCCAGCTACTCGGGAGGCTGAGGCAGGAGAATCACTTGAACCCAGGAGGTGGAGGTTGCAATGAGCTCAGACAGCGCCACTACACTCCAGCCTGGGCAACAGAGCGAGACTCAGTCTCAAAAAAAAAAAAAAAAAAAAAAAAGAAAGGGCTCCCATGGATAGAAGCAAGTTAATAGGTAGATGAGAAGAAAAACAGAAATGTCCAATTCCTCCTTTCCCCACTCATTCCCCTCCTATAATACAGAGTTAAAGCCCCTCACCTCTTCACGGACAAAGGGGAATAACCTCAGAGTATGACATAAAATATCCACTAAATAAAAAATACTGGTTGGGTATGGTGGCTCACGCCTCTAATCCCAACATTTTGGGAGGCTGAGTGGGGAGGACCATTTGAGGCCAGGAGATCAAGACCAGCTTGGGCAACATAAAAAGGCCCTATCTCTATTTCACAAACACACACACACACACACACACACACACACACACACACACAAAAAGAAAAAAAAAATTAAAGAAAAAATACTTTAGGAAATTCTAAACTACTTGTGCAGAGATGGACTTAAGAGTCTATTCCAGGGTTTAAAGAAGAGGCACCTAATATTTAAAATAATTCAAATACTCCAAAGGCCTTTCTAGCCTTCTAGAACTCTATTCTGCACAGTATTTGTTTATCCTAGTGCCTGATTAAGGTTTTGATTTTTACATAAAACAAAGTCCCAGGGAGTTCAGAGGCCTATTCATAAAAAGAAAAGCCAAGAAGCATCAATATTAATAAAGCTTAACCAAAGAGATATTGAAAAACCTTTGTAAAATTAAAAACAATGACTAATTCAATCCAAACAACTAGGTCATGCTCAAATTCCAGTAATTCTAAAACTTAGATATAATAAGGCAAGAATTTTGCTTTGCTTCAGTGGTCAAAATGAAGGACCCATTCAAGGGTAAGACCAGTCATAGACGCACAATGGGAATGCTGGAGGAACACTGTGAGGGGGAGGGAGTTGGGAAGCTAAACAAAGCCAGATAATCATTACAATACTACCTGGGATTTTCACTGAGTGTGTGAATAACAAAGAAAAAGAGATAGTTCTCAGGCAGGGCATGGTGGCTCAAGCCTATAATCCCAGCACTTTGGAAGGCTGAGGCAGGCAGACTTTGAGACCAGCCTGAGCAACACAGCGAAACCCTGTCTCTACAAAACAACACAAAAATTAGCCAGGCATGGTAGGGTGTTTCTGGAGTCCCAGCTACTCAGGAGGCTGAAGTAGGAGGATCATCACCTGAGCCCAAGAGGTCGAGGCTGCAGTAAGCCATTATTGCCCCAATGCATTCCAACCTCGGTGACAGAGTGAGACCCTGCCCCCACCCCCCCAAAAAAAAAGTTATTTCTCACAAAAAGACCAAACTATCATTCAGCAAACATCTGAGAGGCTCTGCAGAAGCTACTAAGTCTCGGGTGTGT